>NC_000016.10:69410985-69714015 GCF_000001405.40 Homo sapiens
GCTGGGTGTGGTGGTGGGCACCTGTAATCCCAGATGCTTGGGAGGCTGAGGCAGGAGAATCGCTTGAACCCGGGAGGCAGAGCTTGCAGTGAACTGAGATTGCGCCACTGCACTCTAGCCTGGGCAACAGAGTGAGACTCCATCTCGAAAAAAAAAAAAAGAAAAGAAAAAAATAAAGTGTCATGTAGCCATGAGCAAATGGAGAGAAAAGAAGACAGAATGATGTGTTAGAGAGACACTGGGTAACCACTTAGGAGGAAGTGGCAAGCCTTGATCTTAGGAAGACGGTGACATTTAAACTGACATCAGAATAAGATCTGTATGTGAAGCAGGGGTTGGGGAGACCATTCCTGCAGAGGGAAAATCCTCCAAGACAGGCTTGTGCTTGACATATAGAAATTAAGCCATCCTGAGGCCGGGCGTGGTGGCTCATGCCTGTCATCACAGCACTTTGGGAGGCCGAGGTGAGTGGATCACCTGAGGTCAGGAATTTGAGACCAGCCTGACCAACATGGTGAAACCCAGGCATGGTGGTGCATGCCTGTAATCCCAGCTACTCAGGAGGCTGAGGCAGGAGAATCGCTTGAACTGGGAGGCGGAGGTTGCGGTGAACTGAGATCGTGCCATTGCACGCCAGCCTGGGCAACAAGAGCAAAACTCCATCTCAAAAAAAAGGAAAAAGAAAAGAAAATAAATTAAGCCACCCTGGGGATGCATATGCTGGCTAGTGACAGCCGCTGATGTCAGGCTCTGTGTAAGGGGGCAGGTGTCCTCACTTTCTGAAGGAGCTGTGCCCACCTTGGCCAGAGCCCCGTGGGGCTCCACCGCACTCAAGGGATGGGGGGCTGTCGCTGAGGCCCCAGCGTGGCTCACCATCCCAACACCCCTTGATAGCTGCTCGAATACTGCATTTTTATCTACCACCCAGGCCTTCTCTCTTAAATTGGTGTCATGGAAGTTTGAAAGAAATGGAAGAAAAGGAGCGACATGACTGATTCTGTTTGGTCTTCCTACCTTGAGGTCTGGTTGGCATTTTCTGAGAGGAAAATAAAAAATTGTGTTTTTTTTGGAGGAGGGTGAGAGGAGAGAGTGAGAAAAAGGAAACAAGGCTTCACATTTTCTATGATTTTCTAAAACTCTGCACGTTGACAGTGGTGGCAAAATAAACGAATCCCAAAGTTGTTTTTCTATTGAGAAGAAAGTGGTGGTGGATTTCATTCCCTTTTGTTTCCGAACTTTTCTCCCAGTGACAAAGTATAAAACATGGACACTAGAGAATAAGGTGAACCTCAGAAATCCTGAAAAGACCGCGAAGCTTACTTTCTTCCTCAGGAGGGAAGAGGGGAAAGTTTCTAGCCCTCCCTGGAACCTAAAATGAAAAACACGAGTTGCGTGCGTTGGAAAGAAGACAAGGCCATATCTGAATCATCAGCCTTACAATAATGTGAACGTCATTATGGCAGCATTTCAAACAAAAGGCTATGAAGCTGTTGCGCAGGGCTGCAGGTGCCATTGTGCTCACTAATGGTATGTGCTCCATGCGTGTGGGCTTCAGCGGTCTGGAAGCACTGAAGAGGATCTGTGCTCCAGAGCGGGGTGGGGCCTGCTACAACCTTGACTCCAAACACAAGATGCCCGAGTGGACTGGAGGCGGGAGTGAGCTCCAGAAATTAATTTCTTTTTCTTTCCCTTTTTTTTTTTTTTTTTTTTTTTAAAGACAGAGTCTTGCTGTGTTGCTCAGGCTGGAGTGCAGAGGCATGAACACAGCTCACTGCAGCCTCAACCTCCTGGGTTGAAGTGATCTCAAGCAATCCTCCTGCCTCAGCCTCCTGAGTAGCTGGGACCACAGGCAACTGCCACCACGCCTAGCTAATTTTTGAATTTTTTTTTTGGTAGTGACGGGGGTCTCATCGTGTTGCCCAGGCTGGTCTTGAACTCCTGGCCTCAAGTGATCCTCCTGCCCCAGCCTCCCAAAGTGCTGGGATTACAGGAGTGAGCCACCACACCAGCCAGGAAATTTCTAAAACATTATTTGCAGGGAAAGGATGGTGCCTTCCTGCTGGTGGTACCAGAAGAGGCGTAGGCTCACCAGAGTTGGGCCATTGGTGTGTAACACATTTCCCCCCAACCTCTCCCTCGCCTTGGCCCTTTCAGTCCTCTGTGATATGCTGGGCCCTCTACAGTGAGTGGTCTGCCCGTGCCACTTCCCCAAACAACTCATCACAACTCATGAGGTTTTTCCCCTTTGGATCTGACCGTGCAGAAGGTTAAATGTGTAGACTGTTAACAGCCAGGCACAGTGGCTCATGTCTGTAATCCCAGAACTTTGGGAGGCCAAGGTTACAAAAACCACTCAGTGTTTTGCTCCTGGGAAAGGAAGGTAGGCGCTCTGTGCACTCAAGGCCAGTGTTCACAAAACCTTGCTTTGTTTTTTGTTTTTTTTGTTTTGAGACAAGGTCTTGCTCTGTTGCCCAGGCTGGAGTGCAGTGTCATGAACATGGCTTACTGCAGCCTCAACCTCTTGGGCTCAAGCAATCCTTCTGCCACAGCTCCCCAAAGAGCTGGGACCACTGGCGTGTGCCACCACACTCAGCTAACTTAAAAAATGTTTGAAGAGATGGGATCTCTCTATGTTGCCCAGACTGGTCTCGAGCTCCTGAGCTCAGGTGATCTTCCTGCCTTGGCCTCCCAAACTGCTGGGATTACAGGCATGAGCCACTATGCCCAGCTCCTTGTTTTATTTAAAGGAAGAGGAGAAAGAACTAAAGGGGAGGTCCTAGCTTATTTTCCCTTTTCTATGAGGACCTGATGCAGATTCTGCTTGACATAGTACATACAAAGCCCATGTGACTGGCTTGAAGGATCCATTGCCTTAAGGGGCTCTCAGGAAATGATCTCTAAAAGCCTGGTGGCGGTATAACATACTGCCTCTAACTTTTTTTTTTTTTTTTTTTTTTTGAGATGGAGTTTCGCTCTTGTTGCCCAGGCTGGAGTGCAGTGGCGCGATCTTGGCTCACCGCGACCTCCGCCTCCCGGGTTCAAGCGATTCTCCCTCCTCAGCCTCCTGAGTAGCTGGGATTATAGGGATGCGCCACCACACTGGGCTAATTTTGTATTTTTAGTAGAGATGGGGTTTCACCATGTTGGTCAGGCTGGTCTCGAATTCCCAATCTCAGGTGATCTGCCCACCTTAGCCTCCCAAAGTGCTGGGATTACAGGCGTGGGCCACCGCACCTGGCCTGCCTCCAACTTTTACCACCACCCCTTACCCCTAGTTTTAAGGGTAATTATGGCCAGCTGTGGAGTTTTATTTATTTATTTATTTATTTATTTCTGAGGCGGAGTCTCACTCTGTCGCCCAGGCTGGAGTGCAGTGGCATTATCTCAGCTCACTGCAACCTCTGCCTCCCGGGTTCAAGCGATTCTCCTGTCACAGCCTCCCAAGTAGCTGGGATTACAGGCGTATGCCAACACACCCAGCTAACTTTTGTATTTTTAGTAGAGATGGGGTTTCACCCTATTGGCCAGGCTGGTCTCGAACTCCTGACCTTGTGATCCACCCGCCTCGGCCTCTCAAAGTGTTGGGATTACAGATGTAAGCGACCACACCCAGCCTAATTTTTTGTATTTAGTAGAGACGGGGTTTTGCCATGTTGGTCAGGCTGGTCTCGAACTCCTGACCTCAGGTGATCCACCTGCCTCAGCCTCCCAAAGTGCTGGGATTACAGGCGTAAGCCACCTAGCCCGGCCAAAAAAGGATATCTTAATAAAGCTGATTTAAAAAGTACAGTAAATGACCAGGTGTGGTGGCTCATGCCTGTAATCCCAGCACTTTGGGAGGCTGAGGCAGGAGGATCACCTGAGGTCAGGAGTTAGAGACCAGCCTGGCCAACATGGTGAAACCCCATCTCTGCTAAAAATACAAAAGTTAGCCAGGCATGGTGGCGTGTGCCTGTAGTTCCAGCTACTCGGGAGGCTGAGGCAGGATAAAGATCCGCTTGAGCCTGGGAGGCAGAGGTTGCAGTGAGCTGAGACTGAGCCATTGCACTCTAGCCTGGGTGACAGTGTGAGACTCTGTCTCAAAAAAAAAAAAAAACAAAAACGAAAACCAGTAAAAGTTAATTTAATCACCATGGAGGATTCTGTGCCTTGCTCTTCATCCTCAACAGACTAGAAAAAAGGCAATTGGCCAAAGGCAATTGGTGCATTTGGAGGGCAAAACCAACCTACAGGAACCTTTGTGTTTATAGAAAGATTATGACTTATCGAAGTGGCCTTTGCCCAGCAGACTGTAGTAAAGACAGTGACAGTCATGTAATCTATGTGTTAGATTATCTTTAACAAAAAGAATCTGGCCAGGCGCTGTGGCTCATGCCTGTAATCCCAGCACTTTGGAAGGCCGAGGCAGGAGGATTGCTTGAGCCTAGAAGTTTGAGACCAGCCTGGGCAACATAGGGAGAACATGTCTCTTCTAAAAATAAAATAAATTAGCCGGGCATGGTGGCACATGCCTGTAGACCCAGCTACTTGGGAGGCTGAGGCAGAAGAATAACTTGAACCCAGGAGTTCGAGGTTGCAGTGAGCTATGACCATGCCACTGCACTCCAGGGCAAGAGAGTGAGACCCTATCTCAAAAAAACAAAAAGAGCTGGGTGCAGTGGCTCATGCCTGTAATCCCAGCACTTTGGGAGGCTGAGGCGGGCGGATCATGAGGTCAAGAGATCGAGACCATCCTGGCCAACATGGTGAAATTCTGTCTCTACTAAAAATACAAAAATTAGCTGGGCATGGTGGGGCATGCCTGTAGTCCCAGCGACTCAGGAGGCTAAGGCTGGAGAATCGCTTGAACCCAGGAGGCAGAGGTTGCAGTGAGCTGAGATCTTGGCATTGCACTCCAGCCTGGGCAACACAGCAAGAACCCATTTAAAAGAAAGAAAAAAAAAAAAGAATAAAAAAAGTAAAAAGAATCCCTTATATTGTAAAGAGCTTCACAATTTTAAAGTCTTTTTACATCCATTTACTCATTGGCTCTGCACCTGACAGGGGTTGCAGCCTTTCAATATTTTTAAATCACTCTCCCTCCTCCCCTTCATGACTTTTCTGCAACACTGAATCCAGACTTCTAACACTATATCTAGGTTTCGTTTGTGATTTTAACAGCTTTATTGAGATATAACTCACATACCATACAATTTACCATTTATCTTGTAAAACTGAATTTTTTTTAGTATAGTCACAGGGTTGTGCAATCATTATTACAATCTAATTTTATTTTATTATTTTTGATACATAATAATTATGCAAATTTATGAGATTCAATTTAATTTTAGAACATATTTATCTTTCCCAAAAGAAAACTCTTACCCATTAGCAGTCACTCCCCATTTCCCCCCAACTCTTTCAGTCCTAGGCAACCACTAAATCTACTTTCTTTTTCTGGAGATGTGCCCCTTTTAGAAATTTCCTATAAATAAAATCATATAGAATGTGATCTTTTGTGACTGGCTTCTTTCACTTAGCATGATGTTTTCACCATGTTTTAGCATGCTATTTTTGTTGCTGAATACTATTCCATTTTAAGGATACAACCATATTTTATTTATCCATGCATTAATTGATGGACATTTAGATTGTTTCCACTTTTTGGCTATTACAAATAATGCTACTATGAATATTTGTGGGCCAGTTTTTTTCTTTCTTTTTGAGTTGGAGTTTTGCTCTGTCACCCAGGCTGGCCAACATGGTGAGGTCAGGAGTTTGAGACCATCCTGGCCAACATGGTGAAATGCCATCTCTACTAAAAATACGAAAATTAGGTGGGTGTGGTGGAGTGTGCCTATAATCCCAGCTACTTGGAGGCTGGGGCGGGAGAATTGTTTGAACCTGGGGGGCCAAGGTTGCAGTGAGCTGAGATTGCGCCACTGCACTCAGCCTTAGCGACAGAGACTCTGTCTCAAAAAAATATATATAATAATAAATTAAAATAATAAAAGAATAAAATGATATTGAGCCTGTAATCCCAGCACTTTGGGAGGCCAAGGCAGGCAGGTCACTTGAGGCAAGGAGTTAGAGATCAGCCTGGCCAACATGGTGAAATCCCGTCTCTACTAAAATTACAAAAATTAGCCGGGCATGGTGGCCTGTGTCTGTAATCCCTGCTACTTGGGAGGCTGAGGCAGGAGAATCACTTGAACCTGGGAGGTGGAGGTTGCAGTGAGCCAAGATCGTGCCACTGCACTCCAACCTGGGTGACAGGGCGAGACTCTGTCTCGGTAAATAAATAAATAAATAAATAAAGATATTGAATGAACTTGAAGAAAAATTTTAAGCGAATAAAGCAACAAATAAAACAATTAAGTTTATCTATAATAAGCTATGCTTTGTATAAAAAGGGAAGGGCTGTGGAAGGGATAAATAAAAGTGAATTGTATTTATTACCTATTAAAAATAAGCTAGCAAACACTGGAAGGAAGAACAGCGACTGTTCTGAAGCCAGGAAAAGCAACCCAGGGTGGAAAGCATTCTTGCCAATGGCTGTTTTGCATCAGCCTATAGTTTCTTTCACTCCTAGAAGCTGGGCTGGGCTGGTGGGGGTTGGACCTCACTGGATAAGACTGACAGGATGGTCTTGGATGAAACTCCAGAAGAGGCCACCTAACGGGCCGGGAAGATCTGGCTGACTTGGGGGTGGGATCTACTCCAGAATGCTGACAACCAAACACCCCTGAGGCTGTCCCCTGGAGGATATAGGTTCCTAACTTTGCAAGGACTTCCTGAAGCTTCCCAAACACTGGATGACTCAAGCCTGGCCTTGGGAAGGGAAAGAGTGTTGGAGTGTGACAGCTTTAGAAGTTTGTCTTCCCTCTGGCAGGAGCAAAGAGTAGGTTGCCAGGGAACATAATATCTTGAGAAGGGCAAGAACAGATTGGAGGGCCACCTCATTGTATTTCATTCCTGGAAGAGGAAAAGGGAACATTCCTTCCCGCTGCCGCCTCAAAAGGGTATGAGAACACAGGGCATGCCCGATGGCTGCAAAAACTGGGACAGCATCCTCGCTTCTTGCTCTGTTCTCAAGGAGCATGCACAGTGTTTGCCTTGACCATTTCCTGTTTATACAAAAGCAATAAAATGAGCTTGCAAGGTAAATAACAACCCTGGTGGAGCAGTGTCTCACACGCTAAGGTACTGTTATCTGAGGTAAATTACAGAATTCACACTGATTGTCATCCAGCCTGGGGAGAGAATTTTCTAACTTGTAAAAACAGCAATAGTAAAATGTTCATGTTAAACTTGTTTTATATGGTAAGTGCCATCTTCCTTGTAAATTTCCTCAAGAACTGGGTTTCATTTTTCAGCATCTAGAAATAATAACCCCCAAAATAGCTAGCATTTACTGGGGACTCTCTGTGATAGGCAGTGTGCTAAGAATTTTGTTTAATTCTCATGTCACCACAATGCTTTACTGTAGCTACCCAGTAAATATTTGTCAAAGAGCTTGAAAAAACTATCAAAGACCTTCAAGAACAGAAAATTACAGACCAATATTCTTCATGAATATAAATGCAAAGATCCTTTTAAAATATTAGCAAATTGAATTCAATAAACAAGATTAGCATCATAACCAAAGTGGGATTTATCTCAGGAATGCAAAGATTGTTAAGTTTTTTTTTTTTTTTTTTTTTTTTGAGATGAAGTCTTGCTCTGTCGCCCAGTCTGGAGCACAGTGGTGCAATCTCGGCTCACTGCAACCTCCGCCTCTCGGGTTCAAGCGATTCTCATGCCTCAGCCTCCCAAGTAGCTGGGACTACAGGTGCGTGCCACCATGCCTGGCTAATTTTTTGTATTTTTAGTAGAGACGGGGTTTCACCGTGTTAGTCAGGATGGTCTCAATCTCCTGACCTCATGATCTGCCCGCCTCGGCCTCCCAAAGTGCTGGGATTACAGGTATGAGCCACCACGCCCGGCCAGATGGTTAAGTTTTTGAAAACCATTCAGTGTAATTCACCATATTAACGGAATAAAGGAGGAAAATAATATGATCATTCTGATAGATGTATAAAACATATTCAACAGGCCAGGCACAGTGGCTTATGCCTGTAATCCTAGCACTTTGGGAGGCTGAGGTGGGTGTATCACATGAGCTCAGGAGTTTGAGACCAGCCTGGGCGACACGGCAAAACCCTGTCTCTACAAAAAATACAAAAATTAGCCGGGTGTGATGGTGGGAGCCTGTGGTCTCAGCTACTTGGGAGGTTGAGGTGGAAGGATTGCTTGCAAGCCCGGGAGGTTGAGACTGCAGTGAGCTGTGATCGTGCCACTGCACTTCAGCCTGGGCCACAGAGCAAAACCCTGTCTCAACAACAACAACAACAACCAAAAAAAAAAAAAAAAAAAAAGAAAAGAAAAGAAAAGAAAAAATATTCAACAGGATTCAACACCCTTTCTTAATAAAAACAAAATAAAAATAAAACAAACTCAGGAAACTAGATCCTCAAGATCCTCAAGCTGATAAAAGACATCTACTGAAAAATTATATTAAATTGTGAAAGACTGAATGCTTTCCTCCTAAGATTAGGAACAAGACAGGGATGCTAACTTCACCATTTCTATTCAACACTGTACTGAAAGTCCTAGCCAGTGCAACAAGGCAAGGAAAAAAGAGGCATACAGATTGGGAAGAAAGGTGGAAGCAAAGCTGTCTCTATTAGCAGACGACATATTTATTACATAGATAATTCTAAGAAATCCATAAAATAATTACAGGAACTATAAGTGAATTTGGCAAGGTATAAGATAGTAAGTCAATGTACAAAATCAATTATATTTATCTAGACTGGCAGCAAACAATTGGAAAATGAAATAATTTCATTTATAGGGGCATTAAAAAACGAAACATTTAGAAATAAATTTAATAAAAGATGCTAAAGATGTCTACATTGAAAACTACAAATTAAACTGAAGTAAATGGTTCATGAAATGTAAGGTTTTTAAGGTGTCTTTTTTCTGTAAATTCATCTATAAGCACTTTTGTAAAATTAAGAAGCTGATTTTTTTTTTTTTCTTCTAGAAACAGGGTCTCACTCTGCCACCCGGGCTGCAGTGCAGTGGCACAATCATAGCTCACTGTAGCCTCCAACTCCTGGGTTCAAGCAATCCTCCTGCCTCAGCCTCCCAGGCAGCTGAGACTATAGGTGCCCACCACCATGCCCAGCTAATTTTTACATTTTTTTAAAGAGATGAGGTCTTGCAGGCCAGGCACAGTGGCTCACGCTTGTAATCTCAGCATTTTGGAAGGCCGAGGTAGGCGGATCTCCTGAGGTCAGGAGTCCAAGACCAGCCTGGCCAACATGGTGAAACCCTGTCTCTACTAAAAATACAAAGAAATTAGCTGGGCATGGTCGTGGGCACCTGTAATCCCAGCTACTCAGGAGGCTGAGTCAGGAGAATTGCTTGAACCCGGGAGGCGGAGGTTGTACTGAGCCTAGATCATGCCACTGCACTCCAGCCTGGGTGACAGAGTGAGACTCGTCTCAAAAAAAAAGAGATGAGGTCTTGCTATGTTGTCGAGGTTGGTCTTGAACTCCTGAGCTCAAGCAATCCTTGTGCCTCAGCCTCCAAAGTGCTGGGATTACAGGAATGAGCCACAGTGCCCAGCAAAAAATAATAACTTTTTTTGTAATAATTTTAGATTTACAGAAAAGTTGCAAAAATAATACAATGAGTTTCTGTATACTCACTCAATTTTCCATAAAGATAGCATTTTACATTACCATAATATGTTTGTCAAAAGTAAGAAATCAACACTGGCACCTTACTGTTTTATTTGGATTTCACTAATTCTTCCCCAGTGCCCTTTTTCTGTTCTAGGATCCAGTCCAGGATACTATACTGCGTTTAATTGTCATGTCTCCTTAGTTTACTTGAGTCTGTGACAATTTCTCAATCTTTCCTTTTTTTTTTTTTTTTTTTATGAGCTTGTCAGTTTTGAGGAGTACTGGTCAGGCATTATGTAGAATGTCCCTCAGTTTGGGTTTACCTGATGTTTTTCCCATGCTTGGACTATGGTTATGGATTTTGTGGAAGAATGCCACAGTGGCAACATGCCCTTTTCATCACATCACACCGGGGGTACATGCTGTCAACATGATTTATTATGGAGATGTTTTAATTTGATCACTTGGTCAACAAGCTGATTTTAAATTGTGTGTGGGGCCGGGCATGGTGGCTCATGCCTGTAATCCCAGCACTTTGGGAGGCCGAGGTGGGCGGATCACCTGAGGTCCGGAGTTTGAGACCAGCCTGGCCAACATGGTGAAACCCCCTCTCTACTAAAAATATGAAAATTAGCCAAGTGTGGTGGTGGGGGCCTGTAATCCCAGCTACTCTGAACCCGGGAGGTGTAGGTTGCAGTGAGCTGAGATTGTGCCATTGCACTCCATCCAGTCTGGGTGATGAGAGTGAAAAAAAAAAATGTATGTGGAAATACAAAGGATCTAGAATAGCAAAAATAATTTTCAAAAGTTAAGAGCAAAGCTATAAGACTTATATTACCTGATTTAGTGCCTTACAATAATCAAGACTGTGGAATTGGCACAAGGATAAACAAATAAGTCATCGGAACAGAGTAGAAATTTCAGAAGGAGAACCACACTTATATGATCAATCAATTTTCGACAGATACAGGAAAACAATTCAAGGGGGAATTGTGTTTTCATCAAATGGTGCAGGAACAAGTGGGTATCCACATGGAAAAAAAGAGGCTAAGAAACCTGCCCAAGGTCACCAAGTTTGTGAGTGGCAGGGACAGGTATTCCAAGCCAGACTTTCTGGCTAACATGTGCTATCAATTGTAAATATAAATTTATAACCAAAACATTTAGGTCACAATAATTTTTCAGTGTAAAATTCAATTTGAGGCTATACTATTTAAAAATGTCAATGTCATGAAAGCAAAAGCAAAGTTAAGGAAATGTTCTAGATTAAAGGGGACTCAAGAGACTTAGCTAAGTGCAATACATGATCCTGAACTGGATCCTGGGTCATACAGGCACACTAAAATTTCACAAAGGACATGAATGCAATAATGGAAAATAATATGGAGAGTATGTTAGATAATAATTTTGTGTGAATGTTAAATTCTCTGAATTTGAAATTCATACTGCAGTTACGTGACAATATGTTCTTATTTTTAGAAGATACATGTAGAATTATTTGGCTGTAAAGGGTGGTGATATCTGAAATAGTTCAGCATTATTAACAACAATGATCAAAATAATATGGAAAAAATCAAATATTGAAAAATATTAACAGTTGGTAAACCTAAGCTAAAAGTATATGGTCATTCATTGTATTATTCTTGTAACTTACTTATTTGAAATTCTAAAAACATTTTCAAATATAATGTTACAGGTATATATCACTTAAGTGCTAGAATTTGTAATTTTTTTATTTTTTATTTTTATTTATTTATTTTTATTTTTTTGAAACAGGGTTTCGCTCTGTCATCCAGGCTGGAGCACAGTGGTGCGATCATACATCACTGCAGCCTCGACTTCCCAGGCTCAAGCCATCCCCAGATCTCAGCCTCTCAAATATCTGGGATTACAGTTGTGTGCCACCATGCGTAGATAATTTTTGTATTTTTTGAAGAGACAAGAGCCTCACTATGTTGCCCAGCCTGGTCTTGAACTCCTGGGCTCAAGTGATCTGTCCACCTCGGCCTCCCAAAGTGCTGGAATTACGGGGCTTGAGCCACCACATTCAGCCTGTAAATGTTTTTATTTCTTTCAGAGATTTTGTTTCTTATGTTATCTCTCTACTCCCAATGCCTATCATAAGACTTGTAACAGTAAATAGTAAATGTCTGGAATAAATGTAAATATTTGAATCTAGAGTTTGTGGAGGATCCTAAGAATCTTGTGAGATTGCTCTCATAGTGTCAGTCTAACTAGGGAGGTAAAATACGTAAAGTTAAAATTTACAGACGTAGCAGGCTTCCCAAAATAGTAATATGCTTTCTTAGGTACTACAAAGGGATGGAAGCACTGGAGCTCAAAACGGTAGGAGAAGTTTGAAAATAGAAGAAACTGAAGAGGAACTTGAAAAGCCGGTAGGCATTGAAAGGAAGAGGAGTCCTTGGGACAGCAATTGAGGGTAGAATGTGGAGTATCCCATGTTTCTACCACCATTCAGAATCCGATTTTCAAATGAATTCTGTGATGATCAGGATCAATCTGCACTATTTTAGTCTCTAAGTGATCTAAAATTAACTTGGTGGACCTGGGATGACCACGGATGTGGTTTTAAACCAGCAGGTTTCAGAGTCGGGGCGGGTGCAACAGGCTTATAAAGGGAATGGTGGAAAATATTATACGTTAGTGAAAGAGGTTGCGAATGGATTGTGGAGAGCCCTGAATGGTAGACTGCGAGAGTGACAGGATGAAAACGACGACATCATAGGAAGAGCAATCTGTCAGTTGTAATGGCAGTTAAAAAGTGGCGCACAACACTGTACCTTAACCAAACTTGGAATTCCAAAGTGCTGGGACCTCTAGCGGAGAGCAGTTGAGTTCAATTCTATTTTAGATCACGTAGAGACTAAAATAGTGCCGATTGATCCTGATCATCACAGAATTCGTTTGAAAATCGGATTCTGAATGATGGTAGAAACATAGGATACTCCACATTCTACCCCCAATTGCTGTCCGGGACAGCAATTGCCTTTCTAATCGACTGCCATGTTTAGCGATTACTATGCGCCAAGCGCTTTACAGGCACTCTCATTAAAATAGGCAAACCGGGCCAGGCGCGGTGGCTCACGCCTGTAATCCCAGCACTTTGGGAGGCCTACGCAGGCGGATCACCTGAGGTCAGGAGTTCGAGACCAGCCTGGCCAACATGGTGAAACCTACTCTCTACTAAAAATACAAAAATTAGCCGGGCGTGGTGGCGCATGCCTGTAGTTCCAGCTAGTCGAGAGGCTGAGGTAGGAGAATCGCTTGAACCTGGGAGGCGGAGTTTGCAGTAAGCCGAGATCGTGCCACTGCACTCTGGCCTAGGAGACAGAGCGAGAACTTGTCTCAAAAAAAAAAAAAAAAAAAAAAAAGGCAAACCCCTCTGTAAGAGAGTGCTTTATCAAGCCCATTTTACTGATGGGGAAATTGAGGAGAGACGGGATTGGCCAGATCACGACCTGGAGGCAGCAAAGATGTAAAATCAGGGTTGGGATACAGGCTGCGCCGGTAGTGTAGGGGATAGGAACTTTCTGAGACTCAGGAGAAAGCCACAGCGATGGGAAGGGAAGCAGAACACTGGAGACCCTAAAGGCCCACAGGCTGAGAGAAGTGGTACCTCTCCTGAAGTGACACCTGTCAGCACGCCTCTTTTGGGCGCCAGTCCAAAAATCGCGGTATCTGATTGGCGAGGTTGGAGGGGGCTGAACGACCCTAATTGGTTAGTTGGACCTCGAACCAGACTTTCATCTGGAGGATCGGGCGAGGAGTGGGCGGGATTTCGAACTGAGCCACTCCCTTCATTGGTGAAAAGAAAACGAACCAGGAACTATTCGGAAGTGTGATTGGCTGTTGCTAGGAACCGTCTCAAGGCCTTATGGGCCCTGGTTACGGAAGCCGAGGAAGGCTGAGCGCGGGCTCTCAAGGAAAGTAGTCGCGGAATCTCAGTTAGCGGTGGAGAGGCAGTATGTCCGGTTCAATGGCGACTGCGGAAGCTAGCGGCAGCGATGGGAAAGGGCAGGAAGTCGAGACCTCAGTCACCTATTACCGGTTGGAGGAGGTGGCAAAGCGCAACTCCTTGAAGGAACTGTGGCTTGTGATCCATGGGCGAGTCTACGATGTCACCCGCTTCCTCAACGAGGTGGGGCCTGGGAGGTGGGAGGCCTCTGAAGCTGCTGGGGCGAGGGGTGAAAAGGCTGTGTGGAGTGTATGTGGGAAGGAAGGGAGGCTTGGCTGGGGGCGATAAGGCGTAAGAAAGGGATCACGACCCTCAGAGGGAAACTGGGGTGGGATTGGGGGAGGGCTTTAGTTTGCATGCATTTCCAGTCAGCTCCGAGTTCTGGTGCCTTATGTAATATCATGTATTACTTATGTGTCGAGCATTTGCTGTGTGCTCAGCTAAACTCTAAGCCATCATTATCTTTATTTTACAGAAAGGGAAACTGAGGCTCACAGGTTGAGGACTCTCAGGGCCATAGAGTTAGCAGCTTAGATCCGTTGAACCTAGGTCTGAAGTGCACCCACATCTGTGCTTTTCCAGTGTGCCTTCTGAAGTAATACCGGTTTTGGTTTTCGTCTTCTAGAGTAGAAGCTGAGATTTCTCTCCACACGCTTCCCCATCTTGATTATGCCTCCACTGTTTTTTTTTCCCCCTAATCTGAGTTGACCTTGAGGCCAGAAACTCATAAATCAACCCTTTTTTTTTGTTTTTGACTCATGTTTTGTCATTTTTCTTAAATATTCAAGACTGTTTTATTTAATCTTCAAGTCTGTTGCATTACATCTCATTTTAAAAATTATTTTTGAGACCATGGTGCAACTAATTTTTTTTTTAAGGAAACAGGATAGACTTCTAAATATTTAAAACTTTATTGAGGTGTAATGTACATACGTAAATTGTGCCTATCTAAAATGTACATTTTGATGAGTTTTGAAAAATGTATTCATCCATGTTAAGACATAAACCATTTCCATCATTCTAAAAAGCTTCCTTTCCCTTTGCAGTCATTCTCTCCCAACCCCAGGCAACTAGTGATATGCAGCCGCTAAAGATTGGTTTGAAGCTTTGATTTTCGGTGTGTGTATGTTTGAAGCTTTGATTTTCGGTTTGTGTGTGATCATTTTATTTTGAGCAATAGATTAATGACTTGTGAAAGTTCACTTCTATTTCTCTGAAGCAAATATACTAGTGAAATATTTTTTCGATTAATTTGGGGCCTAAAAGAGAAATCTCTGCATCCTGACTTTTAATTCTAAAAACTTTTAAAATTTAAAAGTTTCCCCCAAAGAACATTATTTTTAATAAATCTTAATAGTGAACAATAATTTAACAAACTCAGAATTTACTAACTTCTTGCATTTGTATGGTGTATGGCATTTTATGCTTTTAAAAGTGCTTTCCGGTCGGGCGCGGTGGCTCACGCCTGTAATCCCAGCACTTTGAGAGGCCGAGACGGGCGGATCACGACGTCAGGAGATCGAGACCGTCCTGGCTAACACGGCGAAACCCCATCTCTACTAAAAATACAAAAAATTAGCCAGGCGTGATGGTGGGCGCCTGTAGTCCCAGCTGCTCGTGAGGCTGAGGCAGGAGAATGGCGTGAACCCGGGAGGTGGCACTTGCAGTGAGCCTAGATTGCGCCACTGCAGTCCAGCCTGGGGGACCCAGCGAGATTCCATCTCAAAAAAAAAAAAAAAAGTACTTTCCCGGCCAGGTGTGGTGGCTCACGCCTGTAATCCCAGCACTTTGGGAGGCTGAGGCGGGCGGATCACGAGATCAAGAGTTCCAGACCAGCCTGACCAACATGGTGAAACCCCGACTCTACTAAAAATACAAAAATTAGCTGGGCCTGGTGGTGGGCGCCTGTAATCCCAGCTACTCAGGAGGCTGAGGCAGGAGAATCACTTGAACCTGGGAGGCGGAGATTGCAGTGAGCCATGATTGCACCACTGCACTCCAGCCTGGGCGACAGAGCGAGACTCCAAAAAAAAAAAAAAAAAAGCTAGTGGAGGGTGACTTGGATAGTAGTGATTTTTTTTTTTTAACAGAGGTACAAGTAACAGGTTCAGAAAGATCCTGGTCATACAATCAATTAGTAGCAGATTTGACAGATCCCTTGATTTCTCTTGTCTGCATAGCATTACTTCAAAATTCTAGCCTTAGCTATGACTTCTGGTATTTGCTTCATAGTAAGTTTCATGCTAAAGCATGGTTCATAATGGGTAGAAAATCAAGTTTTTTGGCTGGGCGCAGTGACTCATGCCTGCAATCCCAGCACTTTTGGAGGCACAGGCGGGCAGATCACCTGAGTTCAGGAGTTCGAGACCAGTCTGGCCAACACGGCGAAACCTCGTCTCTACTAAAAATACAAAAATAAGCCAGGCTTGGTGGCACCTGTGATCTCAGCTACTTGGGAGGCTAAGGTAGGAGAATCGCTTAAACCTGGGAGGTGGAGGCTGCAGTGAGGTGAGATGGTGCTGCTGCACTCCAGCCTGGGTGACAGAGTGAGACTCCATCTCAAAAAAAGAAAAAAAAAATCATGTTTTTCATTTGTGGTTTTATTTCCCTCCATTTTTTTTCTTGATTGATTCAGAATAGATGGTGAGCTTGGAGGGAACACTCAGCCCTTACAGAGAGCATTAATTCAGTCTCAAGTAATAGTTGCTAACCTGTTTCTTTCTTTTTTTTTTTCCTCTGTGAAGATTCCAGAAGTAACTAACCTGTTTCAACCACATGCTGATATAGCCAGAGACATCACTAATGTGCCAAGGTTTCTCTTGGAGCTTGAGCTGCAGCTCTTTACCTGCAGTTTTGTTTTTTTTGTTTTGTTTTTTGAGACAAGGTCTTACTTTCACCCAGGCTGGAGTGCAGCTCACTGCAGCCTCAGTCTCCTGGGGTCAAGTGATCCTTCTATTTCAACCTCCCGAATAGCTGGGAAAAGGTGTGCACCACGACGCCTGGCTAATTTTTAAAATTTTTTGTAGAATTGGGGTCCCACTGGCTGGGTGTGGGCTCATACCTGTAATCCCAGCACTTTGCGAGGCGAAGGTGGGCAGATCATGAGGTAAGGAGTTCCAGACCAGCCTGACCAAAATGGTGAAACCTCGTCTCTACTAAAAATACAAAAAAATTAGCTGGGCGTGGTGGCACACACCCGTAATCCCAGCTACTCAGGAGGCTGAGGCAGGAGAATCGCTTGAACCCGGGAGGTGGAGGTTGCAGTGAGCCAAGATGGTGCCGTTGCACTCCAGCCTGGGCGACAGTCAGACTCTGTCTCAAAAAAAAAAAAAAAAAGAATTGGGGTCCCACTATTGCCCAGTGTGGTCTGGAACTCCTGGGCTCAAGGGATCCTCCTGCCTGGGCCTCCCAAAGTGCTGAGATTACAGGTGTGAGCCACTGTGCTCAGCCTAATTAGCTATTCTTATTTATTCTGTTTTCTTGTTCATTCCAAGCCTATTCATTCATTCACTTATTCAAATATTTATTAAGCCTTTACTATGTTCTAGACACTGTTCTAGGTGCTGGGGATTTAGTAGTGAATAAACAGCTATGCCCTCATGGAGATTACATGGCACAGGAGGCAGACGATAAGCAGAGTAAATAACTAAAATATATACTACATTAGGTAGTGGTAAGTGCTAAGAAGAAAAATAATACAGGGGGCTGGACACGGTGGCTTAGGCCTGTAATCCCAGCACTTTGGGAGGCCGAGGCGGATGGATCATGAGGTCGGGATTGAGACCATCCTGGCCAACATGGTGAAACCCCATCTCTACTAAAAATACAAAAATTAGCTGGGCATGGTGGCATGTGCCTGTACTCTCATCTACTTGGGAGGCTGAGGCAGGAGAATCACTTGAACCCAGAAGTTGGAGGTTGCAGCGATCCAAGATTGTGGCACTGAACTCCAGTCTGGTGATAGAGTGAGACTCCGTCACAAATGAAAAAAAAAAGAAAAATAATACAGGGAAGAGGACTGTGGAATATTTATGTGGTGTGAGGAGGAGGGTTTGAAATTTTAGCGATGGTGCCGAGATAACTTTATGAAGATGACTAAGTAAAGGCCAGGAGCAAAGTAAAGGAGCTAGCCATGAGGGTATCTGTAGGAAGAGCATAGAGCATTCCTGGCAGAGGAAACAAGTTCAAAGGCCTTGAGATGGGAGGATGTCTGGTATGTTTGAGGAACAGTCAGGGAGGCCACAGTGGTTGAATAGTTGCACATGAGATCAGAATGATCAGGGGAGGACAAATCATGTACAACTTCACAGGTTTTAGGAAGGACTTTGGCTTTTATTCTGAGATGGGAAATCATTGGAGCAGAAGAGTGACATGATGTGACTTAATGGCGTAATAGGATCGTTCTGACTACATTGTTGTGAAAGACTGAAGGAAGAGTGTGTCTGGAGTTGGTTCCTTCCGGTGGGTTTTTGGTCTCTCTGACTTGAAGAATGAAGCCATAGACCTTCGCGGTGAGTGTTATAGCTCTTAAAGGTGGCACAGACCCAAAGAGTGAGTAGCAGCAAGATTTATTGTGAAGAGTGAAAGAACAAAGTTTCCACAGTGTGGAAAGGGACCAGAGCAGGTTGATGCTGCTGGCTGGGGTGGCCAGCTTTTATTCCCTTATTTGTCCCCGCCCACATCCTGCTGATTGGTCCATTTTACAGAGTGCCGATTGGTCCATTTTTACAGAGTGCTGATTGGTGCATTTACAATCCTTTAGCTAGACACAGAGTGCTGATTGGTGCATTTTTACAGCATACTGATTGGTGCATTTACAATCCTCTAGCTAGACACAAAAGTTTGCCAAGTCCCCACTCCACCCAGGAAGTCCAGCTGGCTTTGCCTTCTTAAGAGGACAAGGGCAGAATTGAGGAGACCAGTTAGGAGGCTGTTTTAGTAATTAGGCAAGAGATAGTGGGTTGTACCAGAACAAGTGTCAGATTTTGGATGTGTTGTGATGGAAGAGCCAATAGGATTTAATGATGCGCCAGATTTGGGGAATGAAAGAAAAATGAGTCAAGGATAACACCAAAGTTTTTGGCTTATGAGTCTTCAAGAGTTGGGTTGCTATTAGATGAGAGAGGGAAGATTTACATTGGTATTCATCCTTCTCTTTCCAATCTGATGTCACTTTGGGGCCCCTCCTTTAGCAAGAGGTTCCTAATCTTAAGTGTCCTGTGTCTGTAGCTTACCATTTTTTTGATTAATGACTGGTTAGAGTATGATACTGGAGTTTGAATGTGGTAGTTTAGAATTAGTAATATAATTGAATTGTCTTTCCCTGGCAGATTAATTTTGCATTGTTTGAATCAGTGCATTCATGAGTTGTTGAAATCATGAATGAAAGTAGTACATGTCATTATCTTTCCACCATTTAGTAGTTTAGAAAAATCACATAAAAATGATTGTAATATCTTATGACATTGATAGAAAATATCAAAGTGCATCTCTCTTATCAAGGGTAAAATTTTGTGAAACTTTGTTCAGTTATATATAATGTATTTTTTTTTCTTTTTTTTGGAGACAGTCTGGCTCTGTTGTCCAGGCTTGAGTGCAGTGGTGCCATCTTGGCTCACTGCAGCCTCTGCCTCCTGGGCTCAAACAATCCTCCGCCTCAGCCTCCCAGGTAGCTGGGACTACAGGTATGTACTACCACACCCTGCTAATTTTTTTGGTATTTTTTTTGTAGAGATGGGGTTTCATCATGTTGCCCAGGCTGGCCTCAAACTCCGGGCTCAAGTGATCCTTCCGCCTTGGCCTCCCAAAATGTTGGGATTACAGGCATGAGCCACTGTGCCTGGCCTATAATATCTCATGTATATGGTGTTTATTGGATTGCAGTGTAAAATTATTTCCTTACTGGGTATTACAAGTGAAAATTTGGAAGCCATTGACTTGTGTATAAATAGTCATTTGTCAAAAGAGTAACTTGAAATAACATTGTGATATTTTAAAACTTTTTTTTTTTTTTTTTGAGACAGAGTTTCACTCTTGTCGCCCAGGCTGCAGTGCAATGGCATGGTCTCAGCTCACTGCAACCTCTGCCTCCCAGGTTCAAGTGATTCTCCTGCTTCAGCCTCCTGAGTAGCTGGGATTACAGGTGAATGCCACCATGCCCGGCTAATTTTTCTATTTTAGTAGAGATGGGGTTTTGCCATGTTGGCCAGGCTGGGCTTGAACTCCTGACCTCCGGTGATTCACCCGCCTCGGCCTCCCAAAGTGCTGGGATTACAGGTGTGAGCCACCATGCCCAGCCCTATTTTAAAGCTTTATATGTGTATTTATTTATTTATTTATTTTGAGATGGAGTCTTGTTTTGTCGCCCAGGCTGGAGTGCAGTAGCATTACCTTGGCTCACTGCAACCTCTGCCTCCTGGGTTCAAGCGATTTTCCTGCCTCAGCCTCTGGAGTAGCTGGCACTACAGGTCCCTCCCACCACACCTGGCTAGTTTTTATGAGATGGGGTTTCACCATGTTAGGTAGGCTGGTCTCGAACTCCTGACCTCAAGTGATCTGCCCACCTTGGCCTCCCAAAGTGCTGGGATTACAGGTGTGAGCCACGGCACCGGCCTATATGTGTTTTTAGAAACTGTCACCATAAATGAGAATATTACTTTAGGAACCATCTCATAAATGGGATAACATTTTATTAACCCAACAAATATTTGTTAAGTTCTATATAGTAGTAGGCCCTGGTGGTGTATAAAAATAAACATAAACATGGAACCCCAGCCTGGGCGACAGAGTGAGATTCTGTCTTAAAAACAAAACAAAGCTGGGTGCAGTGGCTCACGCCTGTAATCCCAGCACTTTGGGAAGCCAAGGTGGACAGATCACTTGAGCTCAGGAGTTTGAGACCAGCCTAGGCAACATGGCAAAACCCCATCTCTACAAAAAATACGAAAATTAGACGAGCATGGTGGCATGAGCCTGTAGTCCCAGCTCCTCAGGAGGCAGGGGTGGGAGAAGGGCTTGAGGCCAGGACATCGAGGCTGCAGTGAGCCGAGATAGCACTACTGCACTCCAGCCTGGGTGACAGCGAGACCCTGTCTCCAAACAAACAAAACGAAAATATCCCATGATACTGCCTTCTTGAAGCTACCATTCTAGAGGAGTCAAAACAAAAACAGACAGATGAAATAATTTTAAATTATGGCACTTTTATGAAGAAAACAAATGAGTTGAGAAAGAAAAATCAGGAAAGATTTAATTTAATAAGAGTGATCTGGGAAAGCCTCTGTGAGAAGATAACATTTAATTGAGCTGATGGTCATGAACCTGATTTGGAAAGAATACAGAAAAGAGCATTCCAGCAGCATTTGAAGTCAAGCAAGAGTTTGGCACATTAGTGGGACTGAAAGAAGCTGTGTCTATAGTGAATGAAGGACAAGAATGGCCAGAGAGCTAGGCGGGACCCAGGACATGCAAGGTCTGGTAGGTAGTTTGGATTTGATCCAAAAGGTAATAGAAAACCACTGACATGTTTGAAGATGAGGGATGACATTGAAGCAATTTACAGACAGTCCCTGACTTACTAGGGCTTGACTTAAAATTTTTTGACTTTACCATGGTGTGAAAGTGATATGTGAGTACTCATACAAGCATTCTGTTTTTCACTTTCAGTATGGTATTCAATAAATTACATGAAATAGTCAGCACTTTATTGTAAGATAGGCTTCATGTTAGATGATTTTGCCCAACTGTAGGCTAACGTAAATGTTCTGAACACATTTAAGTTAGGGTAGGCTAAACTCTTTCAATCCCAATAATTTGTTTGAATACTACATCTTCCGTGCATATACTTATATGTGCAAACATGTATATACTTATATATACAAATATGTACAAATATATACAGAAATAGAGTCATAGTATTCTATTAGTTGATTTGCCCTCGTAGTCGTCATAGTATTTATTGAGTGCTTATTATTCTAAGTGCTTTACATGTAATTTCTCTTTTAAGCCTCCCAACAACCTGTTTTAGAGGTGAGAAAACAGGAGCAGAGGAGTAACTTTCACAGAGTCATAAAGTTAGGTGGCACAGGTGAGATTTGAAATCAAGCACTGTGACCCTATAGCCTGTACTCCTTTTTTTTTTGAGACAGAGTCTCGTTCTATCACCCAGGCTGGAGTGCAATGGCGCGATCTCAGCCCACTGCAACTTCCACCTCCCGGGTTCAAGCGATTCTCCCTGCCTCAGCCTCCTGAGTAGCTGGGATTACAGGCACCTGCCACCACATCTGGCTAATTTTTGTAGTTTTAATAGAGACGGGGTTTTGCCGTGTTGGCCGGGCTGGTCTCAAACTACTGACCTCAGGTGATCCGCCTGCCTCAGCCTCCCAAAGTGCTGGGATTACAGGCCTGAGCCACCATGCCCGGCCTGTGGCCTGTACTCTTAACCGTACCCTAGGATCTGCCTCAATGTTTTTCATGGCTGCAGAGTATGGAATTAGGTCTGTTTTATAGCTTTGTTCACATTTTAAATATAATTTGGAAGGATTGGGAATGTGGTATAGGGAAGTTAGAACAGATACCCCTTTCCTGGAACCTAGGTAATTTTTTTCATTTTTTAAGTAGGTCAAACAGGTATATAGTAAAAAGCCACCTTCCCCTCTGCCCAGTTTCACTGCCTCCTAAAGTTAACTCCCATTGTTTGTGTATCCCTCTAGTTTCTTTTTGCCTGTACAAGCCAAAGTGAATGTAGTTTCTCTTTTTTTACACAAAAGATAACATACTATGCACACTCATCTGTGTCTTGCCTTTTTCACTTAACTGTGTATCTCAGGGATCTTTCCATAGCAATAACTGGCATCCCTCCTCCTCCTTCACCACAGCTGCATAGGATTTATTATATGGATCATTATTTAAGCAGTATCCTATTGATAAACATTTGGGTTTTTCAATATTTTGCTGTCACATTTTTTTCTCTAAATCAACTTAATTGAAATCAAATGTAGGGACAATAAAATGTACAGATTTTGAATGTAGAGTTCAGTGAGTTTTGACAAATGTCTCATCTGTATAATCACCATCACAATCAATATACGGTCATGGGTCACTTCACAATGAGGGTGCATTCTGAGAACTGCATCATTAGTTGATTTTACCCCTTCACAAACATCATAGAGTATATTTACACAAACCTAGGTAGTATAGCCTGCTACACACCTTAGCTGTACGGTATAGTCTCTTGTTCCTAGGCTATAAACCTGTACAAACCTGTAGGCAGTTGTGACACAGTAACAAGTATTTGTGCATCTAAACATAGAAAAGGTGCAATAAAAATATGGTATTATAATCTTATGGGACCACCATCATATATATGGTCCATTGTTGACCATATTATGTGGCACATAACTGTAGAACATTTCTACCAGTGTTGTCCCCATACACACTCATTTTATTTCTAACACTATAGTACGTACTCTTCTGTCTAGCTTCTTTTGCTCAGTATATCTGTGAGATTCATCTATTTTTTCTGTGTTATCAGTGATTTGTAACTTATGATTTCATTGTGTGAACATACCAAAATTTGTTTATCCATTCACTTGTTGATTGACATTTGGGTTGTCTCCAGTTTGGGGCTGTTATGAATAAAACTGCTAGGAACTGTCATGTACAAATCTTTGTGTGGACATATGATTTTATTCCTCCTGGGCAAATACCTAGTAGTAAAATTGCTAGGAGTGAGATTACTAGGTTATATGTCTGTTTAACTTTTTAAGCAACTGCCAGAGCATTTTCCAAAGTGTTTATATAATTTTATACTCCCACCACAATGTAGGTTTTCCAGTTTCTTCACATCTTCATTGATACATTGTATTTGTCAGTTATTTTACTTTTAACCATTCTAATGGGTGTGTGGTTGGCCAGGTGCTGTGGCTCACGCCTGTAATCCCAGCCCTTTGGGAGGCTGAGGTGGGCAGATCACGAGGTCAGCAGATCGAGACCAGCCTGGCCAACATAGTGAAACCCCATCTCTTCTAAAAATACAAAGTTAGCCACGTGTGGTGGCAGGTGCCTGTAGTCCCAGCTACTTGGGAGGCTGAGGCAGGAGAATCGCTTGAACCCGGGAGGTGGAGGTTGCAGTGAGCTGAGATCGCGCCACTGCACTCCAACCTGGGTGACAGAGCAAGACTTCATCTCAAAAAAAAAAAAAAAAAAATCATTGTAATGGGTGTGTAATGGTATATAATTGTGGTTTTAACTTGCATTTTCCTGATGACTAATGATGTTGTATCTTTCCATGGGCTTATTGGCCATTTATATATGCCTTTTTATGAAGTATCTGGTCTTGCCCTTTGTAAAATTGGGTTGTTTGTTATTTTTGACTTGAAAGCATTTTTTTCTAGTGGCTGGGTATTAGCTTTGGGGTCCAAGTGTCTGGTTGAGCTTTCTACTTTACCACTTAATAGTTGTGGAACCTTGTGGAAATAAGCTCTGTAAAGGCCCTTTTCCCTCTGTAAAATGGAGATAATAGCACATACTTCACAGGGTAGTTGTGGTTGTGACAAGTAATTTAAATAATGCATATATAGACTTATTATGGCATACTACCTGGCTTAAAGAGCTCAATAAGTGTTAGTGATTATTTTTGTTTTTAATACAAAATTGCATTTAATACAAAATTGCATTGTTTCCTGCAGCATCTTTTGAGTACCAAGTGGCAAGTGCTTTGAAGGATTGAAAGGTAAATTAGATGACTTGGATTTGCAGGGAAGATCTGTGCCCAAGTAATTCTTGTGTGAGGTATAGAGTGGCCTTGCCTGAGAATGCAGGCTCTATTTGGTACAATCCCAGGGTATTTCTTGAAAGCTTTGGCATTTGACTAATAATTCCTACTGTACTTCTCCAAGGCTGGTCAAAAGAAAGTTGATTGTTGCCTGTCCAGTGGAATTAACATTATAATTAAATTTAATTAATTAATTTATTTGTTTTTGAGACGGACTCTCACTGTGTCTCCCAGGCTGGAGTGCAGTGGCGCGGTCTCAGCTCATTACAACCTCTGCCTCCCGGGTTCAAGCAATTCTTCTGCCTCAGCCTCCCGAGTACCTGGGATTACAGGTACCCGCCACCACACCTGGCTAATTTTTTGTGTTTTTAATAGAGACAGGGTTTCCCCATGTTGGTCAGGCTGGTCTCAAACTCCTGACCTCAGGTGATCCTCCTGGCTCAGCCTCCCAAATGCTGGGATTACAGAAGCGAGCCACTGTGCCTGGCCTAACATTATAATTTTATAGAAAGAATGCTCTCTGCCAAGAGTGGTTCCAAGTGGTTAGTTCTAGGGAAGGTGAGAAATAAGATGAGGCAGAATTTAACCTCTATCACTGCCCAGGTGAGGTGACCTGATCAAGGAATCTACTTTCATTTATTTATTCATTTTGCCCGGGGGCATGGCATGCACTCACATGTGTGTTCGCGCTTGTGAGCAGTGTGTGTGCTCACTCCCAGCTCCCATTATGTTCCAGGCACCATGCTGTGTTCTAAAACAGCCATGAATGGGACAGGCGTGGTCTCTGTTCCCGATGGAGTTTATCTAGTCTGATGGAGAAGAAAGATATTAAATAAATAATTGCAATTGTGATACATAAATATCATGAAGGTACATATGGCATTGTGAGAATCAGTGCAGTGGGACCCCGTCTGGGGGGATAAGGATGTCAAGTTATGTTTGGATCTGCAGACCTGAACTTCAGACCCTGCCAAGGTTACACCATTCCTGGCAGCCAGCTGGTTTGCCTCTCTTAGGTGACAGCCTTTTCTTATCAGGCTCATTCTAACCCAAATGCAAATACCTATAGACCTGCACCGTTTCCTCCTGTTCACCCCCCAGGTCTGTTATCTTTCTCTGCCCTGCAGACTGTTTTTTAGGAAGTAGTTTTTGTCTTCTCTAAAATTTTAACCTCCATGTTTTATTTTGATGAGGTAATGTGTTTGGCTAGAGGACCCCCTTTTCATCACTAGGCCTAATTTTGCACTTCCTCAATCTTAATGTTTCTGGATTTCATTTTCCATGTCAGGTGATCTCTAGTATATCTCCATTGTTATATTTTTATTACATCACTATGGAATTTCCACCTACAGATAATTTGTGTAATTTTTTTTCCAACAAGATTTTTATTCTGTAACTGCCATTCTTCACATTCTCCTCTATTCTGCCCATCAGTCCCCTATTTCCATAGAATTAGTAATCTGGAAGTATTATTTTCCATAAGGAATTTGTCCTCTTCTTTGTTGAAACATAGATTTTCTGTCTGCTCTCCAAAAATACTTAGTAAAGTAAATGAACTTAAGGAAAAGTCAGTAGATTTCCCCTACTATCACATATTCTTTGGACAGTTGAACTGGATAAAATTTTTCACAAGAGGACATTACACAATTTCCTTTGTAGCTGTAAAGTATTTCACTTGATTATTATTGCTTGATTTAGACAGAAATGAATAGATCACAATCATTGTTTCATCTTTTTTGGCAGTTTATAATTTCGGTTGCAGTATAGTTTATTTGAAACATTTCATTTGTAATATTGTGTAACTGCGTACATAATATTAATATTAAGTAGACAAAGAGTCCATTAGTGTTAAAGTACAAAGGCTATTCAGGTTGGAAGAATGTTTTTTTGCAAATTCACAAGAGGTTTAAATACAAAGCAAATCCTAGAAAAAAATGGGAAATATCTACTGTCTTACTAGGTTTACTTAATAAAAAGTAGGGAGGAATTTTTGAGTGTCTAGTAGATTTGAATAGTACAGACAACTAATCTAGACTACTGAGCATAACCCCCCCAATACACTTCTATCTTGTTTTGTTAGGATTCAGACAAAAGCACATTTTTAGTTTATATTAATTATAGATATATAAACCTAACTTTACTCTTTCTTTTATTGTGGTGAAATATAGATAACAAAATTTGCCATTTTAACCATTTTTAGTTGTATAATTCAGTGGCGTTAATTACGTTTACACTGTTATGCAGTCATCACCACCATCTATTTCCAAAACTTTTTCGTTACCACTCCAAACAGAAACTCTAACCATCAAGCCATAACTCCGTATTCCTCTCCCCAAACTCAAGCTAACCTCTCATCTACTTTCTGTCTCTATTGAATTTGCCTGTTCTAGGTACCCCATATAAATGGAATCAAATAATATTTGTCATTTTGTATTTGGCTTCTTTCACTTAGCATAATGTGTTTTGTTTTATTTTTATTTACCATTTTATTAATTGTTAAGCATACAGTTCAATGGCATTAAGTACATTCATGTTGCTGTGCAATCATCAGTACCATCTATCTCCAGAATTTTTCATTACTCCAAACTGAAACTCTGTACTTATTAAATAACTCCCTATTTCCCCCTCTTCCCAGCCTCTGGTAATCACAGTTCTATTTTTTGTTTTTATCAATTTGACTACTCTAGAATATAAATGGAATCAACAATATTTGTCCAGTTGTATCTGGCTTATTTTACTTAGCATAATGTCTTCAAGGTTCATTCATGTTGTAGTATGTATCAGAATTTCATTCATTTTTAAGGCTGAATAATATTTTATGTATATACCACATTTTGTGTATCTATTCATCTGTTTATAGGCATGGGTTGTCTACCATTTGGCTGTTGTGGACAATGCTGCAGTGAACATTGGTGTACAAGTATCTGTGTGAATCTGTTTTTAATTCATTTGGACATATCTAACAGTGGAATTGTTGGGTCATATGGAAATTCTATGTTTGGCTTTTTGAGGAACCTCCAAACTGTTTCCCACAGCAGCTGCACTATTTTATATTCCCACCAGCAATGTACAAAGATCCCATTTTTCGATTTTTTTTTTTTAATTGTAGCCATCCTAGCAGGTGTAAAGTGGTGTCTCGTTATGGTTTGATTTTCATTTCTTTTTTTTTTGGTGTGGGGAGTCCCTTTCTGACAGAATTCATTTCCTGAATGACTACTGATATTGCACATCTTTTCATCTTCTTATTGGTCATTTGTGTATTTACTTTGAAGAAATGTCTACTAGAGTTCTTTGCCTTTTTGTAAATTTGAATGTGAGAAGGAGAGAGAGCGAGAGAGCTCTTTGCCCACTTTTAAATTGGAGTGTCTTTATTGTTAGGTTACAGTTCTTTATATATTCTGGATATTAATTCTTGATCAGATATATGATTTGCAAATATTTTCTCACATTTGGTAGATTGTCTTTTTACTCTTGATGTCCTTTGATGCTCAAAAGTTTTTATTCTGATGGAGTCCAATTTATCTGTTTTTTTTTGTTGTTGCCCATGCTTTTGGTATCATATCTAAGAATCCATTGTCAATCTCAAGGTCATGAACATTTACCCTTATGTTTTCTCTAAGAGTTTTATGATTTTAGCTTTTATATTTAGGTTGTTGATATTTTATATTAGGTTGTTGAGTTAATTTTTGTAATATGGTGTGGGGTAGGGGTTCAACCTTTCCTTTGCATGTGGAAATCCAGTTTCCCAGCATCATTTGTTGAAAAGACTGTTCTTTCCTCCACTGAATAGACTTGGCATCCTTGTGAAAAATCAAATGGGAGCTCGATCTTGGCTCACTGCAACCTCCGCCTCCTGGGTTCAAGCGATTCGACTGCCTCAGCCTCCCGAATAGCTGGGACTACAGGTGCCCGCCATCAGGCCCAGCTAATTTTGGTATTTTTAGTAAAGATGATGTTTCACTATGTTGGCCAGGATGGTCTGGAACTCCTGACCTCATGATCCGCCCACGTTGGCCTCCCAAAGTGCTGGGATTACAGTTGTGAGCCACCACGCCCGGCCTGTTTCTTTTTTTAATTGTATTTTACTTAAAAGTTTATATTATGATAAAAACAGCATGAAATCTACCATCTTTTTTTTGAGACAGTCTCACTCTGTCACCTAGGCTGGAGTGCAGTGGCATGAACTCTGCTCACTGTAACCTCCACCTCCTAGGTTCAAGTGATTTTCCTGCCTCAGCCTCCTGAGTAGCTGGAATTATAGGAGCGGGCCACCACACCCAGCTAATTTTTGTATTTTCAGTAGAGATAAAGTTTCACCATGTTGGCCAGGCTAGGGTCAAATTCCCAACCTCAAGTGATCCACCTGCCTCAGCCTCCCAAAGTGCTGGGATTACAGGTGTGAGCCAAAATCTACCATCTTAAACATTTGTTTGTTTTAAAGACAGGGTCTTGCTCTGTCACTCAGGCTCGAGTGCAGTGGTGTGATTGTAGCTCATTGTAGCCTTGAACTCCTGGGCTCAAGCAATCTTTCTGCCTCAGCCTCCCAAGTAGCTGGGACTACAGATGTGCACCACCACACCTGGCCAATTTTTTTAGTTTGTTTTTAATATAGATCGGGGTCTTGCTGTGTTGCCCAGGCTGGTCTCCAACCCCTGGCCTCTAGTGATCCTCCTGCCTCAGCTTCCCAAAGTCCTGGGATTATAGGCCTCAGCCACTGCACCTGGCCCATCTTAAACATTTTTAAGTGTACAATTCAATTGTTTTAAATATTGAATATTGAATATTGTTGTGAATCAGATCTCTAGAACTTTTACATCTTACAAAAATGAGACTATACTCATTAAACAAATTCCCTTTTTTTCCTTCCCCAGTGCCTGGCAATCACATTCTACTTTGTGTTTCTATGAATTTACTTTACATACTGCCTATATTTTTGAGATTTAGCCATAAGATGTCACTGTAGTAAGTGAACACACTTGTATAACCACCATCTGGTTCTTCCTCATCCCCAGAGGTACCCACTGTATTACCATAACAGCATAGATTCATTTTGCCTGTGTTTGAACTTTTTATAAATGGAAATTTCACAGTATATATTCTTTTGTGTCTGGTTTCTTCAGTTCAACATGTTGCATTCTCATGTGTTGTGTATGTGGCAGTGGTTCGTTCTTTTTCATTGCAGATTAGGATTCCATTGTATGATTATATCTCATTTTGTACATACTCTGCTGTAGATGTTTGGGCTGTTTCCAGTTTGGGACTGTAATGAATAATGCTGCTATGGCCGTGTGTGTTGCGTGTGTGTGTGTGTGTGTGTGTGTAAATACATATATCTATTACACATTTCTCTTTAGTATATATTAGGGGATCTCATTTGATTTTTTTTTTTTTAAAGAGATAGTGTCTCACTATGTTGTCCAGGATGGTCATGAACTCCCAGGCTCAAGCGATCCTTCCACCTTGGCCTCCCAAACTGCTGGGATTACAGGCCTGCGCCGCCGTGCCTGGCCTTCATTTGATTTTTTAATGGAAATTTTTATTGAGATAATTGTAGATTCATATGTAGTTGTAAGAAATGATAGAGATCCTTTGTACTCTTCTCTCATTTGTAACATTTTGCAAGACTTTAGTATGGTATCACAACCAGGATATTGACATTAATCAGTCCACAGATATTATTCTGATTTCCCAGTTTTACTTCTCTCTTTTTTTTTTTTTTTTTTGAGATGGAGTCTTGCTCTGTTGCCCAGGCTGGAGTGCAGTGGCACAATCTCAGCTCACTGCAACCTCCGCCTCCCGCGTTCAAGTGATTTTCCTGCCTCAGCCTCCTGAGTAGCTGGGACTTACAGGCACATGCCACCACATCCAGCTAATTTTTTGTATTTTTAGTACAGACAGGGTTTCACCATGTTGGCCAGGATGGTCTCGGTCTCCTGACCTCGTGATCCGCCCGCCTCAGCCTCCCAAAGTGCTGGGATTATAGGCGTGAGCCACCACGACTGTCCTTACTTCTCTTTGATTTATTTCTTAAAGAGAAAGCGAGATGGTTTAATTTGTAGTCAAGAGTCATTTCTTCTTGATTACAGTGCTCATTATGCAAATTTCATCTACCTGTTGATACAGAAATGGTACCCTGCCACTTCCCTGGACATTTATTCCAGACAGAAAAATTCCTGTGCAACCCTCACCTAGATGTCTGCCAGCAGTTGATCTCTCTGCCTTCTTAAAAAGTTATGTAAACTCTTATCTAGAATATCTGGGGTTTTTAGTTCAACTGACTGGACATATACAGTATAGAAACTCATTTTTTTTCAGTGGGTTTGATAATATTCTCAACTCTAGATCAAGAACTTCCCATTACTTAACCTGTCTTTGATGATCCTGAAAGTTCCCTAGATGGGAAATAGATCTGGCAGTATGTCAGGGTCACTAATTTTCCCTGGATAGTATTAAAATATATAGAAGGTTTGCTACTTTTCCTGGCCCTGGATAATCTGTCTGAAAAGAGTTTGTGTGAATGAAGTTTTCACGTATTTGCTCTTCATGTCATCCTGTAGGCTCAGAATGAACAATACAGGGAGATTCATTTTGCTTATCTATAGTTTCTAAATTTTTGGTAATGAAAATTATTACTTTTGTAAAGAAAGTTATAAAAATACTAACAATTAAATATAAAAATGCAGGGTGCTTGGATCTCAAAATAGGAGCTTACTGTGATTAAAAGTCAGACTGCATATAATAATTAGTTATAATTAATAATGCTTTTTCTTTCTTTGTTTACATGAAATCTTTCAGAAAATAATAATGCTTTTTCAAAGATTGAATTTTTGGTAAATGTTTATATTTTGGCTAGCTTAAGTTTTCCCCTTTCTCTGCCTCTCATTTCTAGAGTCACCAGAAGGAAAATGTAAAACATTTTTTAAATGGCTCTTTCCCTGTAAATCATCCAGCACACACACTGCATTTTTTCTAGTTTCAGGCATAAAGGGAAACCTGGCTCAGATAAGAATGATCCTTGCTGCATGCTCAGCGGCTCATATATCTTTCTTTTTAAATTATTATTTTTTACTTTTTAATATTTATGTATTTTTAATTTTTTTAGTGACAGGGTCTCCGTTGCCCAGGCTGCAGTGCAGTGGCGCCATGCCTCGAATTCCTTGGCTTCTGGATGATCCTCCTAATTCAGCTTCCTGAGTAGCCAGGACTACAGGCCACCATGCCTGGATAATTTTTTAATTTTTAAAATTTTTTTTGTGGAGAACAAGGTCTTGCTTGGTTGCCCAGGTTGGTCTTGAATTCCTGGCCTCAAGCAATCTTCCTGCCTTGGCCTCCCAAAGTGTTGGGAATACAGGTGTGAGCCACTGTGCCTAGCTATCCTTTTTTTTTTTTTTTTTTTAAATTCTGAGAGTCTCTAGCTCAAACACAAGTTAGCAGGTTAAGGACTACTCCAAGTTCTGGCAGAGCTAATTTTTACTACTTGGTCTTCAAAAAATAGAGGCTTTTTTAAAAATTTTTTTTGTGACAGAGCTTCACTGTATTGCCCAGGCTGGAGTGCAGTGGTGCGATTGTGGCTCACTGAAAACTTCGCCTCCCGGGTTCAAGTGGTTTTCCCGAATAGTTGGGATTACAGGTGAGCGCCAGCATACCCAGCTAATTTTTGTACTTTTAGTAGAGACAGGGTTTCACCACGTTGGCCAGGCTGGTCTCAAACTCCTGGCCTCAAGTGATCCGCCCTCTTCAGCCTCCCAAAGTGTTGGGATTACAGGCGTGAGCCATGGCACTTGGTCTTGTAACTCCTTTTTGAACATAACTTCAAAGTGAAGGCCTTTGCCCATGAGCTCTTTGACATCATCTGGTGTCCACTGGTGACCCATCAGCTCCAGAACTTTCTACTTTGTCTTGGAAGCTTTGCTGGTTTCTGTGGGCATGGCCATGGCTGCTCTGGTCATCTGCTCCTGCCTCATTTCTTATTGGTCAGTTGCCATTATCTTGGCCTAGAATCACAGTAAATTCTCTGAAGCCCAAATACGTTGAGGAAATACCAGGATGCAGAGCTCATTCAGGGTGGATCTAATGTGAGTAGTTTGATAACTTGCTGCAGCATAGGCTTAAAACCAGAGGGTCGGCCGGGTGCAGTGGCTCATGCCTGTAATCCCAGCACTTTAGGAGGCCGAGGCGGGTGAATCACCTGAGGTCAGGAGTTCGAGACCAGCCTGGCCAACGTGGTGAAACCTTGTCTCTACTAAAAACACAAAAATTAGCTGGGCATGGTGGCAGGCACCTGTAGTCCCAGCTACCTGGGAGGCTGAGGCAGGAGAATCGCTTGAACTTGGGAGGCAGAGGTTGCAGTGAGCCGAGATTGTGCTACTGCATTCCAGCCTGGGCAACAGAGTGAGACTCCGTCTCAAAACAAACAAACAAACAAACAACAACAACAAAAAACAGAGGGTCAGTGGAAATAGGACCTTGGTTGCAACAATGCCTGAGTATGTCAATGTTGATCCATTCACAAGTAAGAATCATAGGGATGACGTTTGTTATATTTCCTTTCATCATGCCTGAGAGCATAGTGGGAGGAAGTGGTGATATTTTTATCCTCTGGGTTGTTGATGTAATATTCTCATGTCAAGAAAAAGACTTTTTGGGAATGTAATTTCCATTTTCACTGAAGGCTCTGCTTCAAATTAGGACTTAACTGTCAGATACTTGCTCCTGGGTGAGCTTCTTGTCGCTCTGTACCAGGATGAACATGTAGTGGCAGATCATATCTGAGAAGAAGCAGATGATAAACATGGGCGGGACCATCCAGTGGCTGACGCTGGAGTTGGACAGTAGCTCCTACCCTCTGTCTTCACTGAGAGCTGGTCTGGCTTCTCCTGGGGTGCCGGGGCTCTTTGGGTTTTCGTCGAGGCCTTCGTATGCTCCTCAGCCTGGGCATTATCTTGGCCTAAGACTGGCCAGGACCCTGCTATAGCCTCGGGCCTAGTGCAGTGATTCCAACTCCTCCAGCTGGGCTGCCAGTGGCCCATGGCAGCCCTGCATCCATTTGATTTTCGCTAACTCTATCTGGAGACTATAGAGTTCTAAACAGAAACCAAAAGCTCCCTGACGTCTTTTTGCTTGTTCTAAGCCATCTCTATTAAGACCATATTTTAGAGTGAAAGTTATTAAACCGTAGAATTTTGTTTGATCACTCTGACCCCCACTTGCTTCAGTGAAAAAAAAAAAGAAGCAGGCTACAAAACATTATGTACTACATGAATTCACTTTGTGAGAACACAAAAAACTTTTATTTATCACTGCCTACCACACAAAATAGTAAGGATTCAATAAAAAATTGTAGACTAATGGCTGAAATGATTGAAAGAATACACAGGAAAAATGAAGTTTTATGCACCAAATTGTTAACTGGACTTATTTCTGTTCCAGGACTCTAGTTGATTATTCTTTTTTCCAAATTTACCACAGCGAATATATAACTTTTACTTAATATTTTAAAAAAGTGTTGTGCTTTCTCTTGTTTATAAGTGGTGAGAGACTGATGAAAGTGAAAGTACTTGTAGAAAGAACTGTGTAGCAAGTCAAAAATTCAGTCATTCCCTGAAATGTTGTAATCTATGAAGGAGTTTTATTGTCCTTTTACTCTGAAAGGCAACACAATAGTTGGGTTGTGTCAAAAGGAAAAAATATCATCCATAGTTTAGGTGTATAGAACAAATTGGGACATAATTCCAGAACTGATGACTTAGTTCCACAACAAAGAACAGTTTCACATATAATAACCTGAGAGTTTCAGATATAATAACAAGTGAATCGTGGCTGTCTTACTCTTGCTGTAAAATAGCATTCTTAAATACTGGGATGTGAGACCCACTCACTGGGTGGAGACCTTTTAGGAGATAAAAATAGAAGTTATCCTTATCCTCAGGGAGCTCATAGGCTGGTGACTATGACTGGGAAGTAACACTTACAGTTTTTATACTTCAATTGAATTAACATTTATTTAAAATAGGAATGATAATTTATTCCTGCTGAAATGGTTGTTATAAAAAGTAAAAAGCATTAATATTTCAAAAATACAAATTTTGATATATTAAATAATATAAATTCTAAATTTGCTAATTTAAGTAAATGTTTTTTGAGTATTTAAGTCAAGGACTGTGCTAAATATAATTTTACAAAATGGTTAATTTTCTGAGTAAGTAATGCTTTATTTGGTAAAACAGTTTCAGAGGCTGGGCATGGTGGCTCATACCTTTAATCCCAGCACTTTGGGAGGCCGAGGCTGGTGGATCACCTGAGATTGGGAGTTCGAGACCAACATGGAGAAAAACCCCGTCTCTATTAAAAATACAAAATTAGCTGGGCATGGTGGCGCATGCCTGTAATCCCAGCTACTTGGGAGGCTGAGGCAGGAGAATCGCTTGAACCCGGGTGGCAGAGGTTGCGGTGAGCTGAGATTGTGCCATTGCACTTCAGCCTGGGCAACAAGAGCGAAACTCCATCTCAAAAAAAAAAAATTTTTTTTCAGAAGAGTATGTGGTGAAGTCTTCCTTCTACCCTATCTCCCAGCCACTAGGTTCTTTCACCATTTTCAGAGAGATTTTATGCATGGGTATAAATATGCATATATATATCTTCATTTAAAAATTGTAGATGGTATTATATTATGCTCTTCTGGAGTGCAAAGTGTTTTATATGCTTATCTCATTTAATATGTACAATAGTTGTCAAGACAGGTACTCTTATTAATATTTCCATTTTACAACTAAGGAACTAAAGACATCTCAATTTTTTAATAACTTGTGCAGGGTCACATAGCTGATAGTTATAGAATCTACTTCCTGAGGCACTACTTTATATAGTTAACTTATTTATTTATTCATTTATTTTGAGTCAGAGTCTCACTCTTTTGCCCAGGCTGGAGTGCAGTGGCGTGATCTTGGCACACTGCAACCTCCCCCTCACAGGTTTAAGTGATTCTCCTGCCTCAGCCTCCTGAGTAGCTGGGACTGCAGGCACCCACCACCACCATGCCTGGCACTTTTTGTATTTTTAGTACAGACGGGTTCACCAAGTTGGCCAGGCTGGTCTTGAACTCCTGATCTCAAGTGATCTGCCCGCCTTGGCCTCCCAAAGTGCTGGGATTACAGGCATGAGCCACCGTGCCTGGCCTAGTTAACTTTTTAATTTGAAACAATTTCAAAGTTACAGAAAAGTTGCAAGAATAGAATAAAGAATTGCATATACCCTTTGCCTGGAGTCCTTAGTCAGGTTTCTGCAGCTATCTCAATAATATTGGCAAAAGGAACCAACCTAGGATCACCCATTATTCCCAGTTGTCATGAATCTCTAGCCTCCTTCAATCTGGAACAGTTTCTTCACTCTTTCTTTGACTTTCATGACTGTGGTATCTTTAGAGATCACAGGCCAGACCTGTCCAGAAAGATTTTGTAGAATATTTCTAAATTTGTGGTTGTCCCAGGTGTCCTCACTGTAATCCCCATATGATGCATTTTTGACCACAGTATCACAGAAGTTATGCTGTGTTCTTCCCATTGCATCCTGTCAGGCACCACACAATGTCAATTTGTTCCATTATTTCTATTAAAGGGAGAAAGGAAGAAGGGGGTATGGGAAAGTAACTTGTTGGTTTGCTTTTCAGAGAACCCTCGGTTCAGTAAATATCTTTTCCTTGTAGCACCCTGGAGGAGAAGAGGTTCTGCTGGAACAAGCTGGTGTAGATGCAAGTGAAAGCTTTGAAGATGTAGGACACTCTTCTGATGCCAGAGAAATGCTAAAGCAGTACTACATTGGTGATATCCATCCGGTAAGAACTATCAGAGATGGGAGCCCTTATGCAGAGAAAACTACTTAACAGCTGCAGAACAGGATGAAGAAATGAATTATTGGCTGGGCGTGGTGGCTCACACCTGTCATCCCAGTACTTTGGGATGCCAAGGCAGGCGGATCACTTGAGGTCAGGAGTTCGAGACCAGCCTGGCCAACATGGTGAAACCCCACCTCTACTAAAAAATACAAAAATTAGCTGGGTGTGGTGGCGCACACTTGTAATTCCAGCTCCTCAGGAGGCTGAGGCACGAGAACTGCCTGAACCTGGGAGGCAGAGGTTGAAGTATGCCAAGATTGCACCACTGCACTCCAGCCTGGGTGAAAGAGCGAGACTCTGTCTCAAAAAAAAAAAAAAAATTATTAAAATGGAAATTCATTCAATCTAGCCATCAGGCTAAATTTTCTCCAAAATTGTCTAGTCTTACTGTGCTAGGATATAGCTTCTTCTTTGCCAGGTAGCACATGTAATATCTCTAAAAAGCTAAGGGAACTGATTCTGGATTATTTTTATGTGTTGATTTATTTTTGTAATGCAGTTAATAACACCTTTACCTAAAATAGTGGTTTGCTTGTTTTTGCAAGCTCCTTGCTAAAGGTAGTAATTATGGACTTTAAAAACTATCCATATATACCATTCTAACAAGGGACTCTGATATGCTCAGAGTAGAGGTATCTTTCTATGGATCCTCAAATCTCCCAGGGAATTCACTATCACCAGAATATAGTCTCATGTTCCAAAGTTAGAAACAAGCATATAGTGAGAATTCATTTGGCTATGTCTTAAAATATTATTTGTTTTCCTTTTTTTGACAGAGTGACCTTAAACCTGAAAGTGGTAGCAAGGTAAGAAGTCAGCGGTTTGTCTTGTGTTTATATTTGTGTTTACTCAAGTAGGACTGCTTTTTGAAACATTTTTTCTTAACAAGAGAAGTTACAAAGTATTTACTTTTTCCCCAAGCAAAAATCCTATTTTTCTGGAATTTGGACTCAGTATCATCTCAGGAATAAAAGAATAGCTGAGTCTTGAACAGTAGGAAACATTTTGCTAATGCCTTTATACGCTTTTTTTTTTTAACTGAAACTCCAAAGCTATGCCCTGTGTGGTTTTGAAAGAAATTAGTTTATGGGTTCAGTTGTGGAAAAATATCTTACTTTTACATTATGTAGGACAAGTGATAATAATTGTTTCTGTGTTGGAAAAAAATAATTGCAAAGTTGTTTTGTTTCTTATAGGTTATCTTCTTTATCTGTAATACAGAGGCCTTTCTGTACTTATTTTCCAAATTTAATTCTTTTTTCCTGTAGGCTCAAACAGGCCCACACCCTTCCCGGTTACTTAGTAATACAGCGAAAACAAAAGACTAAGTATTTGAGTGTTTGAAAACTTTAATGTGTACTACATTGCATACCAGGAAGAAAATATGGAACCATTTTCTGCCTCCCACATGCTAGGTGGTTCATTTCCCTTATTCCCTAACAATTTTCCTTAATTTCTGTCCTTCAGATAGCTGGTACACAGCACTCTAATTTAAAGGGACAGCAGTTTAGGTGCCACCTAGAACATAGGAAAGTGATGCTGCCTCCCTTCCATTTTCCTCCTCCTTGCTGCTTGCTTCCCATTCCTCATTGAGCCGAAATTACTGAATAGGTTTGACACAGCAATTAAAGTTGGCCTAGACACAAGAATTCTATTAACTCAAGAGATTGCTTGCTTAACAGTGTCTGCCATCTGTTGCCCTGCAATCCAGAGTGTTTGTGTAAATTAACTCTTCCATGTTGCTAGACTGCTACTCTGAACTATTGAATTGTTTCTGAAAGGGGAATGAAATGGTTCTTAAAACACTTTGTAACAACTGTTGGTTGTTTGTCCTCTCCTCCTAACACATGTACTATCCATTCTTGAATCCTTAAAAAAAAAAAATTAAATAGTTCAAAACAGTATTCTGTAAAAAGTTTCTTCCTGTCTCAAGCTCTCAGTGTCTTAGTTCCCCTTCCCTGGAGGTAACCAGCCATCATTTTTTGTTGTTGCTTACTCTTAATAACTTGTGTTATTATGGTAAAATTTGAACGAAGCGTGGCCTTGATTTGTATATTGAACATGTCCAGAAAATACCACTTTCAGAGGTCAACATCTGATTCAAAGGATATAGGAGCCATAACACATTTCTGCACAGCAACTATGAGAGCATCTTTTATATTAAAACAATAGAAAAAATATGTTTGCAATTACAATGTCTAGAAGTCTACAGATTGCTTCTTGTTGCTGTTTTTCTTTCTTGGTAGTACAGTTAGGACCATTCTTAGGAATGTAGAACAATGTTCCCCAAATTCTGTTCTTGTATCACCTCAGTTGGAATCCCTTGGTATGTACATGAATATATATAGGAAATGTTTATTTCTTGGGCTTCTACTCCTACTGCTTTGGAATCTCTGGAGATAGGGTTTAGGAATTTGCAATTTAAGTAATCTAGGTGATAAGTAGGTAGCTAAGCCCAAACTTTTTGCTGAATGATATGCCCATCTTTTCATTTGAAAACTTAGGAAAATTTAATTCTCTTCTGTGGTAAGCATTGTCTGCCTTCTATAGGCCAAAGGATTAGAGATTTCTCAGCTGAATTAAAACTATTGAGCCATCCAGGTGCAGTGGCTCACGCCTGTAATCCCTACACTTTGGGAGGCTGAGATGGGAGGATGGCTTGAGCCCAGCACTTGGAGACCAGCCTGGGCAACATGGTGAGACCCTGTCTCTATTTTTTAAAAATCATAAAATTAGCTGAGCATTATAATGTGTGCCTGCAGTCCCAACTACTGGGGAGGCTGAGGCTGGAGGATAGCTTGAGCCCGGGAGTTTGAGGCTGCAGTGAGCCATGGTAACACCATTGCACTTCCATCTGGGTAACACAGCATGACCCCATCTCAAAAAAAAAAAAAAAAAAAAACCCAAAAAACTATTGAGCCTTAGATTTTTTTGTAAGAAAGATAGAAAAAGAAAGCATTTAAGCTCACCAAGTTCTATAATAATTTAGAAGTCTCCAAATGTAGTTTAGCCCCTATCTGGGTTAAAAAGTGACTAAAGGCAGTGTTTTCAATCCTGTTTTCCTCATGTCACTGTACTCAAGGGACATGTCTTCATTAAGTAGAGAGTCTGGCTATTGTGTTTCTAGTCACTCTGCTCTACTTCAGGCAGATCAGGCAAGAAAGGCCTTTTGGAACATTTTCAAGACCACCTACATAGGTTTTTATAGAGCTATATTCCAACCTGACTTCAGTTCCAGGAAGAAATTCTTGATCTCTCAGATTTATTTCTTACAGAGGTTTAAATAGGGACTTGGTGTCTAGGATGTAGGTATCTCTCTTCTCCATACTTTATCTGGTTTAAACATTCACCATTAAGAAATGGAAATGGAGTTCATTTCATTGGTTACCTTCCTTTCTCTTGGTTCATGGTTTCTGAATCTTTATGAAGAAGTGATTTTTAAAAGTCAAATTAAAAAGTATCTTCAGCCTATGGGAGAGAGTTTTCATTTCCATTTTCCTTCTTCTCCTTCTTCTACTCCCTGTCTGAACTGCACCATCCCTACTGCCCGCCAAGAAAGAAACACTCAAAATGTTGCTATTCCAAAGTGTAAGTCAGTAACCATTCCCTAATTCTTTTAGAAAACACCTTTCATATTACTTTTATAACACAGGTAAATAATTAATGGTCACCATTGTTTTATTGTTAGATGGATAGTACCTGAGTTGAAGGCCCAGAATTAATATACTAAAAACGTAAAGACTTAAAAACTTAAAGATGTAGCAACAGATTTTTTTTTAACCCGCTTCAATCAAAAATAACTAACTAGAATTAAAAACCATTTGTCTTTGTGAATCTCTTCCTTGCTGGATTAACCCTCATGCTGAGAGCCGTCAATCTCCTACTTATATTTGACTTAACATTTTTCTGGTTTGTTTTTGGTTACGGAAACTCACCTTAGAAACAGACTCAGTGCTCTCTGTGCCAGTTTGCCTGCCTGCTTGCCTGCTCTTTAGCAAGTAACCTATAAATATTCGTGGTCTATGAATTCTCTCTTTGATGATGTATTTACTTCTTGGTTAGCTGTTTTATCACTTAATCTGCCATCAGTTCAAGAGATAAAGTGCATACAAATCGTAACCTGACTAAAAAAGTGGGCACCATTTCATTCATTTCTTCAACAGATATTATCTAGATAATAGTTCAACTGCTTTACTAGTTAAATCTTGTAGTCAAATAGGTCTAGTAATTTGACCTGTTCCCCATTACATTTTTTTTGAGTGAGTATTATAAAATGTACATGGTAAAAAAAAAATTTAAATAGTTCAAAACAGTATACTATAAAAAAAGTTGGCCGGGGGCGGTGACTCACGCCTGTAATCCCAGCATTTTGGGAGGCTGAGGCGGGCGGATCACGAGGTCAGGAGATAGAGCCCATCCTGGCTAACATGGTGAAACCCCGTCTCTACTAAAAATACAAAAAATTAGCCGGCCGTGGCGGCGGGCAACTGTAGTCCCAGCTACTCGGGGCAGGAGAATGGCGTGAACCTAGGAGGTGGAGCTTGCAGTGAGCAGAGATCGCGCCACTGCACTCCAGCCTGGGCGACAAAGCGAGACGCCGTCTCAAAAAAAAAAAAAAAAAAAAATTCCCTCGTATATCCAGCTCTGAGACTTTTAGTTCCCCTTCCCTGGAGGTAACCAGCCATCATTTTTTTGTTGTTGTTTACTCTTCCAAAGATTCCATGCATTCATAAGGATGGATGGATGGATAGACAGACAAACCAACCATCATTTCCTTTAAAAAAGTAAAAAGCTGGCCGGGCGCGGTGGCTCAAGCCTGTAATCCCAGCATTTGGGGAGGCCCAAAATTTGAGTAGTCCCAGGTACTCGGGAGGCTGAGGCAGGAGAATGGCGTGAACCCGGGAGGTGGAGCTTGCAGTGAGCTGAGATCGCGCCACTGCACTCCAGCCTGGGCGACAGAGCGAGACTCCGCCTCAAAAAAAAAAAAAAAAAAAAAGGTAAAAAGCCTCATACATACTATTCTTCACCTTGCTTCTCTTTACTTAAAAATTTTATTTGTTGGCTGCACACTGTGGCTCACGACTGTAGTCCCAGCACTTTGGGAGGCTGAGGTGGACGGATCACACGAGGCCAGGAGTTCGAGACCAGCCCGGCCAACATGGCGAAACCCCGTTTCTACTAAAAATACAAAAATTAGCTGGGAATGGTGGTGTCCCAGCTACATGGGAGGATGAGGCGGTAGAATGGCTTGAACCTGGGAGGCACAGGTTGCAGTGAGCCAAGATTGTGCCAGTGCACTCTAGTCTGGGTGACAGAACGAGACCCTGTCTCAAAAAAAATTTTTTTTTTATTCATCATTATTTCTTGTCAGTTTATTAACATCTTTTGGGCTGGGGGCGGTGGCTCACGCTTGTAATCCGAGCACTTTGGGAGGCCCAGCTGGGTGGATCACGAGGTCAAGACCATCTTGGCCAACATGGTAAAACCCTGTCTCTGCTAAAAATACAAAAATTAGCTGGGCGTGGTGGTGCACACCTGTCGTCGCAGCTACTCGGGAGGCTGAGGCAGGAGAATCGCTTGAACCCGGGAGGCGGAGGTTGCAATGAGCCGAGATTGTGCCAATGCACTCCAGCCTGGTGAGAGAGCGAGACTCTGTCTCAAAAAAAAAAAAAAGATCTTTCTCATTTTTTAAGTAGATATTTAGTATTCCATAGATGAAAGTGTTGATGTGATGACATTTGCTTTCGAAGGATTTGATCTGTTTTTTAAAACAAATAAAATTGTCTCCATAGAGGCTTAACGTGTTTTTTTAACTTCATTTTTAACTTAAGAAGCTTGACTTATGAAATCTAGTAAATTTTACATGTTAGAAGCAGTCTATTAATTGCATTTAAAGTTACATTTTTTCTCCCAGATGCTACTGACTTTTATTATACATACAGTTTTCTGTTATATAATGTATTATGTAACATACAGTTTACTTCTTTTATGAGAGAAACTAAAAGGAATATATTGTTTATAATTATGAAATATAGTTAGTTGATTACATCAAATTAAAAATTTTATTTTTAAGAATTATTTAATATCCCTACCATACCTACTACCTAATTTATTAAAGTTTGGAATGGGATGCTGATGCCCTTTAGACAAGCAGTGATTGCTATTTACCAGAGAATTTTGTCTGGTTATTTCCTGATTTCTTGTGTGTTTTTTTGTTTTGTTTTGTTTTTGGGCGGGGGAACGGAGTGTTGCTCTGTCACCCAGGTTGGAGTGCAGTGGCGCGATCTCGGCTCTGCAACCTCCGCCTCCTGGGTTCAAGCCATTCTCCTCCTGCCTCAGCCTTCTGAGTAGCTGGGATTACAGGCGCCTACCACCACGCCTGGCTAATTTTTGTATTTTTAGTAGAGATGGGGTTTCACCATGTTGGCCAGGCTGGTCTCGAACTCCTGACCTCAGGTGATCCACCTGCCTTGGCCTCTCAAAGTGCTGGGATTACAGGCATGAGCCACCAGCTACTGCACCTGGCTTATTTCCCATTTTCATATACACTTATATTTTGTAACATAATCTTTTGAAAGAAAGCATAGAATGTGATGACAAAATTACTCCTGAAAGACAAAATACCCTTTGCTGAGGGTTCTCAAGGACTAATGTCTTCTATTGGTAAAGCTCTACTTAGAAATGATGTATAGTTTTGCAAAACAGGGTTCAGAAGGGTAAGGAAACATTCTTTTCAAATCAGCCCTCCAATGTTATAACAAATTTTTCACTTCTTAAGTCCTGATAGAGATCATCCTGTGAATGTGTTAATTTTTTTTCTTGAGTGAGGTGTTATATATTTTATCACAATGAGTTCTTAAGAGAGTTTATAGCAATTTGTTTTAGGGGCTGTTTTTCATCTTTGAATTTTGCCATATCTACAGGGAAATTTTTTTATATAACGGTTTGACTCTAGGATTATATACTTTGCAAGGCAGTAATTGTTAAATTATATTCACATCCAGAAAGAAATGGTTCTTACTGACTTGAATATTTTAGTACATTGGAGCTTCATGAGAAGGCTGTCCTCAAGATCCATACCACATGACTGTGTCATAGTTGGGACTGTAAAATGCTGAAATCATATACCTTCAATACTCAAAACATTTTAGGTGGTAAAATGAACCTAATATTAAAATTCATATAGTGTTAGCTCATGCTATAAGGTCCATGGTATTAAGGGGGAGAAATCTTTTCCAGTTTAGAATTTGAAGCCAGAAGTTCCCAACTTGTTTTTCATAAGTTACTGGCCACAGGGATACCAAAGTGTTCCAAATTCAAAGCTACACAGTCTCTACCAGACCACCTAAATACCCATTACATTTGCCAAAGGTGTCCTGTGGCTTAAAATCTACTTTTTCCAATTTTAAATACTTAGAATCCTCTTGGAATAGCAATGTAGGAATTAAAACATAAAGTCTTTATATACCTTATATTTGCCTTTTAAGCTTTTGAAAGCCTAAATGTAAGCTGTATAGGCTGAAGGTATAATGCCCTGTTTTTTGGGGTTTTTGTTTTGTTTTGTTTTGTTTTTGAGACAGAGTGTCACTCTGTTGCCCAGGCTGGAGTGCAGTGGCACGATCTTGGTTCACTGCAACCTCCGCCTCTTGGGTTCAAGTGATTCTCCTGCCTCAGCCTCTCAAGTAGCTGGGACTACAGGTGTGTGCCACCACACCCAGCTAATTTTTTTGTAGTTTTAGTAGAGATGGGGTTTCACCCTGTTAGCCAGGATGGTCTCGAGCTCCTGACCTCATGATCCGCCTGTCTCGGCCTCCCCAAGTGCTGGGATTATAGGCATGAGCCACTGCACCCGGCTTCCCTGTCTGTCGTAATGCGTCATAATCATGATTCTGGTTCATTCTTTCCTACATTTATGTCCTGATGACAAAGTACACTCCATTCCTTAAGTGTGTGCTCTTCTCTCATGTTTTCTCATAAACAAAGTTCATCGTGAAATCCACACCCATTGACCCCCACATCCTTTCTATGTGGTTGCCAGTTGAGACATTTCTTTGTTGTTCTCTTTTTTTTTTTTTTTTTTTGGTGGGGGGACGAAATCTCACTCTTGTCACCAGGCTGGAGTGCAACGGTGTGATCTCGGCTCACTGCAACCTCTGCCTCCCGGGTTCAAGCGATTCTTCTGCCTCAGCCTCCTGAGTAGCTGGGATTACAGGCACACACTGCCATGCCCAGCTAATTTTTGTATTTTTAGTAGAGATGGGGTTTCACCATGTTGGCCAGGATGATCTTGATCTCCTGACCTCGTGATCCGCCCACCTTGGCCTCTCATGTAATTCATGCCTGGGATTACAGGCATGAGCCACCGCGACTGGCCTTTTTGTCATTCTCTTAATCTTATCAAATTGGGTCAGTGCTTATGGTGCGACAAGGATCTGGGAAATTACTCCTCTATGTAGCTGGTGGAAGAGAGAAAAATCTACTTACGGTAGTGCTTCTTCAGTCTTCCTAGACATAAGAGAATGGTGTTTTCTTCTCTCTACCCTTTAGAAGCCTGCTGCTCTAGGTTTCACCACAATGTCCTTGGCTCAGAAAATTGTGTTGAGATAATTGAATATGACTTTAGAATTCACATTGATCTGAGCTTTTCGTTTTACAAACGAGGAAACTGATTTATAACATTGGGCTTGAAGATATTAGATATAATTTTAATTTTGAGCAGCTTTATAAATATTCTATTCAGGTATTACAAAATATTTCCTTTTTCCCTAAAAAGTCCGTCTTTTGTGTTTATATGTATATAAATATATTTATTTATTTTTGAGACAGGGTCTTGATCTGTCCTCCAGGCTGGAGTACAGTGGCACAATCCTAGCTCACTATAGCCTTGAACTCCTGGGCTCAGGTGATCCTCCTGCCTCAGCCTTCCCAGTGTTGGGATTCACCAGATGTGAACCAAGGTGCCCAGCCCTACTTATTTATTTTAGTGGGGAATTAAAGCCTTAATGAACCTTGAACTTGAGGAACCAGTTTTATTTAAACAGTTAATTTCCATGAGTTTTGAGCTAAAGTCAGAGTAGACTTAACAGCAATTTGTTTTAGAACCTATAATACCAAAACTCACAGCAATTTTGTTGTTTGCCAGTGTATTCTAAGCTTTTCGAAGAAAAAGAAGCATGCATATTAATTGCTTGGTAGGGGTTATGCTGGAAGAACTTTGGATTTGATTCACCACTTGTAACTAAAATCATAGTATTGCAATTATTACTTTCCAGGCCAAAGATTGAGAGCATTAAAATCTGGGCATGGACATAACCAGCTAGATATGCCTCAATACCTGAAGGGATAAATTAAAGTCAACTATAAACTGTAAGCTTTTCACTTAAGCATCCATTAGCTTTAGTCTAGTGCTTAGCTGTGGAAATGAAGACTGGGGGGAACTGTGCCTAGGGGAAGGGTGGAGGTGAAGGGAGGTTATGTGTTAATAGAACTTTTTTCATTTCAGTTTAAAAACAAGCGATTTGGTTTATTTCCAAATTTGGCTGAGAGTCCTGGCTGCTAAGAGCTGTGCCTTCAACATCTCTTTGATTATTATGTATTTGATTAAAAGTGGGGTCACTATGGTTTGCATCTACTTGGCTATCAGTATCCTAAAGGGAGTGTATGCCTCTTTCTCTTCTCTTTCCTTTAATGGGTTAGACAGGTTGGTCTTTTTTTTGCGTCCCCAGGGATGGATTGATCTTAAAACAGGCACATTTTGCAGTACTTAGTTCAAAGAACACCATATGTTTTAAGTTATTTATTGTTTAGAAATTTTTACATTTCAGCATAGTACGGTTTTGGCTGTCTTTGTTCTCTTTCTTCTTCAGTTGCTTATTACCTTTTTCTAAGGCTCACCCTACTTAGCAGAGATCCAGGGCTTTTGATTGTAAAAGAGGCTAAAAGCTTTGAAATTTAGAGAATCCATTTATATGAAGTATATGATTTTTACTCTAATTATAGATTAAACATCATAATACATATATTATGCTGTGATGCTCTCATATAAGCCTTTCAAATTATCCCTTTTAAAAATAGTAACTACATTTTTTGTCTATAAATCATTGGTATTTATGTAGCTAAAGCATAAAAGACCATGAACATTTTCTTGATGGAATTCAATTATTTCTCGGTTACTGTAGTGGAATATTTATTTTAAAAGGCAGCATTATAAATTAACTTGATGCACATACTACCATCGCTACCACTCCTACCTTCCGAATCTGTAGATAGTAACATTTGTTGTATTTTTCAAAGATTGACTTGTAACTCATTTTAATTAATCGGATCCTTACTAGACTAGTTGAAATGTCCCAGATAATGATAATCATTAAAGTCTTAAAGAAGTATAGAAGTATGTTAATATGGTTTCTTTAAAACCTTTCGTTTGCCATTTTTCTTGCCTACAGACTAATTTCTTTCAGGTTTGGGGCATGTATTCATTTGCATGACAGTGTTTTGGATATATGAAATTAAAACTCATTTCATGGACTGCTCTAAAGTATATTGGGGCCAATGTGATTGGTTTCTGGAAATTCTTGGAGATTATTGAAAACGGTGGTTAAGCAGAGCTAATATTCCATGTTCATACCCTGATATACTTCTACATTTTGCAAAGATGGTATTTTGGGCAGCAGCAACCTATGCTAAAGGGTTATTGTCCTCTGGCAGTAAGTTAGCAGGCCTTTTGTACTATACAGCTGGTTAATGGAATCAATAACTCGTTTGATACTTGAATTGAGTAAAAAAATTGTAATAACAGCTTTATCGTGATACAATTCACATACCATACAGTTTACCTATTTAAAATGTACAAATCAATGGTTTTTAGTGTATTTACAGAACTGTGCAGTCTATTTTAGAACAATTTCCTCACTCCAAGAAGAAACCCCATATTCATTAGCAGTCGTTTTCCATTTCCCCACAACTCGTCCTCCTCACACCAGCCCTAGGCAACCACTACTAATCTACTTCTAACTCTATTGATTGTCCTGTTGTGAACATTTTATGTAAACAGATTTATATAATATGTAGTCTTTTGTGTCTGCTTTCTTTCACTTAGGATAATGCTGTGAAGTTTGTAGCATATATCAATACTTCAGTACTTTTTATTGCCAAGATTTGTTTTTTAAGATTATTTTATCATTTTCTTTCCCTTGACTCCATTTTTTCTCTTTTCATTGTGAAATCAATTCTAAGGTCTCCTGTCATAATTATTATGATTTCAAGGAGTGAACCAGTATATTTTTGTGATCTACAAGCAATCATCTGTATGATCTAGAGCATTTCACAGTTGATCTACATGTTAGAAGAGCTTTTTGGACTTTAAAAAATGTTTTTAGAAAGTGTGATGTTAGCTATTGCCAGTGGCAAGCCCAGCTGAACCAGGTACATCATCATGACCACAGAGTAGTCCATTTCAATATAGTTTGTATCATTAACATTTTTTAACATCTAAAAAAGTTTAGGTCATTTCTATGCTTTCATTAGTGATTCTTCACTAGGAAGGAACCTAGTGAAGTGCCAGTATGTTATCAGAAATAAAATTCCCAGTCTATCCATTGCTTATATATTTGTAAACACCAAAATGCATGAAAGATGAAGTTCTGGTATCAGTTACAGGGTTGACATAGCTTGATCAAGAAAATGTACATGTGCTATGTTAATCTTCTTTCTTTTTGTTTGTTATTTTTGAATTTTTTTTTTTTTTTATTTCAGGACCCTTCAAAAAATGATACATGCAAAAGGTTAGTATCTCCTTAACAGCTTTCCATACGTTCAAGGTAATGTCTGGCAAGAGACTCTTCCATAAGTATATGTATGTAACATAACTTATGAGTGCAGTTTGACAACTAATTCTTTTTTGGCCCAAATCATTGCAAATTCAGTTGTTCCTTGACATTAGAAAAATTAACTTTTACAGTTTCAGCCATTTTGAATAATCTAAAAGTTTCATGCCTTGAGTCATTTTTTAATCTTATTGTGACATAAATTGGAATCACACTCAGTAAGAGGCCAGGATGCATGGACAGGTAGCTACTATTGGGTCAGCCTTTAGTCCCGAAGTTCAACCCAGCTACATGATTCTACTTAAAACTTAATCGCATTTACTTCTCACAACCACTCTGTAAGGTAAGTGCTATTATTACATATTGCAGGAGAAAAAAATACTACGGTCATATTTAGGAATTTGGGTTTTCTCAGGTTTATTTACAATATATTCCTTGGCATTAATATTAGTAATTCATTAGTATTAGCTCTGAAAGTTATAAATTGCCTTACCTTAAGTGCCTCTATCTAAAATGACTGTGGAATCCTTGGCTTGTACAGTATCTTTGTGGAGATTATATAGAGCTAGCCATTCTATTTTTTGGACATCTCGAAGTATTTCAGAGAAAGAAAATATGTCTTTTTTTCCCATAAAGTATCAGATCTATTACTTGAGGTAACGGACACAGTATAAAAAATTACAAACTATTAGTAAATTTAGTTTCCTTAATATTAAGGGCTTAGGATCAGCGAAATGCTGCATAAAAATTTTGAAAATACAAGCCACAAAATTGCAGATTTTAAACAAAACTTATGCTTATGCAGGGCCGGGCGCGGTGGCTCACGCTTGTAATCCCAGCACTTTGGGAGGCTGAGGCGGGTGGATCATGAGGTCAGGAGTTCGAGACCAGCCTGGACAACATGGCGAAACCCCATCTCTGCTAAAAATACAAAATTAGCTGGGCATGGTGGTGCGAGCTTTGGGAGGCCAAGGCAGGAGAATCGCTTGAACCTTGGGAGGTGGAGGTTGCAGTGAGCCAAGATCGCTCCATTGCACTCCAGCCTGGGCAACGAGAACGAAACTCCATCTCAAAAAAAAAAACCAAACCTTATGCTTATGCTATAAAACTTAGACTTAAGCAAAGCATAAAACTGATAAAGAATTATTAGGTAGAAGATATAAAGAATTCCTACAAATCAGTTTTTTAAAACCTCAGTAGAATATGAGAAAAAGATTTAAGCACTTTACAGAAAAGGAAACACAAATGTAAACATATGGAAATGAGGTTTAATCTCATTCATCATTAGTGATATGTGAATTAAAATCATAGGTATATTTCATACCTAACCAGATTGGTAAAAATTAAAAATTTTGCAAATAAGAGTTGGTTGGAAAGTTTATCACCGACTCTTAAGCACTCCTAGGGTAATGTAAATGAGTATAATCACTTTGGAAAACAGTTTGGCATTATCTAGTAAATTTGATAGGATGACTTAACTTTTGACCCAGCAATTCCATTTCTAATGATATACTTGATAGAAATGTGTGCCCAGGTACACCCAGAAATATATGCAAGAATGTTCATAGCAGTGTTATTCGAGATATTCAAACATCAGAGACAACCCTAATAAATTGTGGTATATTCATACAATGGAATACTACAAAACAATAAAAATAAAGGAATCACAAACATGTAGTAGTCTAGATGGATCTCCAAGAAGAAAAATCTGTCTTATGGTAGGAAGTTATTGTTGAACCTGAATCTCCTGTGATGCAGTATAAATGTATTTCCTCTGGTTCTCTCCTCAGTGGCAGTTAAGTATTAGGAAAGATTATGTGAGGATTGGTGTCAACCATTCTCAGTCTTTTGTACTAAAGAAATTTTCTGGCCGGCGTGGTGGCTCATGCCTGTAGTCTCAGCAAACTGGGAGGCCGAGGTGGGTGGATCACGAGGACGGGCTGAGACAGAAGAATGGCGTGAACCCCAGAGGTGGAGCTTGCAGTGAGCCAAGATCGCGCCACCGCACTCCGGCCTGGGTGACAATGAGACTCCGTCTCAAAAAAAAAAAAAAGAAAGAAAGAAAGAAATTTTCTCCTTCAATGTTTTCTCAAGGATCCTACTTTTGGATTCTTCAGTCTCTTGCGGTTACTCTTCAAGGAGTCTGAATTCATTACTCTTATCAGGAGATTACTTCAGAGTTCCCATGTGCATATTGCTGTTATACGTGCCATATTGCTTGGTTTTGTAAACAAAGCTACCTGGCTGATATTCTAAACTAGTCCAGAGTAGCTTTCTGCTGTACGTAAGCATACAGAGTGCTAGGCATGTTTAGGCAAAGAGAATCATTTTTCTTATGAACTTCAGCTCGTTTTATTGACTTCAAAACCTTTTAATACCAAGACTCATATGTCTTAAGTAGAGGGGCAGCCGGGTCATTTGGATCATGGAAGAATTATACCTTAAAACTAGTGTGCTAATAAGTTCTATTAAAGAATTATTATGTTAAGGAGAATGATGACTGTTCTGAAGCTCCTAAGGAAGGTCTCTTGCAGTACTTTTGAAGCTGCCATTTGCTTCACCCTGTTAGAACTGTATATGCTTTGTGTGTATGTGTATCCTTATTAGTGTCCAAACTTAACTAGGGATTAAGAGGATGGGTTTGGAATCAGACTGTCCAGCTGCCTTTCTAGCTTTGGGATTTGGGGTGCAAAGCTTATATTTCCCTTGTATGAGATGAGAATAATAACCCTATTTCGTAGGTTATCCTATTTCATAAGGATTAAATCTTTAAAATACATATGAAGCAGATAGGATATTTCTGGTAGTTATATTAGATATGATTACTTCCAAATTTATATTGGGATGGATATGTTTTTATACATATATGAAATGTCACATACATAATGGTGTTTTTTCCTGTTTAAAAATGTTTAATTGTAGAATACGTGAAAAGCAAAAGCACAATGAAGAAAATGTGAGAGTATCCATAATCCCTAACTCAGAAATAACCACTATATGACTTTGTAGAAACACATATAGAGGCATTTAAAGACATCTTATTTGATATCATACTATTGGTTGTTTTTAACCTTTTAAAAAATTACTTTGTAATATTGTCACTCCAATTCAAATATTTTTCCCCAACTACTTTGTGATAAAAGCAGTTAAATTTCCCAAAGTAAATAAAAACTCCTTGCCTATATAAAAACATGTGAAAGCTGAAAGATAGTGAACATTTGGCTTAAAATATTAACAACTTTATTGCTTTCTCCCCCTATTCCTAGTTGCTGGGCATATTGGATTTTACCCATCATAGGCGCTGTTCTCTTAGGTTTCCTGTACCGCTACTACACATCGGAAAGCAAATCCTCCTGAGGAGGCCTTGCTGAAGTTAGAAAGTGCATCCACTTTGGGGCGAAAACTAGAGACTTGCTTGGGGGCTGCAGAAGTGCCCTCTCCTCGAATCCTGCCAGTTGCATTCTTCCCCCTTGGAGCCAAGACGATTGGCCAGACATCACCTCAGATCTGAGACCAGCGTCTTCCATCTCTCAGAGCCTTACTCCCAAAGTACCTGCTCACTGTTCCGTGTTGAACAATTGCCGGTGTTTCCTCTCTTCACTGGTTTCCATGAGTACCCTTATATTTCACAACTTTCTGTTCATAAGTTATAGTGACATTGCTCTTTGGTAAAAATGCCTGCTTTCCAATACTTTGATTGCATATTAGACATTCTTAACAGGGCGGCAGTCTAGTGTTGAAAGTTTTATTTTTCCATTTTTCTTTTAAGTAAATTTTTTTTAAAAAATTCTGATTTAGGGCTAGGTGTGGTGGCTCAGGCCTGTAATCCTGGCACTTTGGGAGGCCAAGGTGGGAAGATCGCTTGAGGCCAAGAGTTCAAGACCAGCCTGGGCAACATAGCGAGACCCCTATCTGTATTAAAAAAAAATCTGATTTAATTCTTTTATTTATCATAAGGGGTTTAATTCCTGAAGTAAAGGTTTGCACCTATTAAACTTAAAACTGCCAAATGATTTTTGTTCTTTTATGTGCGTGATAAAAATACAAAGAATGGTGTGGCCACCTCCTCCCTTTCAAGCTAGGGCAGCAGGTAGCTCTTCCCAGCCCCTGAGCCCAGCCCCTTCCCAAGTGGTGCCGGACAAAAAACTACATGGCCCTTTCGTGTCTTGGGGGTGGAAAGGTAGGGATGAATTGGGGTGATAGAACCCTGGTGAATTCAGAGTAATCTTTCTTTAGAAAACTGGTGTTTTCTAAAGAAACAGGATAGGAGTTTAGAGAAGGCACCAAAGCTTTCACTTTGGTTTGGCACCAGTTTCTAACCATCTGTTTTTTCTACCCTAGCTATCTTTTATTGGTAAAATATAAATGTATAATTATGTTTGTAGAGCTTTACCAAGGAGTTTCCCTCCTTTTTTGTTTGTTGATTAGCAAATTTTTGATTCTCCATTTTCCAAAAGTAAGAGACTCCAGCATGGCCTTCTGTTTGCCCCGCAGTAAAGTAACTTCCATATAAAATGGTATTTGAAAGTGAGAGTTCATGACAACAGACCGTTTTCCATTTCATCTGTATTTTATCTCCGTGACTCCAACTTGTGGGTTTGTTCTGTTTTTCCATGAGAATAAAATACTGGCGGTTTTTTTCTCAGATGTGTGTTCATTGAGAAGTAGGTTACTAGAATTATGTTACTGTGTCTTATTGGTTCAATGATGATTTCTCTGGCATATTAGACTTTTATTTTTTCCCCCATGGAAGCACTTGAGGAAATAAATAGTACACTGGCTGTTTTCTGCCAGCAACTGTGGTGATTTTTCTCCCTGTCCTTTGAGAATTGCTAGTCTGCTTCTGAGCCATTGTCATATCCAGCAGGGAGCAGCTTGGTTCAAGAAGGACCATAGAGGCTGCTCAGCATCTCCTCCCTCCCTCCCAGCTTGCCAGGGATTTGATGAGACAGGAAACTGCCCAGCAAACCAGGGACTGCCCATGTAAACTATTTAAGAAAAAGTTCAACCCAGGTCTTGTATCCTGTGATTTAGCAGTTGAATGAATACAGAATTCATCAAAATAATATTAACCTTGTACTTGCACACTTGGATATATTTGGGAGTAATTTTAGGAGATTTCTGGCTGACTTTTATTATCAGGGATATGGGTTTAGTAAAGCTTTTATCTTTAGAAAAATGTTTGTATGCATTATAAGATGCTACTTTTAAGACAATATTGAAAAAAACTTTGGTTATTATTTAACAAAAGTGGTATGACTTGATGCTTCTCTATTTAAAGGCAAGGAAGGATTGGTATATGATTGCCTGTAATAAATAAATTGCGTGATTATTGGAGTACATTGGGGTAAAAGTAAAGAACAGAGGAGTATTGAGGAGCTTGAAAGGGAACATTCAAACTAAAGCCAAGCCTGAAGATAACTTGAATCAGTTGTAAAAGTGTGTTGGCAATGTCCGAAATTGAATGAAAAACATCTGGCTTATAAGAAATGTTAAAGAACTACCATCTTAAGTAAAATTGGTGTTTTTGTTATTTTTAAGGTAAATGCCAATGCAAAAGGTATGTTTTTCTACTTCACATTGGTTTTCTTTTCCTGTTTACATCTGCACTTGTTTTTTGCTGAGAGCCAGAGGAAAAGATAATTAGACTTTGTCTCTTCCACCCATGAAATCCCCCAGTACCCAGGGCTTCTTCTGAACTACTGCCGATGTGATGTCACTTTGTATCTGGAAAATCACTTTGGGGTCCATTTACTGTTATTTTGTTGCCTACAAAAACAGCCAGGTGAAAGCTAAATCTTGTGTGAGAGTTTGCAGAGGTTTTTCTATACAATAAAGTAGTATAGCACACTAGCCAAATCCATCCAAAAGGACCTTTTTTTTAGGAAGTAGACTTGAATTCACAAAACAGTCTTGACATGGGTAGCTGGTGAAAAACCCTCTGGAGAGCAAGTGGAGCCAGTCCCCATTGGCTGACAGTGCCACCTGGAGCTGGTCTCTGGGGTGTTCGGTTGTTTATTCCTGAGGAAGACTAGCTGCTGCTGCTGCTGCTGCTGCAAACTGTACTGTACACATCATGGCTGCTGGACACGAAGGAGGAGGTGAGAGAAGTTTCATGCTACCGAAATAGAGGGTGTTGGTACCACTGCCCCTGGCCTGAGAGCCAGGGTTTAAACCTGCCTCAGTAGAGTCTAGTTTGAAATGACACCAAAATTCCTCAGCCCCTACTCAGCAATTGGTTTTGGTTTCCAAATGACTTCTGCATTTGTAAAGATAACAGAGTGGTGGGGTCAAAGTTTATCTTGTGTTTAGATCTCTTCAAGACTGCTTAAGCAAAAACAAAAATCCCTTGGAACCTATCGTTTGAGCCTGTAAAGTTGTTTTAGCAGTTGTCATAAATGCATATGTTGTGAAATCAGAACACTGTCGAGTTTATACTCATTTAGCTGCAATGTGGGACAATGAAAAATGCTTTACAGGCCTGGAGTATCATTACTTATGGTATCTCCTGCTTTAAAATCTCAAGCGATATCTATCTGGTTAAATTCCATTTTAGGAGATTGAGATGCAGAACGTTAATGTTCATTACCTCCTCCTACCCCAAGAGAAATGGATTCAGACATGTCTTGTCTCAACAAGAAATTGATTTTTTTTTAAACTATCTTATTCTGTTGCCAAATATCACAGAAGTAATGAGGAGTTTAGTTACATTTGGCTGTTGTGCTCTGAAAGAGCCAGGTTTGGAATTTGTGGGGGTGATCTAGGAAGAAGGTTCCAAAGAAGCAGAGGCATTTGTCAAGTTACCTACCCTATATCCAGCATCCTCCTCATGAGCTTCAGTAGCTGCTCTTTGCCCACGCTTGTATCCTACGTTTGCTATTTGGGCAAACCATTACTTCAGTTATTTAACTTCCCTTTTTTTTTAACTTCACCTTTGACTATGAACAAGTAACGGTAACATTCCTTTTGTGTATTCAATAATGCAGTTAGTTTACCTTTTTCAGAATATTTTGAACAAAGATCTTTGTCTCTTTCTGCTGGAATGCGCACACAGTGAACGTTTGTTAGAACTACACACAATAAAGACACTGTTTTCCTTTTCTTGCCCCGACTACACTTATTATTTTTAATTTAAAAAGGTGTTTTTTAAGTAGAAGTGTTGGTTTTGTAATCCTCAGGTGTTCTGGAAGAAAAGGATTTCAGAAGCATGACAGTCTCCCGTGTCTGTGCTAATGGTGTGTTTAGCATAACGTGGTGGGGAGTTCCGTGGTTCTCCAGGATTCTCCTCACTGTTCTTTTCGTGAAGTGAATCGTTCATTTGATAATCGTGAAATGCAAAAAGCAAGGCTGTGTTTTAATGGCTGTGAAGTGGGAACGGGGTAGCCAGGTTTGAGGTTCTGTTTCCACTGAAAATACCTACTGACAGAGAAGCCAGTACCAGGTAATACTGTTTTGTTATCTGCAATGCCAGTCTTCAAATGATTGTTTTTCTTGGAAATAGCTAAACTGTTGGGGAAAATTAAACACTGAGATTGAAGTTTAGTGACTGTGTTAATAAAACAAGGGAAATAAACCGTTTTTATAATTACCTTTGAAACATACTGATAGCCATCTAACATTACTAACATATCAGATTTCTGTTGAGAGATTGTTCATTAGGGCTCGGCTATTTCACTGTCACAGGAACTGAGGATTACTAACAGGAAAGGATAACCCCATTCTTGTTACCAAAGTTTGAATTTAATGTTTAATCTTTGATACTAGTAAGAATTTATTATCACAGCACTGTCCCTGATGCTGAATAGTGGGTAGGTGCTTGACAAATCCTGGTTGATTCGTGAAAGCCTGAGGTAGAAGACTGTCCAATTATGTAAATTTAAGGGAAGAAATACCCACACAATCTGTTAAACTGCTGATAATTGATAGCATAAATCTAACGTTAATTAGTGAACTAGATTACTATGTATTTTCAAAGCCCAGTCAGCTTAATCACATATATACCAGCATTTTAAAAACAAAATTATTTGATGAAGCAGTGAGAGACTAGAGTGGCTTTTCAGGTGAAACATGAGGATGCACTTGCAATGCTGTCATTTCTCTGATGCCTACTATGTGCCATGCAATGTGGTTTACAAACCTTGCTGATCCTTACTCTTACAGTGTCCTTACAAGGTAGTCCCTGTCTACCTTGTAAGGACATTTTTATGGCAACTCAGACAGCCACCTGACTTGACCACAGAGGTAAGAGGAGAGCCAGAGTTTTTGTTTTGTTTTGTTTTGAGACAGAGTCTCACTCTGTCCCCCAGGCTGGAGCACAGCGGCGTGATCTTGGTTCACTGCAACCTCCACCTTCTGGGCTCAAGCAGTTGTCTCACTCACCCTCCCAAGTAGCTAGGACTATAGGCATGCGCCACCTCAACCGGCTAATTTTTGTATTTTTTTGTAGAGACAAGGTTATGCCATGTTGGCCAGGCTGGTCTTGAACTCCCGGCCTCAAGTGATCCACCCGCCTTGGCCTCCCAAAGTGCTGAGATTACAGGCGTGAGCCACCGCCTGAGAGCCAGGGTTTAAACCTGCCTCAGTAGAGACTAGTTTGAAATGACCCTTGAGTCCCATGCAAAAGTTTCCTGAAGCCAGTTAATGAGAATTTAGATCTGGACTATGTTGCTGGAAACAACTTTTCATAAGAGGCAAAGGATTGAGAATTGAGGACAACTGATGAAATCCTTAAGCAGCACAGATGAGAAGTCCTTGCATAACTCCATCAGTCTAGGATCCTGGATAAAATTTAACCTGGAACTGTGTATGTAAATATATAGTTTTTGGCTTTTGTAAAGAGGGTTTTGCTCTATTGTCCAGGTTGGAGAGCAGTGGCATGGTCATAGCTCACTGTAGCCACAAACTCCTCTGCTCAAGTCTCAGCCTCCCAAGTAGCTCGGACTACAGCTGTGTGCCACCATGCCCAGCAACGTCAAATTTTTTTTTTTTTTTTGTAGAGTCTATGTTGCCCAGTCTGGTCTCAAACTCCTGGCCTCAAGCCAATCCTCCTGCCTCAGCCTCCTGAAGTGTGTGTTTACAGGCATGAGCCACTGTGCCTGGCCCCAATTTCCTTTTTTCTTTTTTTCCCATTTTTCAGAAATTGAGGTGGGATTGTCTTCCCAAACAATACAATGATGTTCATAATAAGAATCTTCTGACAGACCTACTCACTCTGATTTTAATAACCTAAGAAATCTAATCAGAGACAAATAGAGATAGAACCAGGAGAGGCTAAGTCATGAACAGCACTGGAAAATGAGCTTCCGAGACTCCCAGTCTGACCCTTTTTTCTCTTTTGTAACTTTTTTTCCCTACCTCTCATCCTACCTCATCTTGCCCCCTTGCTTTGCCTTGTGTTTTATTTTATAAAAGACACCACCTCAGCTATACTCCTCTTTTCTTTTTCTTTTGTTTTAGAGCTGGGGTCTTGTTACGTTGCCCAGGCTGGACTGGAACTCCTGGGCTCAAGCCATCCTCCGACCTCAGCCTCCCCAGTAGCTGGGACTACAGGCACGCACCACTGCACTGGCTACATCTTCATTTTTGTGTTGTGGTACAAAAATGTACTTGACACTCTGTCCTAAAAACACTGGGAAGAAATAATTTGTTTATAAGCTGGACCATCCAGAAATAATGCAGTTCTGTTTGAACATCTCTATTCACCTTCGTTTAAAGCTACATTCTAGCTCTGGGCCTTTCATGTGAGTCAAATTTGCCTTTTAAGTTACTTCAAATAGGGCTTCTGAAACCCACGTCTCTTGACAACTATGGTCTCTGCAACTTATCTGACCTTAAAACACTTGCCTGGGTAATGTCCTTATAAGAGTTCTTCCTTTCTGGCCGGGCGCGGTGGCTTACACCTGGAATCCCAGCACTTTGGGAGGCCGAGGTGGGTGGATCACTTGAGGTCAGGAGTTTGATACCAGCCTGGCCAACGTGGTGAAACCCTGCCTCTACTAAAAATACAAAAATTAGCTGGACCTGGTAGTGCATGCCTGTAATCCCAGCTACTTGGGAGGCTGAGGCAGGAGAATCTCTTGAACCTGGGAGGTGGAGGTTGCAGTGAGCTGAGATCGCACCATTGCATTCCGGCCTGGGGGACAAGAGTGAAACTCCATCTCAAAAAAAAAAAAAAAAAAAAGAGTTCTTCCTTTCCAAGTATACCTGAGTTCCCATAAGACAGAAAGTCATTTTGTTGCTGTTAATTTTTTGAGTAAGGGTCTCACAGTGTCGCCCAGGCTGGAGTGCAGTGGTATGATCACGGATCACTGCAGCCTCCACCTCCCAGGGTCAAGCAATCCTCTTACCTCAGTCTCCCGAGTTGCTGGGATTACAAGTGCATGCCACCGTGCCCAGCTAATTTAAATTTTTTTTATTTTTATTTTTTTTAGAGAAAAGGTCTTGCTATGTTGCCCAGGCTGGTCTTGAATTCCTAGGCTTAAGTGGTCCTCTGGCCTTGGCCTTGGCCTCCCAAAGTGCTGGGATAACAGGTGTGAGCTACTGTGCCCAGAAACTCATTTTTTATTCCATGCCAAGTCTCAGTATCTCTGGAAAGAGGAAACATTCTTCACTTTAAAACACCTACAGATTATTATTGTCATAGAGTAGGATACAGAAACCCACTTAAGCTCACATAGGTAAGAGAGAAATGACTTGCTGTGAATCAGTAACGAATGAGTATCTGGTGGAACACAAGGGTAGAAATCCCAGCTGGCCCTCCTGAGGAACTAGGAACAGGAACCAGAAACCCATAGGAACCAAAGTGGTTACTTTAGTTTCCTGTCTAAACTTCTGAAGGAAATTAATAATTAGAAGTGAAAATGTGGTTGGCTGAGTAATATGAGTGTCTACTTCTGGTCCCATCAAGGGGATGGGGACCCATCCCCCAGCCTTGAATGGGAAAGGGATCATAGGGAAAGCAGTTTCCCCAGGGAGATGCTGTAATTGCATACTGCATGTATATTTAAATGTCTTCATTAATGAACTAAAAGCCCTCTGAAGGAAGGCACTTCTGCATTTCTCAGGGTGCCCTGCATTAGGCTGGGCCACAGGGAGGGCGAAGTGGATTCAGTATGGCTTATCATGCTGTGCCTGCATGCACAACTATAGCCATGCTATAATGAAGATAGTATAGGCCAGGCACAGTGGCCCATGCCTGTAATCCTAGCACTTTGGGAGGCCAAGGTGGGCGGCTCACCTGAGGTCAGGAGTTTGAAACCAGCCTGGCCAACATGGGAAAACCCCATCTCTACTAAAAGTACAAAAAAAAAAAAAATTAGCTGGGTGTTGTGTCATGCACCTGTAATGCCAGCTACTCGGGAGGCTGAGGCAAGAGAATTGCTTGAGTCTGGGAGGTGGAGGTTTCAGTGAGCTGAGATCGTGCCACTGCATTCCAGCCTGGGCGACAGTGGGACTCCGTCTCAAAAAAAAAAAAAAAAAGTAGAGGTCCCATAACCAGTTTCCCCTATTATTAACATTACATGTTTATATGCGACAGTTGTTACAATTAATGAACCAATATTGGTACGTTATTATTGAAGTTCTTATGCTAGTTTCTTAGTTTTTGCCTGTTGTCTTTTTTCTTTTTTTTTGGAGACGGAGTCTCAGCTCAATCTCAGCACACTGCAACCTCCCCCTCCTGGGTTTACGCCATTCTCCTGCCTCAGTCTCCCGAGTAGCTAGGACTACAGGCACCCGCCACCACGCCCGGCTAATTTTTTGTATTTTTAGTAGAGATGGGGTTTCACCATGCTGGCCAGGCTGGTCTTGAACTCCTGACCTCGTGATCCACCCGCCTTGGCCTCCCAAAGTGCTGGGATTACAGGCATGAGCCACCGCACCCAGCTGACCTTGACAGTTTTAAGGAGTACTGGTCAGGTACATTGTAGGATGCCCTCTGTTAAAATTTGTCAGATGTTTTTCTCATGATTAGACAGAGGTTATGAAATGGGGAGAGGAAGACCACAGGGATAAATTGCCATTTTCATTACTTCATCTCCAGAGGACACACTGTCAACATGATCTGTGATGGTTGATGCTGACCTTGATCACCTGGCTGAGGGACTGTTTATCAGGTTCCTCCACTCTCTAGTCACTCTTCAGGAGGGACTTTCTATATTGTTCCACACTGTGGCAGGAAGTCGCTGCACAGCCCACACTTAAGGAGTGGGGAGTTATGCTCCATCTCCCTGAGAGCAGAATGTCTACATGAATTATTTAGAATCTTTCTGGATAGGAGATTGGTTTCATAGATTTTAAAATTTCTTTTTATTTACATATTTATTTTTAGAGACAGGGTCTCAACTAGGTTGCCCAGGCAAGAGTGCAGTGGCTCTTCACAGGTACAATCAATCACTGCACACTGCAGTCTCAAATTTCTGGCCTTGAAGTGATCCTCCCTCCTCAGCCTCCTGAGTAGCTGGGACTACAGGCACATACCACCACACCACACCACGCTCAGGTTTCACAGAATTTTATAGTGGATTGATATTTAGATTTTTTTTTTTTTTTTTTGAGATGGAGTCTCACTCTGTCGCTCAGGCTGGAGTACAGTGGCGTGATCTCGGCTCACTGCAACCTCCGCCTCCCGGGTTCAAGCGATTATCCTGCCTCAGCCTTCCAAGTAGCTGAGATTACAGGCATGTGCCATCACACCTGGCTAGTTTTTCTATTTTTAGTAGAGATGGGATTTCACCATGTTGGCCAGGCTGGTCTCGATCTCCTGACCTCGTGATCCGCCTGCCTCAGCCTCCCAAAGTGCTGGGATTACAGGCGTGAGCCATCATGCTCGGCCCCAAAAGGTGTTTAGTAACTTGCCTAAATGTGGATAGCCAAAGGCCATCAACCATTTTTGGAAAGCCTTCCCATGAAACTTAGAGACCAAAACAAAATAAGAAAAAGAAAAAAACAATGCAGAATAAAACTGACAGGGAAAACAAAACAACAAGCTGATAACACCAAAGAGATGAGAGATGACATTGTCTCCATGAATACAGTAGGATGCTATTTTAGAAAAGGAATATTCAGCCAGCTCAGCCTGTAATCCCAGCACTTTGGGAGGCCGAGGCAGGCAAATCACCTGAGGTCAGGAGTTTGAGACCAGCCTGGCAGACATGGTGAAACCCCATCTCTACTGAAAATACAAAAATTAGCTGGGTGTGGTGGCAGGTGCTTGTAATCCCAGCTACTCAGGAGGCTGAGGCAGGAGAATCACTTGAACCTGGGAGGCAGAGGTTGCAGTGAGCTGAGATCACGCCATTGCACTCCGACAGAGTGTAGTGTGACAGAGCAAGACTCCGTCTCAAAAAAAAAAAAAAAAAAAAAGAAAAAAAGGAACATTCAGAGAATAAGACTTCTAGAAATTATAAGCAGCATTGTAAAGAAATACTTGTCTGAAAGCCTTTTCTTGGCTTTTTTTTTTTTAGGATCAATTTCTTGCTCTGAAGTTATTCAGTCTAAAGATGTGTATATTGTTAAGTCTCTGTATCACTTTCTAACTACTTTCTAAGAGTGGCACAATTTACCGTCCCACCAGCAAGATCTAAGAATGCCCGTTTCACTGTGGAACTGGATATTTTGCATCTTAAATCCAATGCTGGTGTACCTTTTCTTAGGTACCTGGAAAGTAGAAATCATTTTGGTCACATAATTCTTTTAAAATGAATCCAATCTATTTACTTAAGAAATCATTTGCTCATAAGAATTATGAATTATCACTTTTTTTTTTTGAGACAGAGTCTTGCTCTGTTGCCCAGGCTGGAGTGCAGTGGTGCAATCTTGGCTCACCACAACCTCTGCCTCAGCCTCCCGAGTAGCTGGGACCACAGGCACGCACCTCCACACCTGGCTAATTTTTTGTATTTTTAGTAGAGACAGGGTTTCACCATGTTGGCCAGGCTGGTCTCGAACTCCTGACCTCAGGTGATCCACCCACCTTGGCCTCCCAAAGTGCTGGGATTACAGGCATGAGCCAATGTGCCTGGCCTCTAAGCTATTCTTTATTAAACATTCTTTGAGAACTGCCTGTTTTTCAATATCTTCTATGAATTGATCCAATACTACCTATCAGATTTTATTGCCTAGAGAACCTACTTTCAGCTGGCCACATCCACTGTCTTCTGCTCCCACCTTGTTCTTTCCTACCCCTTGTACTTTTGAGCGTTGTTTTCCATGAGCCAATATCCAATATCCACTCCCACCCATTTCTGTTGGCAAATGAATTTTGTCATGAGTTCTGGCTCCAGTGGATGGGCTTGGGTTGCCTGGAGCACTGTGTTGGGTCTGAGCTCAGTAGGAAGTGGAACCACACTGGCATGAAGAGAGTGGCAGTACACAGGCAGCATATTTGCCACATCGGCCTAGCTAAGTCATATCCAGCCTTCAAAGACCAGCCTAAGTCTCACTTTCTCCATGAAACCTCAAATCACTCTTGTCCACTCCAACTGAATTCTCCCTTCCCTGAGTCCCTGTCACACTTGTGCCATGTCATTTTTTGGCACCTGAATGGTTTTTGTTAGTCTTCCCAAATAGACTGGAGTCTCTGAAGGCAGAGATGGGGCAGTATTCTTACTCTATGTTCCTTCACTATACCAGTATGTATTAGTCTGTTTTCACACTGCTGATAAAGACATACTGAGACTGGGCAATTTACAAAAGAAAGGTTTAATTGGACTTACAGTTCCACGTGGCTGGGGAAGCCTCACAATCATGGCGAAGGCAAGGAGGAGGAACAAGTCCCGTCTTACATGGATGGCAGCAGGCAAAGAGAGAATGAGAAAGACACAAAAGCAAAAACCCCGATAAAACCATCAGATCTCGTGAAACTTATTCAATACCATGAGAACAGTATGGAGGAAACCGCCCCCATGATTCAATTATCTCCCACCAGGTCCCTCCCTCAACACTTGGGAATTATGGGAGTACAGTTCAAGATGGGATTTGGGTGGGGACACAGAGCCAAACCATATCACAGTGCAACGCCCTACACATAGAAGATGCTCAGAATCCATTGGATTGCTTGGCTGGGGGTAGTTTTAGCAAAACAGAAGTGAAAAATGTGCACTCTGCTGGTATGGTAGAAAAGAGCATTCCTCTTAAAATCTCCACAACCTTCATCTGACCTTCACGGAACAAATTAACAGAGGCTTCTTTGTAACATTGAGGGTCCTCATTGGAGGATCCTTGGCTACATTGGGTCTTGACATCATGAAATATTCAACTTCTTTCAAGAAGGCCTAACCTACACTGAAAAGCAAAGGGAAGTAGTATTAAGTTACAAATAAAAGATACATTTCTGGTTGACATAAGAATGAACAGCAAAATGTATATGACTCCTATGTTATTCTTGAAAAGGAATTGGAATTCTAACAGGAATGAAAATTTAAACATCCCAGGAATACTGAATGGCTGTTGGATATCATAAAAACAACCAAAATATTTGATGATTGTGCAATATTATATTTTTACTTTGTAAAAAGGAATAAATTTTCTAAAACTTGGGTAGGATTAGGCCCATCAAGATCAGGTACTATTGGTGTACCTTCTCATATTAGAACTGTGCCTATTAGCTATAATGTTTATAATATTTGTGCTGACACAATGCCTTATAAATATAGTACAATTAAAATCTTAGAAACATTTAAAAAAAAACCTTCCTCAGGAATGTTAGTTTTCTGAAGGATGTGCTGAACTTTTCACTCTTCAATTGGAATTGCCCTGGTATTCATCCTCTCTTGCTGGTATTAAGAATAATATTACTTTGTGTGTTCATCCTCTGCGAATGATTATTTAAAGACCTCTTAGCCAGGCACGGTGGCTCAGGCCTGTAATCCCAGCACTTTGGGAGCCGAGGCAGGCGGATCACCTGAGGTCAGAAGTTCAAGACCAACCTGGCTGACATTGTGAAACCCCATCTCTACTAAAAATACAAAAATTAGCCGGGTGTGGTGGTGGGCGCCTGTAATCCCAGCTACTCGGGAGACTGAGGCAGGAGAATTGCTTGAACCTAGGAGACAGAGGTTGTAGTGAGCCAAGAACGCACTACTGCACTCTAGCCTGGGTGACAGAGTGAGACTCCGTCTTCAAAAAAGAAAAAAAAAAAGAGATGGAAGTGTGTTACATTCTCAGCCACCTTGAGAATATAAATATTAATACATGTATCCATATGTATGATTCATATTTATAATATCCTTTAGAAAAAAATGGGACTTTTACATTTTAATTATAATTTATTAAGAGACAGGATCTCACTGTCACCGAAGCTAGAGTACAGTGGTGCATTCATAGCTCACTTCAGCTGCAAACTCCAGGGCTCAAGCACTCCTCCTGGCTCAGTCTCCTGAGTAGCTGGGACTAAGGATGTGCACCATCCCACCGCTAATTAAAAAATTTTTTTTTGTACAAACAGTGTGTTGCTACGTTGCTCAGATTGGTCTCGAATTTCTGGGCTCGAGCAATCCTGCCTTGGCCTCCAAAAAATGCTGAGATTATAAGCATAAGCCACCGTGACTGTTTTTTTTTTTTTTTTTTTTGAGACGGAGTCTCAAAACAGCCTGTCGCCCAGGCTGGAGTGCAGTGGCGTGATCTCAGATCACTGCAAGCTCTGCCTCCCGGGTTTCTGCCATTCTCCTGCCTCAGCCTCCTGAGTAGCTGGGACTACAGGTGCCCGCCACCACACCTGGCTAATATTTTTTGTATTTTTAGTAGAGACGGGGTTTCACCGTGTTAGCCAGGATGGTCTTGATCTCCTGACCTTGTGATCCGCCCACCTTGGCCTCCCAAAGTGCTGGGACTACAGGCGTGAGCCACCACGCCCGGCCTTTTTTTCTTTTTTTGAGACGAAGTTTTGCTCTTGTTGCCCAGGCTGGAGTGCAATGGTGTGATCTCAGCTCACTGCAACCTCTGCCTCCCAGGTTCCAGCGATTCTCCCATCTCAACCTCCCGAGTAGCCGAGACTATAGGCGCCCGCCACTACGCCCAGCTAATTTTTGTATTTTTAGTAGAGATGGGGTTTGGCCATGTTTGCCAGACTGGTCTCGAACTCTTGACCTCAGCTGATCCACCTGCCTCAGCCTCCCAAAGTGCTGGGATTACAGGCGTGAGCCACCGTGCCTGGCCACCACAGTGCTTTTAATGGTGGCAATTTTTAATTGTAAAAATTGGGCTTTTAATGTGAGAGGATATTCAAACATCTAGGGCAACTGAATGGCTATTGGATATTATTGAGGTAACTGAAGGAACCTGGAGTCTTTGGAAGAGCTGCAGCTTGCACACCTTGAGGCATTTAAATGACATGCCCCGTGTGCACTGCATGTCATCATGTGATTTGCAAAGAGGGGGGACTCGTCCTAAATTGGACTGAAACATGATGTCCCATGCTTAACATAACTGGTAACAGACACTATCCCAATAATTAAAAAAAATATGTTTATGACTTAGTACCCAAAGAGGCAATTCAGTCAGGAAGGATCGTTGACGTTCAGAGGAGAAAGAGCAAGAGCTGCTGTGTTTATTTTGCCATGGTCAATTTATTCTTTCATCAAAGAGTTACTTTCTTCCCTCTAACCCTGAATCTCCAACAGTATGTTTAGCCACGTACCTCCCCTGTTTATAACTCTTGTTACCAATTAGTAATGTAAAGCATGTTTATAAAGGAAAGCAGACACTTTCCATTTAGTTACATGTCTTTCTCTGGGGAGCTTTGGAGTGGACCTCTCAATGTCCATCCCACCCCAATGATAGGTCTAGGACATTGGGATAATCCCAGCCCCTGGTCTGGCTGGTTGCACATGTGACCCTGTTCTCACCAATGGACTGTGAGGTGCTGTCTGCAGAGGGACCTCTGGGAGAAGTTTCCTCTCCAAAGAGAGAGCCACAAGAAAGAGCATTGGTGGCTGTTCTACCACCAGCTGGAGCAGGAAGCAAACAGCAAGGATGGCCAAGGCAGGAGGTGGAAAGAACATGGGTCTCTGTTGACTCAAGCTGCTCACTCAGTTAACCCTGCAGCAGGGCTTCCATTTATGTGGAGATCATAAATTTTCTTGTTGTTTAAGCCATTTGAGTTGAGGTTTCTATTACTTGCAGCTGGAAGCATCCTCACTGATAAACTATTCCTAAGAGGAATGACTCATGGGCAAGCAATCCTCCCAGCTTCTGATTAACGCTGGCCTCCAGAGATAATTATCTGGGCCATCAGATATATAAAAATATGGAGGTCAGAATATTAAAGTTATAATGGTTGCCTTTAGGGAGAGGGTGGCGACAGTGACTGAGAGGGGCTTCTGGAATGCCAGTAAATTCTTGATCTGGGTGGTGGTTATAGTTTACTTTAGGGTAAATTCACTGAGCTGTGTGCTTATGATTTGTGTGTTTTTTGGTAAGTTCTACGTCAATTTAAAAAGTTTATTTTTTAAGTATTATATTGTAGCCAGACCTCTAAACAAACTGTTTATATCTTGCCTGGAAGGATATGGATGGCATATTGTGGTTATTGTACCAGGCAGCCGAATGAAGCGGTAGGTTCTGCTTTCTTTCACAAACTCCCAGAAGCTTATTGTAAAGCTTTCCTGTCACCAGTGTGTGGCCAACCCACGCTTATCTCAGTCGAAATGTTTTCCCTTTTGGTTTGGATGGAAGGGCCTCAAAGCCTTGCCAATGAACAGCTTCATCATTTTTAGAACCCAGTCATAATTAATATGAAAAACCAGATAAAAACTAATGGACTAGCAACGGTCCTTGGAGAACTTTGTCCAGCAACATTTTGAGAGAAAGATTTTATTTATGGGAGGAAAACTCCAAAGAAATCACTGGACTTAGAAGAAAGCAACTATAAACCTTACGCTGTCTAGGTTATTGAGAACTTTAGTTTTTATTTAGGTATGTATATATTTATTTATTTATGGAGACTGGGTCTCACTCTCACCCAGACTGGAGTACAGTGGTGTGATCATGGCTCCCTGTAGCCTCTGTCTTCTGTGATCCTCCTGCCTCAGGCTCCACTAATTTTCCTTATTTGGATTTCCTCTAGTTGAGCCAGGTCTTTCTCCAGATACTTTGGTCCCCAAAGCCCACATATTCTTCTTCCATAAACAACAAAATGAGCTAGAGGTCTTGCTGGGAGTGGTGGCTCACGTCTGTAAGCCCAGTATGTTGGGAGGCTGAGGTAAGAGGATCACTTGAGCCCAGGAGTTCGAGACCAGCCTGAGCAACATAGCCAGACCCCATCTCTACAAAAAAAAAAAAAAAAAAAAAAATATATATACACACACACACACACACACACACACACACACACACACACATATATATACACACACATATATATATACACACATATATACACACATATATATACATATATACACACATATATATACATATATACACACATATATATACATATATACACATATATATACATATATACACACACACATATATATACATATATATATATATACACACATATATAAAAATTAGCTGGGCATGGTGGTGTGTGCCTGGAGTCCCAGCTACTCGGGAGGCTGAGGCAGGAGGATCACTTGATCCAGGAGTTCGAGACCAGCCTGGCTGAGAGGCAGGAGGATCACTTGAGCCGAGATCACGCCATTGCACTCCAGCCTGGGTGACAGAGCGAGACTGTCTCAAAAAAACAAACACAAAAAAAATCCTTTCAGAATAGGGCATAAGTAGGTAAGTACCTATATACAGTTATGAGCCATTCAGAATAAACCCCAATGTATCCATCACCCAGGACAAGAACTAGAACATTGGCTACAGCCTGGAAGACTTTCTTGTGCCCCTCTCTGACGTGTCTCCCTTTCTTCCTGCCAGAGACAACCAATATCCTGGTTTTTTGGTTGTAATTTTTTTAAAATAGTTTTTGTACCTACACTTGCAATCTTAAACCACATGATTTAGTTTTGCTTGTTCTGGAACTTTGTATAAATGAAATCATAATGTATGTATTCTCTTGTGATGTGTTTCTTTCAACAATATGTTTGTGAGATTCACCCATGCTGTTATGTGTAGCTGTCATTCGTATTTTTTTTGGATGCATCATCCACAATGTATTTATCTGATCTATTGTTTTATTTTTTGTTTTTGAGATGGAGTCTTATTCTGTCGGCCAGGCTAGAGTGCAGTGGTGGAATCTCGGCTCATTGCAACCTCCATACCCCAGGTTCAAGCAGTTCTCTTGCCTCAGCTTCCTGAGTAGCTGGGACTACAAGTGAGTGCCACCATGCCCGGCTAATTTTTTTATTTTTATTATTTTTTTAAATTTTTAGTAGAGACAGGGTTTTGCCATGTTGGCCAAGCTGTTCTCAAACTCCTGACCTCAGGTGATCTGTCTGCCTTGGCCTCCCGAAGTGCTGGGATTACAGGTGTGAACCACCACACCCACCTCAATCTACTGTTAATGGACATTAGGTCATTGGTTTTTTTTTTTGTTTTTTTTTGTTTTTTGCCAACAATACTACTATGAGCATTACTGCGTTTATAGCCTGGTTTGTGTGTGCAAGAATGTCTCCTGGATGTATACCTTGGAGTGGACCTGCAGTGTTGAGCCTTCCTTTGATTCACATCCTTGTCTGTTTGGGTTCTTTTCCATGCAGATGCCAATAACTGGGACCACAGGATAAAGAAAGTACTGGGTAGCCCCATGGAAAACACAGTATGCTTCCTCAAAAAGTTAAACATAGAGTTACCATGTGACCCAGCAATTCCACTCTTAGATATGTACCCAAGAGTATTGAAAACATGCTCACACAAAAACAAGTATGCCGATGTTCATAGCAGCTTACTCATAATAGCCCAAAGGGGCGGAAATGACCCAAACGTCTATCACCTGATGAATGGGTAAACAAAGTGTGTTGTCTCTATATACTGGAATGTTATTCAGCTATAAAAAGAAATCAAGTATTGATACATGCCCCACCATGGGTGAACCTTAAGAATACTGTGCCTAAGTGAAAGAAGCCAGACACAAATGACCACATACTGTAACTTCCATTGGAATGAAAAGTCCAAAATAGGCAAGTTCATAGAGACAGAAGGTAGATAAGTTGTTTCCGGGTGCAGGGGGAGGGGAGATGTGGGGAGTCACTGCCAAAGGGCACAGAGTTCCTTTTTGAGGGGATGAAATTAGACAGTGGTAATGGTCTCATCTCATATGTTTGTGAATACACTGAAAAACACTAAATTGTATACTTTAAAAGGGTGAATTTTGTGGTGCATAAATTCTTTTTTTTTTTTTTTTTTTTGAGATGGAGTCCTGCTCTGTCATCCAGACTGGAGTGCAGTGATGCGATCTCAGCTTACTGCAACCTCCGCCTCCTGGGCTCAAACCATCCTCCCACCTCAGCCTCCTGAGTGGCTGGGACTACAGGCGCACATCACCATGCCCAGACAATTTTTGCATTTTTAGTAGAGACGGGGTTTCCCCATGTTGGCCAGGCTGGTCTCAAACTCCTGACCTCAAGTGATCCACCTGCCTCGGCCTCCCAAAGTGCTGGGATTACAGGTGTGAGCCACCACACCCGACCCATAAATTCTTTCTTAATAAAAATGTAAATAAAATCACAATATCTTTATCATTGATTTATGTATTCAAAACACACGCATTAAGTACCTAAGACACGCCAGACATTCCCCAGCACGTTGCTGGGAAACACTGTATGAGTCAGACGTGGCCCCAGTATTGATCAGAACCATCCCCAGGCTCCTGACAGGTAACAAATGGCACATTCAAAAAGGGTCGTTGAGGAGAGTTTCATGAAGGGACATTTGCAGCCATGTGTGCAGGGCAGAGAGGAACTAGTTGAAGGCATGGTGAAGCATTTCAGGGTTGGTGACACATGGCAGCTGTTACTGCCCAGACAGGCAAGGGGAGAAAGTGGTTACTAGAGCCTGGTAAGGGTTGCAGCAGAGGGAGCGGGCAGGGTCCACAGCAGGGAGGGAGCCATCCTGGCCTCATTGTCCTCCACTCTCTCATCTCCTACTTGTGCCTCCCCTTAGGGGACACAAACCGGAAGCCTTTGGAGTTGGGAGCTTGGGGATCCTCCGTGGATGGGAACTGCGCGTGGGCGACCCAGGAGTCTGCAGAGACCCCCGAGGCACAGTCCCCATTGGTCAGCCTCCTGAGCTGTAGGCAGGAGGGGAGAGGGCTGGAGAGTGAATCGAAAGAAACAAACACAGTATGTCCAGCTGTTCCCATCCTCATAGACTCTACTTTTTATTTTTTATTTTTTTATTTTTTGAGCAAGGTCTTCCTCTGTCGCCCAGGCTGGAGTGCAGTGGCGTGATCACAGCTCACTGCAACCTTGACCTGCTGGGCTCAAGCGATCCTCCCACCCCAGCCTCCCCAGTAGCTGGGACTACAGGCCCATGCCACCACTTCAGGCTAATTTTTTAATTTTCTTTTTTGTAGAGACAGGGTCTCACTATATTGCCCAGGCTGGTCTCAAACCCCTGGGCTCAAGCGATCCTCCCACCTACCTCGGCCTCCCAAAGTGCTGGGACTACATTCGTGAGCCCCTGTGCCCAGCCAGCTCTACATTTTGAGTGAGGAGACAGACAGAAAAATGAAATAATTACAGAATGTGATCAACAAACAGGCTGGCATGAAGGAGGGTATCTTGGTGTGTGGGTGGGTGATGGGGTCACTTCAGATCTGGTGCTTGGGAGGATCTTTCCAAGGAGGAGGTGCTGCTTCAGCTGGGACCTGAAAGATGAGCACCTGGGTGATGAAGGCACTGTTTATTGAGATAAGAAAGCTTGGAGGAGAAACAGATTTGGGGAAGGAAACCAGGAATCCCCCTGGTTTCCTGTAAAGATAGGACATATATGCAAACACAGAAAAACAACAACTCCAGGCCCAGTGAGAATCCCTGGGGCTGCTGGAGAGGCTGAGCTGGAGCGGATGGCTGTGAGCTGACACCCAGGGCCTGCCTCTCGGAAGCCAGGACATGTGTGGACTGCGCCCTCCCTGGAGGTTACACGGAGTGCTGGCGCAGCACGCTGGCTCCGGGCCCTCCCGCTTGCTCTCAGGGCTCCTTCCAGCGTTCACTGGGACATTTGCCATGTCCTAGGTCCTTCTCTTACAAAGGCAAGAAGGGCCAGGCGAAGGGAGTGTTCGCCGAAAACCAAACGTGACACAACCTTAAATATAGGCAGGTGCTCTGATCTGATAGCACGGGTGGCCCCAGGGAGAAACATGGACTTGCCAACCATGAAGGGTCCAAAAATCTACTTAGAAAAACACTGAGGCCCATGATTAATACTGAGGTGCCCGGAGCACCAAGAGAGAAAAGCAGGCCCAACATCCTGGCTGGAGCAAAGTCAAGAGAGAAGGAGAGAAGGCAGCAGCCAGCACATGGCTCCTCCTGCGATGGGTCATCGCAGCATCTCTGTCCCGGCATCAGCCAGGGCCCACCTTCGGGTGCTTCCAGCCCACTCGACTCGGCACATCGCTGTATTTTCTTCCATCGAGATCTCTCCCCACTGGCTCTTTGCCCAGCCAGTTGCCCACAGACTGGAAAACAAAAGCTCACTGCCTTCCCTGGGGACCTGGGCTTAAGGGATGGGCCTTGGGCAGGCTGGGCGGATGCTCTGTTGATTTTTTTTTCCAAGTGCAGAGAATGTGACAGCCAATTCCTGTTGGAAGTGGCTTTTGTTTTCTTTGGAGCATGAAGCACTTTTCCTTTCTCTTGATTGTTTCAGTTCAGGTCATGTTTAGGATGGAGATGATTTGCTAGCCTAATTGCATGCCTTCCAGAACTGTGGTTCTTAACCTTTTGGGACACAGATCCTATTGCAAACCTGATAAAAAACTACAGACCAGTTCTCTAAAACACACACACACACACACACACTCTCACACACACACACTCACACACACACACACACACACTCACACATGTAAATGCCCCAAATTAAATTTTTATTTGTTAAATTTTATTTAAACTTTAAAAAATTTTAAAAAATAGGCTGGGCATGGTGGCTCACACCTGTAATCCCAGTACTTTGGGAGGCCAACATGGGTGGATCACCTGAGGTCAGGAGTTCGAAACCAGCCTGGCCAACATGGCGAAACCCCGTCTCTACTAAAAAATTAAAAAATTAGCTGGGCGTGGTGTCAGGTGCCTGTAATCCCAGCTACTCGGGAGGCTGAGGCAGGAGAATCATTTAAACCTGGGAGGTGGAGGTTGCAGTGAGCCAAGATTGCACCATTGCACTCCTGGGCAACAGAGCAAGACTCCATCTCAAAAAAAATATAATAATTTTTTTTTTAAAATAGAGATGGTTGTCTCACTATGTTGACCAGGCTAGTCTCTAACTCGTGGCCTTAAGTGATCCTCACATCTCAGCCTCCCAAAGTGCTGGGATTATAGGCAAGAGCCACTGTGCCTGGCCCCAGATTAAACATTTAATATCAACCCTAGTAGATTCAGATCCCTTGGGTTAAGGCAGTAAGTCCTTCCCACCTCTCTTCATCACTCCTAATCCCCACCCTCACAACAGCTTTCTGTTCAGTCTGGATCTTAAAATTCCTCTTCTTTAGCACTCTGCAGGGGCCGGCATTTCTCGCCTGGCTCCTGCCTGAATTAATCCCATGTGTTCAACCCGCTGAGGAGCACAAGCTCTTGCTAGCTCTGGCCGCCTCTGGTTGAAGGGTCCAATCCAGTGGCATGCCTATTTTTCAGTAGAATGCTCCAGTAAGATTTGTAAAATCTTTGTCTTATCCATGCCTCTTTCTGATGGAGGGGCCAGGCAGTGCGAGTCTTGGCAGATTGAAGAAGAGGTGGCACAGCTTTGGATGAGACTCTAGGGAGACAGGCGTTGTCTGGTTTTCCAGAAGCAACTCACTTTGCCAAAAATACCAAAAATAAAATGACTGTCTAGACACTTACATGTTAGACGCTCTCATACGAAGACAGACTTGATCCTGAAGGTCATTGACTTAGACATCAATGACGAGTCAAAGGGGCTCAATTAAATAAACACATATTGTGTGCCTGCCATGTGCCAGACAGAATTCTAGGCACCGGGGGTACTTGGTGAATAACGCACACAAGGTACCAGATGATTTTAGGTAGCGACAAGTGCAAAAATGAACATAAAATAAGTTGACATGATCCATGTGATGGTGGCAGGAACATCATCAGAGATGTCCCTAAGAAAGCAGGATTGGAGCTGAAACCTTCATTTGGAGAAGGAGAGCTCCAGGCAGAGGAAAGAGCTGCTGCAAAGGTTCTGGGGTTGGAACAAGTTGGTTTGCTTGAGGAACAGAAGAAACGCATGTGGCCAGCGCAGAGTGAGGCCGGGGAGATGAGAGATGAGATGGGAGAGGTAGGCGAAGCAAGGTCACAGTGGGCTTTGCTTGCCATGGGAATGAGTTGGGATTTTATTGCAAGGGTGATGGGAAAACAATGGAGAATGTAGAGTGGAAACGATTTGTATTTTTGTTTATTTATTTATTTTTTTGAGATGGAGTCTTGCTCTGTTGCCCAGGCTGGAGTGCAGTGTTGCGGTCTCCGCTCACTGCAACCTCTGCCTCCCGGGTTCAAGTGATTCTCCTGCCTCAGCCTCCTGAGTAGCTGGGACTACAGGCATGTGCCACCATGCCTGGCTATTTTGTTTTTAGTAGAGATGGGGTTTCACCATGTTGGCCAGGCTGGTGTTGAACTCCTAATCTCAGGTGATCTGCCTGCCTCAGCCTCCCAAAGTGCTGGGATTACAGGTGTGAGCCACTGTGCCCGGCCCTATTTGCATTTTTAGAACTGATCACTGTGGAAAGGAGCATAACTTTGGGAGCAAGAACGGAAATGGGGGACCTGTGAGAAGCTGATTCGTGGTCCAGGTGAGTGAGGTCGTGGTGCCTCGGATCTCTTTGGTGGCACTACAGATAGAAAGACAGTGGACCGTTTTCCAGGTGAACACACCTGGTGCAGACAATTTTCTTTGAAACATAATGTGTTGCAAATGCACAGTGGTTAAGGCCCCATAGAAACTGTAGCTTAATGCTTTTTAGCAGCACCAAAGTTAGGGTCTCTTCTCAGGTCAAAGTCTCCTATTCCTGCCCTTCCAGAAAAACAAAAATGATTAAAATCCTCCTTAAGAGACAGTGGCTTGGCTGACCTTGTCCCTGCAGAAAGTTAATCTCCTTGGCAGGCAGGAGGAGGAAAGAAGAGCTGATATGTATTAAGTGCCAACTGCATACCTCAATTTCATCTGATCTCACAGTAACCCTACAAAGTTCAAGTTATTAGCCTAATTTATTTATTTTTTCTTTCTTTTTTTGAGATGAGGAAACTGAAGTTCAGAGAGGTTAGGTAAATCGCCCAAGGTCACATAGCTAACAAGTGACAACTGGGATCCAAACCCACATCTGTCTGACTCTTTCCACATCATCCCTGGCTGGTGGGACCAGTTCAGCATATTGAGGAGACCTTAATAATCTCTAGGCTCTGGGGATTTTAGCTACTCCTTGGTTTGGGGGTCCACTGACTTTTTCAGGCCATGCGGGTGGAAAAAAAGGCTGAGGGGCACAGGGGAACTTTTTGGAATGACAGGTTTCATATTTTGATTGGGGTGGTGGTGGCATGGGTATATGTTTTAACAACCATTGAACTCTACATTTAAGTGGGTGCATTTTATTGCATATAAATTCGATCTCAATACATGTACAGCCCTCTAAATTTTTTATCGAGATACAATTCACATTCCATAAAATTCACCCTTTTAAAGTTTACAATTCAGTGGTTTTTAGTGTATTCACAGAGATACCATCTAATTCCACTGATTCCAGGATATTTTCATCACTTCGAAAAGAAACTCCGTGCCGTACCCATTAACAGTCACTCCTCATTCCCCAGTTCCCCAGCCCTGGCCCCTGACAATCACTGATCTCTTTCTGTCTCTAATGATTTCTATATTCTGGTCCAGTGGGCCCAGGAGCACAAACGTTGAAGCTCAACCAGTTACTTGGCTTCCCAGTGAGGGGACAGGCCCACTACCTTCCTGAACAAAATTCTGAACTGGAGGGTCTCCATTTGGTCCAGGTGCTGGGTGGTGAATTTCAAGAGCATCAGAGAGACATCTGAAGGTGACTCAGCCCCTGTGTCCCTGCCTCCCTCCCCTGCCCACCCCAGCCCATGCAGGCTCTGGAAGTGCACCTTGCTCACTCTGCTCCCCTGCCTGTGGAAGGCATGAGCAATGATGCACCCAGCGAAGGAGTGGGGAGTGGACCTCTAAGGTCAATGTGGCAAACCCATCACAGAAATGCAGGGGAGTTAAGGATGGTTTAGGAATGCATCCAGCAAGGTCGGGGCTGGAAGAGAGTTTGGAGGGCAAAGGAGAGGAGTAAGTAAAAGTGCTGTTATGCCAGGTGCCGTGGCTCGTGCCTGTAATCCTAGCACTTAAGGAGGCCAGGGAGGGAGGATTGCTTGAGCCCACGAGTGTGAAACTAGCTTGAACAACATAGGGAGACCCCATTCTCCACAAAAAGGAAAAAACAAAAACAACAATAATTTGTTATTACTGGCTGCTGGAGAAGGAGAGAGGAACCTGTAGGTGACTCCTTCTGACACCCAGTACTCTGCCAGCGTGCCTTTCTCATGTCACCCCCACGCCTTGGAAAGGTGCAAGCAAGGAGATACCGGAGGCAGGAGGAGGGCCAGGAGGAACAGCCCCTGCCAGGTCAGGGAGGCAACCCCGCCCCCACACCTGGCTGGCAACATGGGTGGATCGACTAGACCCACTGACGCCAGCTCTGCCGGCACCTGGAAACAGCCTGACACAGGGGTTTCAAAAGAGACGTGGAGGTGGCGTCAAGGACCGCCTGCAGTGTGAGAGAAAAAGGCCCTCCTTGTCCAGCCTTCATCAACAGGAACGGAGGCAGGACTCTGGTGATGTCTAAAGAAAGAACAAATGCACACAGACATGGTCAAATGTCTAAGAGATGGTGCTATTGGCAAAAACCACAAGGCCCAGCACAGATATCTACGATCCTGCTTACATCATAAAGTTATTATGTGTGATTGTTCCTAACAGACCAAGTCTGGAAGGGTTCTCGAAAGCCTGTCAATAATAACCTTTAGGGAAAGGAATGTCACTGTCTACCTTTCATTTTTATTTTTTTATTAAGAAAAAAAACTGCTAAAAACAACTGTTAAAATTAAATTAACAACTGTATGCTATTTATGTAATTTAAAATATATGATATGGCCAGGCACACCAGCTCACACCTGTAATCCCAACACTTTGGGAAGCTGAGGCGGGTGGATCACACGAGGCCAGGAGTTCAGTTCAAGAGCAGCCTGGCCAACATGGTGAAATCCCGTCTCTACTAAAAATACAAAAATTAGCTGGGTGTGGTTGTGCACGCCTGTAGTCCTCCCAGCTGCTTGGGAGGCTGAGGCAAGAGAATCGCTTGAAACGGAGAGGCAGAGGTTGCAGTAAGCCGGGATCACGCCACTGCATTCCAGCCTGGGTGACAGAGCGAGACTCTATCTCCAAAAAAACAAAAGATATATTTCAAATTTTATTTTTAATCTCTTTTTAAATAGGCAATACATTCACATGCAAAGTCTCCCTCCCATTCTTGTCTTCTTCTGCCTAGATATTCATTCCCCCTGCCGGAGGTAACTGATTTACTAATTACTGACGTATCCTTCTGGAATTTCTTTATGTAAATGTAAGTAAATTTGTGTAGAGATTCTTTTTCTTTTTTTTTTTTTTTAGAGATGGGGGTCTCTCTGTTACCCAGGCTAGCGTGCAGTGGTGTGATCATAGCTCGCTGCAGCCTCGACCTCCTGGGCTCAAGCAACCCTCCTGTCTCAGCCTTCTGAGTTGCTGGGACTACAGTCACAAGCCACCACACCCAGCTAATTTTAAACTTTTTTTAGAAAGGGGGGTCTCGCTATGTTGCCCAGGTTGATCTCAAACTCCTGGCCTCAAGCGGTCCTCCCACCTTGGCCTCCTAAAATGTTGAGATTACAGGTGTGAGCCACTGGACCTGGCAGAGAGTCTTACATCTCTATTGTGCTGTATCTCTAGGAAGAAAATTAGAATTCAAACCCTATGGCCAGACATAAGGGCTCTGAAGAATTAAACATATCTACAGGTGGCTAGTGGGTATAAAGTACAACCTTTGTGAGGAGGGCTTTTAAACATTATATATATTATATATATATATATACATAATATATATATTATATATATATATACACACACACATATATATACATATATATATATACACATACACACACATATATATTTTTATTGATAAATACTCATTATAAAGGAGTCAAGAAATGCCATATAAAGAAAATCACTCCAGATCTCTCCACCTCAAACTAATGATGATTAACATCAACTGAACATTATTCTGGACAAGTGTTGTCGGACAGAACTTTCTGTGGTGATGGAAACGTTTTCTGTGCTGTCAATTGTAGTAACTACTAGCTACGTATGTTTATTGAGCACTTGCAATGTGGCTAGTGAAACTGAAGAGCTGAATTTTTTATTTTTATTTTTAGTTTATGTATTTATTTTTATTTATTTATTTTTTTGAGACAGAGTTTCACTCTTGTTGCCCAGACTGGAGTGCAGTGGCGCAATCTTGGCTCTTTGCCACCTCCACCTCCTGGGTTCAAGAGATTCTCCTGTCTCAGCCTCCTGAGGAGCTGGGATTACAGGCGTCCACCAACACCCCCGGCTAATTTTTGTATTTTTAGCAGAGATGGGATTTCGCCATGTTGGCCAGGTTGGTTTCGAACTCCTGACCTCAGGTGATCTCCCTGCCTTGGTATTTTTATTTTTATTTTATTTTTTGAGATGAAGTCTCGCTCTTGTCCCCCAGGCTGGAGTGCAATGGCGTGACCTTGGCTCACTGCAACCTCCGCCTCCCGGGTTCAGGCAATTCTCCTGCCTCAGCCTTCCAAGTAGCTGGGATTACAGGTGCCTGCCACCACACCTGGCTAATTTTTGTATTTTTAGTAGAGATGGGGTTTCACCGTGTTAGCCAGGATGATCTCGATCTCCTGACCTCGTGATCTGCCTGCCTCGGCCTCCCAAAGTGCTGGGATTACAGGCCTGAGCCATGGCGCTTGGCCCAGTTTAGGCCTTTTCTATGTGTATGTATGAGTGGAAGGATGTAAAGAAAGCTGGAGACGACATTTTGGCATTGCCTCCCAAAAGCTTCACAGGTGTGATTACTAATTAACCTAGGAGATTTAGGAATTATCCTAAGGAAATGCAGCCAGGCACGATGGCTCACATCTTTAACTCCAGTGATCTGGGAGGCCAAGGCGGGAGGATAGCTTGAGGCCAGGAGTTTGAGACTAGCCTGGTCAACACAGACCCTGTCTCTACAAAAAACACAAAAATTAGCCAGGCGTGATGGTGCGTGCCTGTAATCCCAGCTACTCAGGGGGCTGAGGTGAGAGGATTGCTTGAGCCCAGGAGTTTGAGGCTACAGTGAGCTATGACTGCACCACTGCACTCCAGCCTGAGTGACAGAGCAAGACCCTGTCTCTAAAGGAAAAAAGAAATGGTTATGACTTTGCTCAAAATTGAGCTCTGAAAGTATTTATTAACACAAAAAACTGGAACGTTGTAGGAAAATATTTACCAATGTGGGAATGCGTTCATACTGTCTATTAAGTGAAAGGCAGGTTACAGCCAGCTCACGCCTGTAATCCCAACACTTCGGGAGGCCTAGGTAGAAGGATCGCTTGAGCTCAGGAGTTTAAGACGAGCCTAGGCAATATGATGAGACCCTGTCGCTACAAAAATATAAAAAATTATCCAGGCATAGTGGCGAGCACCTGTGGTCCCAGCTACTCAGGAGGCCGAAGTGGGAGGATCACTTGAGCCTGGGGAGGCAGAAATTGTAGTAACCCATGATTGCACGATAGCATCCCAGCCTGGGGGACATAGCAAGGCCCTGTCTCAAAAATAAAAAATAAAAAAATAAGTGAAAGGAAGGTTACAAAGCAGGATGCTTTCACTAAAATATAAATAGCCTAGAAAGATCTATTTCAAGCTGCTCAGTCCATGGTGAGCACTCAGTAAATATCAGTTAAATGATTGAGTGACTATTAATAAGAATTAGCACCGGGTGGCCAGACACGGTGGCTCATGCCTGTAATACCAGCACTTTGGGAGGCCGAAGCGGGCGGATCACGAGGTCAAGAGATTGAGACCATCCTGGCTAACATGGTGAAATCCTGTCTGTACTGAAAATACAAAAATTAGCTGGGTGTGGTGGCGCATGCCTGTAGTCCCAGCTACTTGGGAGGCTGAGGCAGGAGAATCCCTTGAACCCAGGAGGTGGAGGTTGCAGTAAGCCAAGATCGCACCACTGCACTCCAGCCTGGCGACAGAGCGAGACTCCATCTCAAAAAAAAAAAAAAAAAAAAAAAGAATTAGCGTCGGGTGGTGAAATTACAAGTGATTTTATATTTTCTTCTGCACCCTTATTTATATTTTCTAACTTTCTATGGTGAACACATATACTTCTGTAATAAGAAAAAACATGTAGGAAGAAAAGTATAGTTGTTGTGTCGTAATATTTCAGAGCTGGAAGGAGCTTTAGAGACAAAGACACGCTTGGCTAGTGAGAGGCCAAAACCTAGTTTCCGACAACACACAAACATCTTTCAGAGCCAAGGAGAAAATACTGCGTGATTGTCTTCTGGCCAGGACAAACTCTCGCAGTGTGGCAATTCAGGAGTGGATTTCAAGAGGGAAAAACAAAGGGTATTAATGCTCCTCAACAAGATATAAAACATCATGAAAAATCTTACTACAACAAACCCAGGGCATCATAATCTTTGCTCTAGTTGGGCCTCCCTGCTCACAGGGCCCTCAGCTGTGGCATCAGCAGGGACACCCTCCAGGACTCTCCCTGCGCAGCCAGCATGGGAGAGAAGTCTGTCTTTCTCTTTTTTTTTTTTTTTTTTTTTGAGACGGAGTGTCACTCTGTTACCCAGGCTGGAGTGCAGTGGCACAATTTCAGCTCACTGCAATCTCTACATCCTGGGTTCAAGCAGTTCTCATGTCTCAGCTTTCCAAGTAGCTGGGATTACAGGCATGCGCCACCACGCCTGGCTAACTTTTTTGTATTTTTAGGAGAGACAGGGTTTCACCATATTGGTCAGGATGGTCTCAAACTCCTGACCTCAGGTGATCCAGCTCCCAAAGTGCTGGGATTACAGGCGTGAGCCACCGCGCCCGGCCAGAAGTCTTCGTCTCTTGCAGGAAGAAGCCTACTACTGGTTGTCCCCACATATTGGCTCTTCTTCAAAGCCTGTCCTTTCTGCAAAATTCTTAATCACTGTCTACCTCAGATGTCCTTTCTGTTTTTTCAGCATTTACCACTGGCTTACATGCTCAAGTTTGTATTTTATTTTTATTTTTATTTTTTGAGGCAGGGTCTTGCTTTGTTGCCCAGGCTGGAGTGCAGTGGTGCAATTAGGACTCACTGCAGCCTCTTGGGCTCAAGTGATCCTCCTGCCTCGGCCTCCCAAAGCACTGAGATTACAGGTGTGAGCCACAATCCCTGGCCCATGCTCAACTTTGGAAATCGCTGTACTCTAGTCTATGAAACGCTTATTGACCTAACAGCTCTTAGTTCTGTGACTCAGTTAGTCTCATCAAACATTTTGGTTTTTTATTATTTTATATTTTTTCCTGGGGGCGTAGACTCAAGTGCCCTGAATATACACTCCCTCAAAAAAGTTTTGAGTGAGGACAAGGTGCTAAGCACCAGTATTTAGGCTGGGCAGAATATCTACTGGTATTTAGGCTGGGTATGAGGGCTCGTGCCTATAATCCTAGTACTTTGGAAGGCCGAGGCAGGAGGATTGCTTGAGCCCAGGAGTTGGAGTCTGCAGTAAGCTATGACTGTGCCACTGTACTCCAGCCTGGTGACAGAGAGAGAGCCTATTTCTAAAAAAAAAAAAAAAATTTAAGATATTTATCCAAGAAAAAGTATATGTCCACAAAAAGACTTTCATGAAATGTGTTATCTGTTTATATCATAGCCAGGGTCCCAGCAGGTAATTCGAGAAGAGTTTAATAAAGGGACTGTGCATAAGGGTGTATTTGGTTTAGAGAAACCACCAAAGCTGCAACTTCCTTCCAAAGAGAAACATACTATGGAAAAGGGTCAGGGTAGGGGCGGGCAGAAAGAGTAACTTTAAAGGGGAAACCTGACTCGACCTCAGCCAGGCCATCAAGGTCAACATTAAGGTCACAGATCATGTGGATTTTATGTACCCTTGATATGAAGGGATGAAATGGCAATTGACCTCTGTGGTCTTCCTCCCCCAAACTCTATGCTCAGTCTAATAGTGAGAAAAAATCAGACCAATTCAAAAAGAGGGGCCTACGATGTACCTGAGCAGTACTCCTCAAACCTGTCAAGGTGGTTGTGCAGCAGAGGACACAATTAATAACGTGAAAAGGCAACCTTTGGAATGTGAGAAAATATTTGCAAATCATACAGTCATGACAATACAAAAAAAGTTTCAGTTCATGACAGAATAAACAACGGTGGTCCCGTGACATTACAATGGAACACAAATTGAAACCATCTGATATATGGGCCGGGTGTGGTGGCTCACGCCTGTAATCCCAACACTTTAGGAGGTTGAGGCATGTGGATCACCTGAGGCCTGGAGTTCGAGACCAGCCTGGACAACATGGTGAAACCCTGTCTCTACTAAAAATACAAAAAAAATTAGGCGTGGTGGTGGGCACCTGTAATCCCAGATACTCAGGAGGCTGAGGCAGGAGAATCACTTGAACCTGGAGGCGAAGGTTGCAGTGAGCCGAGATTGCACGACTGCACTCCAGCCTGGGCGACAAGAGCAAAACTCCATCTCAAAAAAAAAAAGAAAAGAAACCTGATATATGGTACTTGATATTGGCATTGCAGGTCCAGTAAGGGAAAGGACTGATATTCAGTACTGGTGCTGGGATACCTGGTTTTGCATAATATATATGTAAATAAAAATATATATGCCATCTAGGTTTGTGTAAGTACACTCTGTGATGTTTGCACAACGACAAAATTGCATAAGGACTCATTTCTCAGAACATATCCCCATCATTAAGTGACATATGACTGTGTCTGATAAGGGGTGCATATCTAGAATATGTAAGGATCTCCTACAACTCAGTATCAAAAATTAAACAACCTGATTAAAAAACAGGCAAAGGACTTGAGTAGACATTCCCCCAATGAAGATAGAAAGATATGCAAACGGCCAATAAGCGCATGTATGAAAAGATGCTCATCGCCCCAGTCACTGGGAAAATGCAAATCAAAACCACAAGATGCCACGTTGTACCCATTAAGATGGCTGCCATCAAAAAACCCCAGAAAACTGCAAGTGTTGATGAGAGTGTGGAGAAATTGGAACCCTTGTGCACCGTTGGTGGGAACGTTAAATGGCGCAGCTACTATGGAAAACGGTATGATGATTCCTCAAAAAATTAAAAATAGAAATACAATATGGTCCAGCAATCCCACCTCTGAGTATACACCCCAAAGAATTGAAATCAGGGTCTCAAAGAGATGTTGGTACAACCATGTCCACAGCAGCACTATTCACAATGGCCAAAAGGTAGATGTCACCCAGGTGTCCATCCACAAATGAACAGATAAACAAAATGTGGTATATATCCATTCAGTGAAATGTTATTCAGCCTTAAAAAGGAAAGAAATTCTGATACATGCCATGACATGGATGAAATTTGAAGATGTTATGTAAGGTAAAATAACCTGGTCACAAAAAGACAAATATTATATAATTTCACTTATACAAGGTATCTAAAGTAGTCAAATGCATAGAAACATAAAGTAGAATGGTGGTGACCAGGAGTTTAGGGGAGGGGTAATGGGAAGTTGCTGTTTAATGGGTATAGAGTTTCTATTTTGCAAGATGCAAAAATTCTGGAGATCTGACTCACAACGATGTAAATATACTTAACACAACTGAACTGTGCACTTAAAAGTGGTTAAGATAATTTTTATGTTACATATATTTTACCACAATTTAAAACATTGTTAAGGTCATCGAAAACAAGGAAAGTGTGATAAATTGTCACATCCAAGAGGAGCCTAAAGAGGTGTGACAATGTGAGGCCGAGGTGGGCAGATCACTTGAGGCAGGAGTTCGAGACCAGCCTGGCCAACATGGCGAAATCCCATCTCTACTAAAAATACAAAAATCAGCTAGGTGTGGTGGTGGGCACGTGTAATCTCAGCTACTCAGGAGGCTGAGGCGGGAGAATCACTTGAACCCGGGAGGCAGAGGTTGCAGTAAGCTGAGATTGCGCCACTGCACTCCAGCCTAGGGGACAGAGCAAGACTCCATCTCAAAAATAAATAAATAAATAAATAAAAGAGATGTGACAACACAATGTCCTATAGTATCCTGATGGGACCTGGAACACAAACAGGGCATTAGGTAAACTAAGGCAATGTGAATAAAGTAGGGACTTAAGTTAATAATGATATATCAATATTGGTACATTAATTATAACAAATGTATCCTATTAATAGATGATGTTAATAATAGTAGAAACTGGAAATGGGTTATATGGAAACTCTGTATTACCTTCATAATTTTTCTGTAAATCTAAAAGGTCCTACAAAAGAAGGTCTATTTAAAAAGAATAGCTTAGGTCTTCCCCTCAAGGAATGTAGTGGCTGGGGGCATGAACTGGGAGTCTCCTGAGTTCAAACCCTGGCTCCACCACCACCCGGTTGTGGGCCCTTCAGGGAGTGAAGTCACCTCCCGATGGGTCAGTTTCTTCATCTGGAAACTGAGGAGAATCCTAGGATCTACCTCATGGGGGCGCTGTGAGGACTGACTGCAAAGTGCCCAGCACCACTCCTGGCTGGTAGTAGATGCTGCTATTCCTGCAAGTTAGAAATAAAAGCAACAATAGAATAGTTGAGAGTGTGCATTTTGGAGTAAGGCAGTCTGGATTTAAACTGTGGTTCTTTCAGTGACTATAAAATCTTGGACAAGTTGCTGGGCCTGAACCTCAGTTTACTTAGCTATAAAATGGGATGCATGAGGCCTCCCCCAAAGGTGGTTGGAAGGACTGAATGAGCTCAAGCCGCAAAGCCCCAGCATAATGTGTATGCATGGGAAGCCGTTGATCAGTGGGAAATGTCCAAGGAAAGGAGACAGGCAGGAAGAGTTGGGGAACAGCAAATAAAACTGCCTGGCCGGCCAGGCGTGGTGGCTCACGCCTATAATCCCAGCACTTTGGGAGGCTGAGGCGGGCGGATCACGAGGTCAGGAGATCGAGACCATCCTGGCCAACATGGTGAAACCCCGTCTCTACTAAAAATACAAAAATTAGTTGGGTATGGTGGCACATGCCTGTAATCACAGCTGCTCGGAAGGCTGAGGCAGGAGAATCGTTTGAACCAGGGAGTCGGAGGTTGCAGTGAGCCAAGATCGCACCACTGCACTCCAGTCTGGCGACAGAGTGAAACTCCATCGCGAACAACAACAACAACGAAAACCTGCCTGGGTATCTGAGAAGGCTTCCCTGAGGGGGTCACAGAGAGGGGCTTGTCCTGGTTTTTGCACTGAGGGTGCTGATAGGCCGACTTCACAGTCCTCCAGGGACCTGTGTGACCTCCTCCTGGGCCCCAAGTTCCTCCCAGGTCCCCAGCATTGGAACATAGCCTCCATCTGCTGCTCAGCCACTGTTCTGTCTGAACTGTGTTTAGGCCCTTATCTCAGCCAGCTTTGCACTGCTTGGCTGCCTGTCACATTCAATTCCGTGCCAGGGCATTCATCCTGCCCTGGTCGTGTGTGTCCCCAAATGCAAGGTTCTGGGACACGGGGCCTGGTCTTGATCGTCTTCGGTTCCCACAATCCCGAGCACGGTGTCTGGAACACAGCAGTGTCTCAGTACATGGCGGCTGAAGAGAATAAAATTAGTGAGAAACTCACTTCCAGCCCTTGCTGTAGTTGGATTCTGAGGCACTGAGAAACACCCACACACTTTCCCCTTTAAAAATACCTTCTCTCTCTGGACTCTCTTTAGCCCCAAATTCTATGATTAGAGCTTCATTTCTTTGGCTTGAGCCAAATCTGGACCCTGTACCTGATAAAAATGCAACATCCTATATCGGTCAGATTCCAGTGGGATACAGAAGGCACACTCAAAAACTCAACCGGGTTTAAATGGGTGGGGGGAAGAAAAAATAATAAAAATTAGTAAAAGAACTATTTACAGCAAGATGGATGGGACTAAAGGAATCTGCAGAGACAGTGAGGCATCCCTGGCCTTGCAACAGCAGGAAGCTCTTAGCACCCAGGGGCAGAAGAGTTCAAGGGCACCCGGGAGAGCTGCACTATGGAGGAGCCGCCTTGAGGGGGATGGAGGCTGTGGAGATGTATCCACTGCCCCCTGATCCAGGCTGAAGCAGGTGGGAAATATCTCAATGGTGGTCTCCTCTTGACCTCCGATCTCCTGGCAGAGCTCCCTATTGGCAGAACCCAACAGGAAGCCAGAGGGTGAGGAGGTCCCCAAAGGTCAGCTTCCCAGGGTCAGAGAAGAGCAGAAAAATAGATCTGGGGTTGGGAGAGGGGAGCAAACCCCGAATAACGAGGCTTCAGAGGTGACATAATTCTGTCTTATCAATCATTTACAATTCAGTGCAAATAAAAACATCAGATCTGATATGGTTTGGCTGTGTCCCCACCCGAATCTCATCTCGAATTGTAGCTCCCACAATTCCCACCTGTCATGGGGAGGGACCTGGTGGGAGGTAATTGAATCATGGGGGTGGGTCTTTCTTGTGCTGTTCTTTCCCTTGCAGTTCTGGTGAATAAGCCTCACAAGATCTAATGGTTATATAAAGGGTTTCCCCTTTCGCTTGGTTGTCATTCTCTCTTTTGCCTGCTGCCATGTAAGACGCCCCTTTGCTCTTCCTTCATGTTCCGCCATGATTGTGAGGCCTCCCCAGCCATGTGGAACTGTGAGTCAATTAAACTTATTTCCTTTATAATTATCCAGTCCTGGGTATGGCTTTGTCAGCAGTGTGAGAACAGACTAATACAGATCCTGTAAGGAAGAGACGCAAAGGAGATTGGGGACCAGGGTCCTGACTAGTTACGATGAACAGAGCGTCACTGACTGGGGAAAAGATGCCTCCCTCCTCCACCTCCCCCAAAATAAAGACAAACCTTGCCTGTTTCCAGTGGTGGCTGTAGAATTTCCTTATGGGGAAGATCTGAGGGTGGCATCTGGATGACAGGGAAGCCACCATTGCATAGCAAACCTGGGGTGTCACATATATCTGAGTAGCATGGGTGGAGGGTGTTGATGAGGATTAATGGAACCACTAAGTCTCTTCCCCACCTCAGCCATCTCTTCCCCTCCTCCTCCCACCAGCCCCAGCTCCTAAACAAAGCTTTCTCATTGCAAGACTTCTTGGAGCTAAAGTGAGCTGTGATTCTGAGTCCTGGGAGATGTCCCTGACCACAGGAGCCCCCTCACCAAACCTCCCGGAGTTAGGAGCAGTGGAGACACTTTGTGGGAACAGCAGGCATGAGGCCAATTGTCTTCAAACCTGGTCCTGGGAAGGAGGAGGAAAAACAGGAGCGGTGGCTGGCTGAGGCTGCGTGAGTGGCTTCCGGAAGATGAGGCAGAGGGAGGGAGGGATTCCTAGTGTGGAATGAGCCCCTATTGTGGGTGGAGATGGGTCGGGATTATCTAGGGTATCGCTACTCAAAGTGGGGTCCAGCGACCGGGAATATTGGCATCCCCAGCAAGCTCACTGGAAATGAAGACTGTCAGGCCCTCACCCCCGCATCGCCTGAATCAGGATTTGCAGTTCTTTGCAAGCTCCTCATGAGCTTCTTATGCACGTTAGAGTTTGAGAAGCACCTGCTGCGGCACCCCCTGCTCAGGTGAGCCTGTCTGCTCATTTTCCCTCTGCACACGTGTGCTTTTTCTTTTTTTTCCCCTCAGAGGCTTTCTCATTCAGAAGGTCACTCAACAAACACTGAATCCATGCCTATCTCTGGAGATACAGATATTAATAACAGAGGAGTGAATAGGAAACTTCAACTCAGTGTGGGAAATGCTAACATAAGGATGGGGGTGTGGGTCAGATAAGCAGGACAGGGGAAGGGCCCCCAATCTGCGGTGGGGGTGGGGTGGCCAGGGAGCTTGGCCCTCTCCCTTCCTCCTGCCAGATCTTCCTTCCCCGACCCCACCCTGCTGCTCACGCCAGCACCACACGCTGGACCTGCACTCCCCTCTGCCGATTATTTCACTATGTGTGTGATCGGGTTTCATTTCACCAACTCAACTGTTCTGATGTCTCCTCATTCTAACACCTAGTAGCCCCTGAATTCTACATAGGATGAATGAATGAGGGAACGAATGAGATTAAGTGCACCAGGTAACAGTGAGACCCACTCCTTTTTCTCATCGTCTGTCAATCTGCTGTGCAGACCCCCCTTATCCATCTCTGTCTATGTACGATTTCTAAAATATGAGCGTTTATTTCATCGATAGGTTTTTAGAAGCAGCAGGTAGAGCGGGCTAGGAGACCCAGCATAAGGAAGTGGTTAGGAGCCTAGACTCAAGCCAGATGCCTGGGTTCAAATCCTGTCTTCCTTCTTTATCAGGTGAGTGACTTTGGGTGTGCTACTTAACCTCTCCATGCCTCAATTTCCATATCTGTCAAATGGGAATAATAACAGCACCATGCTCATAGGAGATTATTGGGCGGATTCCATGAGTTGTTATCTGTAAAGCGCATGGGACAGTGTTTGGTAAGCACTAAAAAAATGTTGGCCAGGTGTGGTGGCTCACACCTGTAATCCCAGTTCTTTGGGAAGCCGAGGCGGGCAGATCACTTGAGCCCAAGAGTTTGAGACCAGCCTGGGCAACATAGCAACACCTAGTATCTAGAAAAAAAATGCAAAAATTAGCCAGGTGTGGTAGTGCATGTCTGTAGTTCCAGCTACTCGGGAGGCTGGGGTGGGAGGATGGCTTGAGTCTGGGAGGTCAAGGCTCAAGTGAGCTGTGATTGTGCCACTGCATTTCAGCCTGGGTGACAGAGACTCTGTCTTAAAAAAAAAGAAAAAAAAAATGTTTGCTATCAAGAATTTGCTATGGGGCTGGGTGCTCATGCCTGTAATCCCACGCCATGGGGAGGCCAAGGCAGGTGGATCACCTGAGGTCAGGAGTTCAAGACCAGCCTGGCCAACATGGTGAAATCTCCTCTTTACTAAAAATATAAAAATTAGCTGGGTGTGGTGGCACGTGCCTGTTAGTCTCAGCTACTTGGGAGGCTGATCCAGGAGAATCGCTTGAACCCGAGAGACAGAGGTTGCAGTGAGCCAAGATTGCACCATTGCACTGCAGCCTGGGCGACAAGAGCGAAACTCTGTCTCAAAAAAAAAAGAAAGAATTTGCTATGGGCTAGGGCCTGAGATTCATTTGCCTGATTGCTGGGAATCAGGAGGGTGGAGAATATCATCTGTGAATAGTGTCCAGCTGATCTGACCCCTGCACACCTGAGAGCTGGAAGAGAAAGGGCTTTGTCCCCAGGAGGGGGCTGTGTGGGCTGTGGGCTTGCCTGGGGCCATTAGAGTCCAGTAACCACTTTCACGGGAACTAGAAAGGCCTTCTTCTCCCGTTGTGCTCATCTCCTTGGGGGCTCTCTGATTGCTTCTCTTGTCAGGGATCTCCCTGACCTCCTCTTCTTTGAAGCCCCTGGGCCTGGTGCCCTTTCCACTTCCTCTCACTGCTAATTGGAAGGCAGTGGGTTGGCTCCCGCAGGCGATGGTGATACTCAGTTTTGGATGGCATTGAAACTATTTCATAGACTTCATATTTGGTGAATTCTGAAGGCCAAAGGGCCTGTGTGTTGCACTTGGGTGTTCTCTGGGCCTTGACCGGAGGATCTGTTTCTTATGTTCATGGAGCTCTCGGCCGCCTCTTCCACATCTGCTGGACTAGGAATCAGGGTGGGTGCCTTAACCTCTGATGCTGTGGCATCTTGGGGAGGGGTTTTCTAACTCACGCAAGGATATTTGGTTAATTCCGCAGCTCTGAGATGTTCTTGGAAACTTGGGGGTTTTATACCATGGTGTTCTGGCCAGGTTGCTTCTGATCTGGAGGGAAAGGGAGAGGTTTCTGCCTTCTGGCCCAGGGCCCAACTCCACAGAAGGATGTACTCAATCTTAAAGAGCAAGAGGGCGGATGCGGACACGGCCTAGCCTGAGACCTCACGGGGAGCCACTGAGATGTCCCCAGATCAGAGGTAGGGGTGAAACATGTAGAGACTGACTGAGGGGCTGACCCTAGGGTCACAAGGACAGTGCAAAGTTTTGGTAGTGCTGGGCTTCCTAACAGCTGCCAGGAGATGCTGTCAACTCAGACAGTTGTCACCTCCAGCTCCCAAGACACAGCAGCAGCATGGCCATGCGGGTAGCCATCTGACCTCGACCTCTACTTACCATTCCACATTCCATGAACAAATGATGACACCACGGCCTCTCCTGTCCTGTCTTTGACAGAAGAGCCTCAGCAGTTTCCTTTTATTTTTTAACATTTTTTATTTAATTAAATTAAATAGAGAGAGAGTCTCACTATATTGCCCAGGCTGGTCTCAAACTCCTGGCCTCAAGCAATCCTTCTGCCTCTGCCTCCCAAATTGCTGGGATTACAGGTGTGAGCCACTGCACCTGGCCTCCTTTCATTTTTTAAAAACTTTTTATTTTGAAAAATTTCAAATTTACACAAAAGAAACAAACAGAATATTATAAGGAGTTCTTGCATATCTTTCACTCAGATGCATTAATAACGTCCTGTTGCATTTGTTCTCTCTTTTTTTTTTTTGAGATGGAGTTTCACTGTGTCACCTAGGCTGGAGTGTATGGGTGCAATCTTGGCCCACCGCAACCTCTGCCTACTAGGTTCAAGCGATTCTCCTGCCTCAGCCTCCTGAGTAGCTGGGATTACAGGCATGTGCCACCATGCCCAGCTAATTTTTGTATTTTTAGTAGAGACGGGGTTTCACTATGTTGGCCAGGCTGGTCTTGAACTCCTGGCCTCAAGTGATGCACCCACCTCGGCCTCCCAAAGTGCTGGGATTATCTCTTTCTCTTCCTTTCTCCATAAACGTGTGTGTGTGTGTGTGTGTGTGTGTGTGTGTGTGTGTGTTTGTATACTTTTTTTCCTGAACAACTTGAAGGTTAAGTTGTGGACACATTTATACACTAATCTTTGAGTGTGTATTTCCTAAGAACAAATCTGTTTTATTATATGACCAAAATATAATTAGAAAATATAGGAAAGTTAGGCTGGGTGCGGTGGCTCACACCTGTAATCTCAGCACTTTGGGAGGCCGAGGCAGGTGGATCACAAGGTCAAGAGTTTGAGACCAACCTGGCCAACATGGTGAAACCCTGTCTTGCCTAAAAATACAAAAATTAGCCAGGCATGGTAGCGGGCACCTGTAATCCCAGCTACTCAGGAAGCTGAGGCAGGAGAATCACTTGAACCCGGGAGGCGGAGGTTGCAGTGAGCCGAGATTGTACCATTGCATTCCAGCCTCAGCGATAAGGGCAAGACTCCATCTCAAAAAAGAAAAAGAAAATGTAGGAAAGTTAAACTTGATCCTGTTATCTAATACTGAATACTGTTATCTAATCTATAATTGGTATGCCAAATTTCACCAGTTTCCAATCACGTATCTTACAGCTATTTTTTCTCAGTCCAGGCTACAATCAGGATGCGCATTACATGTTGTTGTCAGGTGCTATTACTCTTCTTTCATCTAGAAGTGTTGCTCAATCTTTCTTTGTCTCTCATGTCCTTGGGAGTTTTCTAAATGAAAGTAAATCTGAAAGCATTCTCGTGGCTGTGACTTCTCTAAATGCTAACTCAGGGGGAAAAAAAAGGAAAGAAATACTTTTCAGTTCCTTGCCTTTGAAGCCTCCGGACAGGTGGGTTTGACAACATCTATTTTGGTCATGCCTGGGCAGTTCTGGCTTATCCATCTACACTAGTCTCAAATGATCCTGGGATTTGCTCTTGGGTACACAGTAGATGCTTAATAAGTAACTTGCTGATGTGCCAGGAGAGAAAGTGAATTGGACCACTGGGTGGAATAACTCAAATGACATTCCAGGAAGGTTTTGCTGCTGTAGATAGAGAGACAAAGGGCTGGCTCTTTCAGGCTGTGTCAGCCCAAGGGCAACATGCAGTCTTGGACTTCATTATCTTATTTCTATTACATAGTGCACTAAGGTTCTCTTTCTCCTCAAATTCCCCAGCAGGAGAGATAGGACTTTCCACTGCAGGCTGTTCAATTCACCAAGAAGAGGAAGCAAATCACAGATCCTGACAGATCCTGCTGTCAGGACTTGGCCAATTTTGAGATGTAATTAAAAAAAATTGTTTATTTTTATTAAAAAAAAAAAGAGTTGGAGTCTCTATGTTTCCCAGACTGGTCTTGAACTCCTGGGCTCAAGTGATCCTCCTGCCTCGACCTCCCAAAGAGCTGGGATTACAGGTGCTCAGCAGACATGTAATTTTTGATCTCCAGCCTGGGGTGTATACATCTGGATTATTTCCTCAGGAATAAGAGAACAGAGCCTTGAAATCAACCTGTTTGAAATCAGCCAGCCTCCAGGATGATCCCGGTCTACGGCCATAGCACCTTGAATGCATCTGATCTCATCTTTTTTTGTTTGTTTGTTTTGTTTTGAGACGGAGTCTCACTCTGTCACCCAGGAGTGCAGTGGCACAATCTCGACTCACTGCAGCCTCCCTGCTTCAAGCGATTCTCCTGCCTCAGCCTCCCGAGTAGCTGGACTACAGGTGCCCGCCACCACACCCAGCTAATTTTTTGTATTTTTAGTAGAGATGGGGTTTCACCCTGTTAGCCAGGAGGTCTCGATCTCCTGAACTTGTGATCTGCCTGCCTCGGCCTCCCAAAGTGCTGGGATTACAGGCACTACCCATCACGCCCATCCTGATCACATCTTTTCTTGGAAGCTAAGCAAGGATGGGCCTCGTTAGTACTTGGATGGGACACCAAGATGGTCCCTGCTGATCCTACCACCCCTGGTATCCACCTCTTCCTGTAGTCCCTTTCCTATGAATCAGGGCTGGCATACATGAACAATACAATAGGGTGACAGTGACTGGGTGTGACATCCGATGCTTAGTCATAAAAGATAATGCAGCTTCCACACTCATCTCTTGTCTAGCTTGTTTTGGAGGAAGCCAAGTTCTTTGAGCATACTCAGGTGTCCATGTGGACAGGACCTGAGGCGCCCAGCCAATAGCTGGCACCAACTTGCCAGCTATGTGAGTGAACCACCTTCAGTGTGGATCCTCTAGCTCCAGGCCAAGCCTTCGGATCCTTGCCACACTGACCAGCATCTGACTGCAGCCTCACGAGCAACCTGGAGGGCTCCAAACACCTGACCCTCAGAAACTGTGAGTGATAATAATTATTGTTTTCTGCCAGGCACAGTGGCTCACGCCTGTAATCCAAGCACTTTGGAGGCCAAGGCAGGTGGATCACCTGAGGTCGGGAGTTTGAGACCAGCCTGACCAACATGGAGAAACCCTGTCTCTACAAAAAATACAAAATTAGCCAGGCGTGGTGGCAGGCACCTGTAATCCCAGCTACTCGGGAGGCTGAGGCAGGAGAATCGCTTGAACTCGGAAGGCAGAGATTGCAGTGAGCCGAGATCGCACCACTGTACTCCAGCCTGGGCAACAGGAGTGAAACTCTTGTTATCTTATTATTATATATTATTATTATTATTATTGTTATCTTAAGCCATAAAGTTTTGGGGCAATTTTCTACACAGCAGTAGGTAATTCATATGATTCTCTTGAAAAGTATAAAGAGAGGTCGGGCGCGGTGACTCACGCCAATAATCCCAGCACTTTGGGAGGCTGATGCAGGCAGATTGCTTGAGGTCAGGAGTTGGAGGCCAGCCTGGCCAACATGGTGAAACCCCATCTCTATTAAAAATACAAAAATTAGCCAGGTGTGGTGGTCCATGCCTGTAATCTCAGTTACTCGGGAGGCTGAGACAGGAGAATCACTTGAACCCTGGAGGTGGAGGTTGCAGTGAGCCAAGATCACACCACTGCACTCCAGCCTGGGCGACAAGATTCTGTCTCAAAAAGAAAAAGAAAAAAAAGAAAAGTATAGGGCTGGGCGCGGTGGCTCACGCGTATAATCCCAGCACTTGGGAGGCCGAGGCGGGCGAATAACAAGGTCAGGAGATCGAGGTCATCCTGGCTAACACGGTGAAACCCCCTGTCTACTAAAAATACAAAAAATTAGCCGGGCATGGTGGTGGGCGCCTGTAGTCCCAGCTACTCAGGAGGCTGAGGCCGGAGAATGGCGTGAACCCGGGAGGCGGAGCTTGCAGTGAGCCGAGATCGCGCCACAGCACTCCTGCATGGGCGACAGAGCGAGACTCTGCCTCAAAAAAAAGAAAAGAAAAGAAAAGTATAAAGAGGCACATGACCCAGAAATTTAACTCCTAGGCATATGCCAAAGAGAAATGAAAACATGTCAGCCAGATGTGATGGCTCAAGCCTGTAATCCCAGCACTTTGGGAGGCCGAGGGCAGGCAGATCACTTGAGGTCAGGAGTTCCAGACCAGCCTGACCAACATGGTGAAACCCCATCTCTACTAAAATACAAAAATTAGCTGGGCATGGTGGTGCACACCTGTAATCCCAGCTACTCAGGAGGCTGAGGCAGGAGAATCGCTTGAACCCGGGAGGCAGAGGTTGCATTGAACCAAGATCGCGCCACTGCCCTTCTGCCTGGGTGATAGAGCGAGACTCCGTCTCCAAAAAAAAAAAAGAAAAGTCCACACCAAAACTTGTACCCGAATGTTCATAGCAACATTATTCATAATAGCCAAAAAATGAAAACAACCCAAATGTCCATCAACTGATGAATGAATAAAGGAAATGTGGGGCCAGGCGCATTGACTCATGCCTGTAATCTCAGTACTTTGAGAGACTGAGGCAGGTGGATTGCTTGAGTCCAGGAGACCAGTCTGAGCAACACAGTGAGATCCCATCTCTACAAAAAATACAAAAAGTAGCCAGATGTGGTGATTGGCATGTGCCTGTAGTCCTAGCTACTCGGGAAGCTGAGACAGAAGGATCGCTTGAGCCCAGGAGTTGAGGCTACAGGGAGCTGTGATCACGCCACTGCACTCCAGCCCGGGTAACAGAGCAAGACTCCCAACTGGGGGTGGGCAAAAAAAAAAAAAAAGGCGGCCAGGCACAGTGGCTTATGCCTGTAATCTAAGCATTTTGGGAGGCCGACACGGGTGGATCACAAGGTCAGGAGTTCGAGACCAGCCTGGCCAAGATGGTAAAACCCTTCTCTACTAAAAATACAAAAATTAGCCAGGCATGGTGGTGGGTACCTGTAATCCCAGCTACTTGGGAGGCTGAGGCAGAAGAATCGCTTGAACCTAGGAGGCAGAGGTTGCAATGAGCCAAAATTGTGCCACTGCACTCTAGCCTGGGTGACAGAGCAAGACCCTGTCTCAAAAAAAAAAAAAAAAAAAAAAGAAAAAAAGAAAAGACAAAGACAGGGAGGAGCAAAATAATGAAAGAATAATTCTAACCTACTAGACACTGTACAATGAGAATCATGAATTGTAATCCCAAGATTTTCTTGCCTTTGGGGAAGAAATTAATAGTATTAATAGAATCCAGATTCCTAATTAAGTCCTGGTGAGAATATGATGCTTCTCTCGTCTGAGAATGACAGCCATTGTCAAGAGCAGCCTTGACCCACTGAAGCTGTAGCCCAGGTGTTAAGACCAGATTTTAAAAAATCAACTCAGATTGCTGATGTTTTAGCCCAGGGCATTTGTTGTGAACTCCCTGGAATTACAGATAAAAAATGGTTCCATTTCATTTATACATACCAATATGTGGGGTTCCAAAAAGTTTTGTAATTATTACTTTCAAAATAAAATCTGATCCTACTTATTCCTGTCTCCTCATTCAAAATGTTCTTTAGAAATAATTCTTTAGCTGGGTGCAGTGGCTCACACCTGTAATCCCAGGACTTTGGGAGGATGAGACAGGCGGATCACTTGAGCTCAAGAGTTCAAGACCAGGCTGGGCAACATGGTGAAACCCCGTCTTCACAAAAAATACAAAAATTGGCCGGGTGTGGTGGCTCACACCTGTAATCCCAGCACTTTGGGAGGCTGAGGTGGGTGGATCACCTGAGGTCAGGAGTTTAAGACTGGCCTGGCCAACATGGTGAAACCTCCCTCTCTACTAAAAATATAAAAATTAGCCAGGCGTGGTAGTGTGTGCCTATAGTCCCAGCTAGCTACTCAGGAGGCTGAGGCAGGAGAATCGCTTGAACCTGGGTACAAGCTTGAACCTCAAGCAGAGGTTGCAGAGAGCCGAGATAGCACCACTGTACTCCAGCCTGGGCAACAGAGCAAGACTCCATCTCAAAAAAAAAAAAAGTACAAAAATTAGCCAGGTGTGGTGATGCGTGCCTGTGGTTCCAGCTACTCAAGAGGCTGAGGTGGGAGTATTGCTTGAGCCTGGGAGGTCAAGGCTGCAGTGAGCTGAGCTGTGACTGAGCCACTGTACTCCAGCCTGAGAGAGAGAATGAGCTCATATGTCTAAAAGATAATAATAATAATTTTTTATTGTTCAGAATTAACTTTTATAATTTTAGAGACCAAGGATAATCGAGATAGCCTGTAATTATTTAGCATAAATAAAGGAGAGAGACATGAAGACTTGTTTTTTGTTTTGTTTTCGTTTTAGACACAGGGTCTTGCTCTGTCACCCATGCTGGAGTGCAAAGGGATAATCAGCTCACTGCAGCCCCTAACTCCTGGGCTCAGGTGATCCACCTGCCTCAGCCTCCCGAGTAGCTGGGACTACAAGTGTATGTCATCATGCCCAGCTAATTTTTGTATTTTTTGTAGAGACAAGGTTTCGCTATGTTGCCCAGGCTGTTATTGAGCTCCTGGCCTCAAGCAATCCTACTGCCTCAGGCTCCCAAAGTAATGAGATTCCAGGAGTGAACCCCCATGCCTGGCCTATAAAATGTTTTTTAACCTTTATTTAAGGTAAATTGTCGTCCCATTTTGCACATGAGGAAAGTGAGACCGAATGGATAATTAGTAACTTGTTCAGGTTGATATGGGTAATACACATAACTGGGATCCCCAGTACTGTTCCATGTTGCCTCTGCAGACACACAATAGGATTGAAGAAAAGGTGTGAAATATCTTACGAATGGCACCATGCTGGCCATCTTCTGCCACAAAATATAAGATCCGAGATTTCATTATTCTATCCACTTGCAGCCCCAAATTCAAAACAAATACATTAATGTGCATTATAACAGACATTAAAAATACTCAGATTTCTTGTATTTCTTAATCTTGTTCTTGGTGTCTTATGTCGAAATGAGGAAATTTAGGATCATTTTAATTGGTGAATTTTTTTACTCTGGGATCCAGAAGTCTGTTAGAACTCCTATTTATAAAACTGCTAAGTGAACTATGCCAAGAACTTACCCAAACCCCTCACTTGGCTGTCATTAGTGTCACCAGTCAATGTTTTATTTTTATGTATGAAAAAAATGCCTTGCTATCATCAAAGTAGGCTGGGGGGATTTCTTCTGGTGGGGATGGGGGTGTAGCAAGGAAGATTGTGAAGAGGTCCATAATGATCTTCCGGAATGGGACTGGGGTGAGGCAACTGCAAAATTAAGTGTGCCCCAAACCCCACTATTAATCAAGATAAGTGCCATTTTTATGCAATATTTTTAAAAATCAAAATTAATGCAGAAAAATCCATGATGAGCAAAACATCAACATTTTCAGTAAAGGCAGGATCCAACAGGGCTGAGATTAGGGGGGTGGTAAGTGATGTGAGTCATGCGAATGCAAAGTCTGTCTTATTTAAAAGTTTGATATTTTGTTCATCATAGATTTTTTTGCATTAACTTTGTTTTTCACATGGTATTAAGATATTATCTTGATTGGGTTTTTGGGCACCCGCTTAAATTTTGCACTTGAGGCAAGTGCTTCACATGCCTTATTTAGTCCTGGGTCTACAGATCTGCATGAATCCTTCCTAGGGAAAGCTAGAAGCAGCTGCCATATCACCTGCCCCAGACATGCCCAGCTTTGGTGACCTGAGCAACATGGGGCTCAGGAAATGCTGTCTTTTCCTGGCATCACTGATGGTGAGAGGAAGCTTTTTCAGCCTCTCTGTGTTTTGCCTTGTTTATCTCATCATGGGGCATGTGTGGCAGCATCTGGCTGGTAAGCAACTTTTCCAGGTGGTATCACAGATTAAGCAGACTCCATAGACCCAATGCGGGGGGAGTGGGTCTTCTTGCCAAGTCTTCACGTTCCTTGGCTGAAAAGTAAGATGCCTGAAAGTCCTATGGAAACCCAAACAATTAAAAGTACACATTAAGCCTTAATAATGCTTGTCAATTTTGAAAAAATCGAGACCGGGTATTCATTGGCCAGCCAGGCTGGAGGGCAATAGTGTGATCATAGCTCACTGCAGCCTCAAACTCCTGGGTTCAAGGGATCCTCCTGCCTTAGCCTCCTGAGTAGCTGGGACTACAAGTGTACACCACTATGCCTGTCTATTTAAAAACATTTTTTTTGGTTAAGATGAGGTCTTGCCATGTTGCTCTCGCTGGTCTCAAACTCCTGGGCTCAACCCTGCCTGCCTCAACCTCCAAAAGTGCTGGGATTACAAGTGTGAGCCACCACCTCATCTGGCCAAAATGATGTTTTTAGATAAATAAAAACTAAGATAATTCATTGCCAGCAGACCTGCATTATTAAAAATGCTAAAGGAAAACGTTTCAGGGTAAAAGGACATGATATGAGATATCTTCAGAATGAAGAACACCAGAAATAGTAAGTATAAGAGTAACATAAAAAGTAATTTTTCTGGCCAGGCAAAATGGCTCACACCTGTGATCCTAGCACTTTGGGAGGCTGAGACCGGTGGATTGCCTAAGCTCAGGAGTTCAAGGCCAGCCTGGGCAAGATGGTGAAACCCTGTCTCTACTAAAATACGAAAAATCAGCTGGGTGAGGTGGCGGGTGCCTGTAATCCCAGCTACTTAGGAGGCTTGAACCCAGGAGGCGGAGGTTGCAGTGAGCCAAGATCATGCCACTGCACCCCAGCCTGTGCCAGAGTGAAACTCTGTCTCAAAAAAAGCAATTTTTCCTCTTCACTTTTTAAAAATCCTATGATTGTTTAAAGCAAAAATTATAACCTCTTACTATGAGATTTATAATTTACATAGATATAATATATAATACACATTTTATATTTTATTTATTTATTTATTTATTTATTTATTCTTTCTTTCTTTCTGAGACAGGGTCTCGCTCTGTCGCCCAAGGTGGAGTGCAGTGGTGCGATCTCAGCTCACTGCAACCTCCGCCTCCTGGGTTCAAGTGATTCTCCTGCCTCAGTCTCTTGAGTAGCTGGGATTACAGGCATGCACCAGCACGCCCAGCTAATTTTGTATTTTAGTAGACATAGGGTTTCACCATGCTGGCCAGGCTAGTCTCGAACTCCTGACCTCAAGTGATCCGCCTGCCTTGGCTTCCCAAAGCGCTGGGATTATAGGCATAAGCCACCGCTCCTGGCCCATAATACACATTTTAAAGTGGTACAATATTAATTCTAAGTAGATTGTGAAGCATTAGGATATGTATTATAATTTCTATAGTGACTACTTAAAATGCAAAGAGTATGTTAATAAAAGCTAATACATAAATGCAAGTAGTTTTTTGTTTTTTGTTTTTTTTTGAGACAGAGTTTTGCTCTTGTTGCCCAGGCTGGAGTGCAGTGATGCAATCTTGGCTTACTGCAACCTCCGTCTCCCAGGCTCAAGCGACTCTCCTGCCTCAGCCTCCTGAGTAGCTGGGATTACAGGCGTGCCGTACGCCACCACGCCCAACTAATTTTTTGTATTTTTAGCAGAGACGGGGTTTCATCATGTTGGCCAGGCTGGTCTTGAACTCCTGATCTCAGGTGATCCACCCACCTCAGTCTCCCAAAATGCTGTAGCTGGGACTATAGGCATGCGCCACCATGCCCGGCTAATTTTTTTTTTTTTTTTTGTATTTTTAGTAGAGATGGGGTTTCACCATGCTGGCCAGGCTGGTCTTGAACTCCTGACCTCAAGTGATCCGCCCACCTCAGCTTCCCAAAGTGCTGGGATTACAGGCGTGAGCTACCATGCCCAGCTGAAAGTAGATTTCTAAAAAATATTCAATTAACTCAGAAGAAGGCAAGAAAGGAGCAACAGAGGAACAGGAAAAGGGTGGGGGTAATGAACAGAGGAACAGTACAATGGTAGACCTACTTCCAACCATACCAATAATTATGTTAAATGTTAATGGTCTAAAACACTTCACTTAAAAGGTAGAGATAGCCAAGCAGATTTTAAAAAGCATAATCCAACTATACTCTGTCTACAAGAGACACACAAAAGAGGTTGATAGGAAATAGATGGGAAAAATGTATTATGCAAACAATAAGCATAGGAAAGTTGAAGTGCCTACATTAAATCAAAGTAGTCTTCAGGATGAGATTATTATTAGAGGTTAAAAGAGAAATTTTATAATAATAAATATCACCTGGAAGGCATAATAATCATACATATGTGTACACCTAATAACAGAGTTTCAAGATACATGAAGCAAAAACTGACAGAATGGCAGAATTAAAGGGAGAAATACAAAAATCCACTATCATATCATAGTTGGACATTTTACTTCTCAGTATCTAATAAAGAAACTAGACAGGCCAGGCGCGGTGGCGCATGCCTGTAATCCCAACATTTTGGGAGGCCGAGGTGGGCAGATTGCCTGAGGTTGAGAATTGGAGACCAGCCTGACCAACATGGAGAAACCCCGTCTCTACTAAAAACGCAAAAAATTAGCTGGGTGTGGTGGCAGGTGCCCGTAATCCCAGCTACTCGGGAGGCTGAGGCAGGAGAATCGCTTGAACCTGGGAGGCGGAGGTTGTGGTGAGCTGAGATCACACCATTGCACTCCAGCCTGGGTGACAGAGTGAGACTCTGTCTCAAAACAAACAAACAAACAAACAACAACAACAACAAAAAGACAAAGGAAGATATATGAATGGCTAATAAACGCTTGAAAAGGTGCTCAACACCATTAGTTATTCAGGGAAATACGAATTAAACCACAACGAGGTATCACTCCACACTCAATAGCTTAAGTTAAAAAGCCTGACAACACCAGATGTTGGCATGGATATTGAACAATACTTTCCTATATTGTTGGTGGGAGTGCAAAATCATACAACTCACTTTGAAATAAAGTTCTGGAAGTTTCGTGTAAAACTAAACATACACGTATTACCTAGTGATTTCAGTCCCAGATATTTACCCAAGAGTAATGAAAGCATATGTCCACAAAAAGACTAGATTGAAAATGTTCATAGCATTTTTCTTCATAAGGCCCAAAAACTGGAAACCTTCCAGATGTTGGTCAACAGGGGGATGGATAAGGAAATTGTGGTGTATTCATACAAGAGAATATTACTCAGCAATAAAGAGGAACAAGTTGTTCATGCAACACCATAAATAAATTTCAAAACCGCGCTGAGTGAAAGAAGCTGTTGACAAACAAGTGCATATTGTATGATGGTATTTATATGAAGTTCTAAATCTGGCAAAGCTAATCTATGGTGCAAAAAATGAGAACACAATGGTGGTGAGGGAAATTGGGTAGGTGCCTGAGGGAACTTTCTGGGTGATAATGTTTCATGTTTTGACAGGGGTATAGGTTACACAGGTGCATACATTTCTTAAACTCATTGAATGGCACAGTTCACATACATGCATTTCACTTTGTAGAAATTTTCCCTCAAAGAAAAACTCATAAATAAATATTAAACCTTTGTGAATGATATTGAAATGTTTGAGGGTAAAGTGGACTGCTGTGTAGAGTTTACTCTACACATGCATTTATTTTTTATTTTTATTTTTGAGACAGAGTCTTGCTCTGTTGCCCAGGCTGGAGTGCAATGGCACGATCTTGACTCACTGCAACCTCCGCCTCCCGGGTCCAAGTGATTCTCCTGCCTCAGCCTCTTGAGTAGCTGAGATTACATGCACCTGCCACCACACTAGCTAATTTTTTGTATTTTTAGTAGAGTTGGGGTTTTAGCATTTTGGCCAGGCTGGTCTCAAACTCCTGACCTCAAGTGATCTGCCCGCCTTGGCCTCCCAAAATGCTGGGATTAAGGCTTGAGCCACCGCGCTCAGCCAACACATGCATTTTAAAAATGCGTTAAAAAAAAAAAAAGATGAATTGGCCAGGCATGGTGGCTCACACCTGTAATCCTAGCACTTTGGGAGACTGAGGTGGCTGGATTGCTTGAGCTCAGAGGTTTGAGATCAGCGTGGGCAACATAGTGAGACCCCATCTCTACAAAAAATACAAAAATTAGTCAAATGTGGTGGCATGCAGCTGTAGTCCCAGCTACTTGGGAGGCTGAGGTGGGAGGCTGGCTTGAACCTGGGAGGCAGAGGTTGTAGTGAGCTGAGATGGAGCCACTGTACTCCAGCTTGGGTAACAGAGCAAGGCTCTGTCTCAAAAAAAAAAAAAAAAAAAAGATGAATTGATAAATGGATATAGGATAGATAAGTGATAAAGCAAATATAAAATTTTAATTTAGAATATGAGTGGTTGGTTCATAATAGTTATTGACTGTACAATTATTTCAACATTTCTATATGTTTGAAAAATTTCAAAGTAAACTCTTGGGGGGAACTTGAGTATTAGACATGTCCAAATATGTTTATAGCAGCACCATTTGTAATGGCCCCCAAGTGGAAACCACTTATATGTCCATCAACAATACATTGTGGTATAATCATGTAATGGAAGAGTATATAATAATCAGAATGAAAGATCTATGAGTATATGCAACAGCATGAATGAATCTCACAAATATAATGTTAAGTGAAAGAAGTCAGACATAAAATATAAGACCCATTCATATAAGGTGTAGAAACAGGCAAAACAAGTTCATGCCATTCAGAGTCAGGCTAGTGATTGCCCTTGGGCCGAGTCATGGCTAGAAGAGGACATGGGGGGCTCCTGGGTGTCCTTGAGTAAGCTTCTGTTGCTTGACTTGGGTGCTGGTTATATGAGTCTGCACAGTTTGTGAAAATTCATTGAGTGGCACATACTTCTCCCTATTATCTATTATATGCTCCAGTGAAAAGTTTTTCAAAAATTAATGTTAGCCCTCACTCCTCCTAAAACAGGTTCCTCAGCCCAGCCCCACCCCTGGGAATTCTTTGCCAGCCATCTTGCTCACATCTCCCTTCTCCCAGTTCCCAGGCTCTGACACGCCTGTCTCCCTCACCTGCCAGGGAAGAACTCAGTGCAGAGGAATTTAGTTCTCAACCTCTACCCTCATCTAGGCTGCAGGATGAATCCAACTAGAAAAGACTTATTAATGACCTAAACCATGGAGCCAAGCAGCCCAGGAGAAATTCCTTTGCTTCCTTACAACCACAAAAATTGCCATGGGCATTTTTTTACAAGCAAAATTTGTCTTCCCTTTACAGAGATGTCAGCATATTCCCCTTCTACCACCCTGAGTTATCCCTTCCATCTTCTTTGCTTGAAAGTGGTGGTTGCAGCTCACTTCCTTTGCCAAATCTGGGAAGCAGTGACTTGCCTAAGAGATTGTTCTAGTGCTTCAGCTCAGGCTTGAGGGTCCCTTGGCTGAGCCAATCCTCAGACCTCAGCAAAGCCTGGATGGAGGTGTATGGGGGAATGGGGGTAAGAGGACAGGGGAGGAAGGAACAGAAATATGGTGGTGAGATGAGAGTAAGATACAGAACTCAAGGACAAAATCCCTGCCCTGCCTAGTCTTACCGAGAAGTCTAGAGGAATCCACATCTAAACTAAGCAAGAGCACTATTTAATTAAGCATTTCTTATTTTCATCTGATGGGTCAAGTTTCAGTCCTCTTGTTACTTGACCAATGGGAAGCATTTGACACAGTCAACCTTTCCCTCTATCTTGAAACGCTCTTCAAGTAAGTTTCTTCTTACCTCCTTATTTTATTTTATTTTATTTTTTTGGTCTGCTCCTGCGGGTTCCTCCTCATCTAAATGTTGGAGTGCCCCAGGGCATGATCCTTAGACCTCTCTTCTTAAGCTACTTTCACTTCCTTGATGACTTCACCCACTTTTGTGACTTTAAAAAATACCATCTATACCCTCATAACTTCCGCATTGGCGTTTCCAGCCAGCTCTCTCCCCTAAACTTCAGAACTGCTTGTTGAACCACCTACTCATCTCCACCTAGGTCCCTAGTAGGCATCTCAAATGCATCATGTCCAACGCTGAGCTCCTGATCCCTCCTCCAAACCCATTCCTCCCACGGTTATCTCAGTAAATGGCAACTCCATTCTTCCTGATGCTCAGGCCAAAAACCTGGGTGTCATTCCTAACTCCTCCCTTTCTCTCACCTCCCACCTCCAAACTGTCAGGAAATTTTGTTGACTTAACTTCAAAACACAGAATCCAACTACTCTTGCCACCTTCACTCCCTCCATCCAAGCCACCATCAGCCTCCACCATTATTCACAGCATCCCTGCCTTGTGCTTCCTCAGTCTGCTCTCAACACAATGGCCATAGTCGTACTGTTTTTTTGTTTGTTTTGTTTTGTTTTTTTTTGAGGTGGAGACTCGCTCTGTTGCCTGGGCTGGAGTGCAATGGCGCGATCTCAACTCACTGCAACCTCCACCTCCTGGGTTCAAGCGATTCTCCTGCCTCAGCCTCCCAAGTAGGTGGGATTACAGGCATCTGCCACCACACACGGCTAATTTTTGTATTTTTAATAGAGACAGTGTTTCCCATGTTGGCCAGGCTGGTCTCAAAGTCCTGACCTCAGGTGATCTACCCGCCTTGGCCTCCCAAAGTGCTGGGATTATAGGTATGACGCACCACACCTGGCCCAGAGTTGTACTGTTAAAATGCAAATGTTAGGGCTCAGAAAATGATACCCCAAAGTATAGTGCTTTGGCAGGCTTAGTACTTTGAACTAAAGGACATTAGAAGGCCTCAGAAGCAAAGTATCTCTCTGACATTTTCTTGCCCTCCTATCTCCTGCCCCTTTTTCTCCACTGAAGTGAGTCATAGAAACCAGAATTCCTCTTTCTCCAAGCCACATCATAAAAACTAGAAACCTGGGTGGGGCAAAGTGGCTCACGCCTGTAATCCCAGCACTTTGGGAGGCCAAGGTGGGTGGATCACCTGAGGTCAGGAGTTTGAGACCAGCCTGACCAATATGGTGAAACCCCGTCGTTACCAAAAATACAAAAATTAGCCAGGCGCGGTGGCACATGCCTGTAATCCCAGCTACTCGGGAGGCTGAGGCGGGAGAATGGCTTGAACCGGGAGGCGGAGTTTGCAGTGAGCCAAGATTGCGCCACTGCACTCTAGCCTGGGCGACAGAGTGAGACTCTATCTCAAAAAACAAAAACAAAACACCCAAAAATGTAGAACCCCTCTCCCCCAAAGTGATATTTCTCCCCCTAGAAATATCACTCACTCTAACCTTCGCCCACCTTTCTGTGGAGGAGCTGGCCATTAAGAAATTCTCTGACCTCCCTCATCTGAGAGTAAGTCATAAGGCCCTCTTTCCAGAAAGGTCCTACCCTATATCTGAGAGGAAGAAATGCTACACAGAAAGGCCAAGAAGAATCGGCACAGACAGGCCTTGCTAGGTTTCCCCCTCAGTCTGTTTGCATTAGATCATACCCCCCTTGACTAATCACATCTCTACACAGCCGCCCATTCTTCCTTGAAGCTAAGCAGAAAAATGGACAGTTTTCCCGGGGTGTTTAGGTCTTCATTTCTGAAGTTCCCTGTGTCATGTAAAACTTTGATTAAATATCATGCTAAAAACTCTCAATAAACTAGGTATTGATGGGACGTATCTCAAAACAATAAGAGCTATTTATGACAAACCCACAGCCAATATCATACTGAATGGGCAAAAACTTGAAGCATTCCCGTTGAAAACTGGCACAAGACGGGGATGCCCTCTCTCACCACTCCTATTCAACATAGTGTTGGAAGTTCTGGCCAGGGCAATCAGGCAAGAGAAATAAATAAAGGGTATTCAATTAGAAAAGGAGGAAGTCAAATTGTCCCTGTTTGCAGATGACATGATTGCATATTTAGAAAACTCCATCATCTCAGCCCAAAATCTCCTTAAGCTGAGAAACAACTTCAGCAAAGTCTCAGGATACAAAATCAATGTGCAAAAATCACAAGCATTCCTATACACCAATGACAGACAAACAGAGAGCCAAATCATGAGTGAACTCCCATTCACAATTGCTTCAAAGAGGATAAAATACCTAGGAATCCAACTTACAAGGGATGTGAAGGACCTCTTCAAGAAGAACTACAAACCACTGCTCGACGAAATAAAAGAGGACACAAACAAATGGAAGAACATTCCATGCTCATGGATAGGAAGAATCAATATTGTGAAAATGGCCATACTGTCCAAGGTAATTTATAGATTCAATGCCATCCCCATCAAGCTACCAATGACTTTTTTCACAGAATTGGAAAAAACTACTTTAAAGTTCATATGGAACCAAAAAAGAGCCTGCATTGCCAAGACAATCCTAAGCCAAAAGAACAAAGCTGGAGGCATCAGGCTATCTGACTTCAAACTATACTACAAGGCTACAGTAACCGAAACAGCATGGTACTGGTACCAAAACAGAGATATAGTTCAACGGAACAGAACAGAGGCCTCGGAAATAATACCATCTGATCTTTGACAACCTGATAAAAACAAGAAATGGGGAAAGGATTCCCTCTTTAATAAATGGTGCTGGGAAAACTGGCTAGCCATATTTAGAAAGCTGAAACTGGATCCCTTCCTTACACCTTATACAAAAATTAATTCAAGATGGGTTAAAGACTTAAATGTTAGACCTAAAACCATAAAAGCCTTAGAAGAAAACCTAGGCAATACCATTAAGGCCATAGGCATGGGCAAGGACTTCATGACTAAAACACCAAAAGCAATGGCAACAAAAGCCAAAATTGACAAATGGGATCTAATTAAACGAAAGAGCTTCTGCATAGCAAAAGAAACTACCATCAGAGTGGACAGGCAACCTACAGAGTGGGAGACAATTTTTACAATCTACCCATCTGACAAAGGGCTAATATCCAGAATCTACAAAGAACTTAAACAAATTTACAAGAAAAAAAATCAAACAACCCCATCAAAAAGTGGGCAAAGGATATGAACAGACATTTCTAAAAAGAAGACATTTATGCAGCCAACAGACACATGAAAAAATGCTCATCATCACTGGCCATCAGAGAAATGCAAATCAAAACCACAATGAGATACCATCTTACACCAGTTAGAATGGCGATCATTAAAAAGTCAGGAAACAACAGGTGCTGGAGAGGATGTGGAGAAATAGGAATGCTTTTACACTGTTGGTGGGACTATAAACTAGTTCAACCATTGTGGAAGACAGTGTGACAATTCCTCAAGGATCTAGAACTAGAAATACCATTTGACCCAGCCATCCCATTACTGGGCATATACCCAGAGGATTATAAATCATGCTGCTATAAAGACACATGCACACATATGTTTATTGCGGCACTATTCACAATAGCGAAGACTTGGAACCAACCCATATATCCATCAATGATAGACTGGATTAAGAAAATGTGGCACATATACACCATGGAAATACTATGCAGCCATAAAAAAGGATGAGTTCATGTCCTTTGTAGGGACACGGATGAAGCTAGAAACCATCATTCTGAGCAAACTATCACAAGGACAGAAAACCAAACACCACATGTTTTCACTTATAGGTGGGAATTGAACAATGAGAACACTTGGACACAGGGTGGAGAACATCACACGCCGGGGCCTGTCGTGGGGTTGGGGGAGGGGGAAGGGATAGCATTAGGAGATATACCTAATGTAAATGATGAGTTAATGGGTGCAGCACAGCAACATGGCCCATGTATACATATGTAACAAACCTGCATGTTGTGCACATGTACCCTAGAACTTAAAGCATTAAAAAAAAAAAAAACCTTTGATTAAATAAATGTGTAAGGGCCAGGCGTGGTGGCTCAGGCCTGTGATCCCAGCGCTTTAGGAGGCCAAGACAGGCGGATCACTTGAGGTCAGGAGTTAGAGACCAGCCTGGCCAACATGGTGAAACCCCGTCTCTACTAAAAATACAAAAATTAGCCGGGCGTGGTGGCGGGCACCTGTAATCCCAGCTACTCAGGAGGCTGAGGCAGGAGAATCGCTTGAACCCAGGAGGCAGATGTTGCAGCGAGCCCAGATTGCGCCATTGCACTCCAGCCTGGGGGACAAGAATGAAACTCAGTCTCAAATAAATAAATAAACAAACAAACGTGTTAGGCTTTTCTCTTGTTAACCTATCTTTTGTTATAGGAGTGTTGGCAGTGACCTTTATGATGGGTGAGGAAAGGCATCACACTTTCCCACCCCACACTAGGCTACTCAGAATCCTCTACGAGCTCCCCATTCCACTCGGAATAAACACCAACACCCTCGCCAGGCTCTGCAGGCCTCCACAGAGGCTGGTGTCCTCTTCTCACCTCTCTCACTGCATTCCTAACTATGCTTGCCTTCACTTGTCCTCCTCCCGTCACGCTGGTCCCCTCGTTGTTCCTTGAGTGCAGCAGGCACACGTCGGCCTCTGTGCCCTTGTAGTTTCCCTTCCCTCCATTTCAAATGCCCTTCCCTTTCCATGCCTCAGTCTTCTTAGCTCTGAAGTTTGGTATCACATTCCCAGTAAGGCCTGCCCTGGCCACTCTGTGTGCAATTCTACCTTTTCTGACACATTCTCTATCTCCTTTCTCTGTCTTATTTCTCAATTTAGCACTTATTGCTATCTAATACAGTTTTTTTCTTTTCTTTTTTTTTTTTTTTTTTTTTTTGAGATGGAGTCTTGCTCTGTCACCTAGGCTGGAGTTCATTGGCGTGATCTTGGCTCACTACAACCTCCTCCTCCGAGATTCAAGCCATTCTCCTGCCTCGGCCTCCCAAGTAGGTGGGACAACAGGTGTGTGCCGCCATGCCCAGCTAATTTTTGTATTTTCAGTTGAGACAGGGTTTCACAATGGTGGCCAGGCTGGTCTCGAACTCCTGACCTCAGGTGATCCACTGCCTTGACCTCCCAAAGTGCTGGGATTACAAGTGTGAGCTACCACGCCTGGCCTTAATATAATTTTTTTACGTATTTATATTCTTTTTTTTTTTTTTTTTTTTTGAGATGGGGTCTCATTCTGTTGTCCAGGCTGGAGTGCAGTGGCATCATCACAGCTCACTGCAGCCTCAAACTCCTGAGCTTAAGCCATTCTCCAGCTTCAGCCACCGGAGTAGCTGGGACTACAGGGACACAGCACCACTCCAGGCCAATTTTTATATTTTTTGTAGAGATGGGGTTTCACCCTGTTGCCCAGGCTGGTCTCTAACTCCTGGGCTCAAGCGATCTACCCGCCTCAGCCTCCCAAAGTGTATTTGTATTTTTGCGTGTCAGTCTGCTTCCATAGAATGTAAAGTCCGTGAGGGCAAGGACTTTTGTCTGTTCTGTTCACAGCTGGGTCTCCTAGAACAGCGTCTGGCATACATAGGTGCTCAATAATTATTGCACAAATGAATGATGATTTCAAAATGTCCTGCGAGGTGTTAACAGACTAGAGGAAGTCAGTCAGTTAAGGGAGAGCTCAGAGTGGGCTGCAGATATCTGGAAGGGGGTGGAATTTCCTTCAGTCTTTAGAGAATGGGGGGTCCTTGGAAAGGTGAGAAGAAAGGGAGACTCATTTGCACAGTGATTAAGGGTGTGGGCTTTTGGACTTGGTGGCTCACACTTGTAATCCCAGCACTTTGGGAGGCTGAGGCGGGCAGATCACCTGAGGTCAGGAGTTTGAGACCAGCCTGACCAACATGGAGAAACCCCATCTCTACTAAAAATACAAAATTAGCTGGGCATGGTGGCACATGTCTGGAATCCCAGCTACTTGCTTGAACCCTGGAGGTGGAGATTGCGGTGAGCCGAGATCGCACCATTGCACTCCAGCCTGGGCAACAAGAGCAACACTCTGTCTCAAAAAAAAAGAAAAAAAAAAAGAGTGTAGGCTTTGTAGTCAGCAGCCTGGGTCCAAGTCCCGCCTCAGCTATGCACAAGGCACCTAATTTCTCTGGGCCTCAGTTTCCATATCTATAAAATGGATCTAACCATAGCACCTACCTCATGGGGTGTTTGTTTTCTTAAAGGATCCAGTGAAATACTTTATATATAATGTCTAGGCAAGGGCAGAGTACTTAGGAAGACTTTGCTCAAAAAGTTGTAGTTATCACTACATAGAACTTAGGATACTTAAGAGCTAGGACTTCATGTCAAAGGTATCATGGAACCTCTCAAACAGGGAACAGAGAGATGGAGCTAGTTTAGACTTAAGAGGAACAGCCCCTAATGGGTATAACAGTTTCTGTCTCACAACTATCAGTTTCTGGCCTCAGCCACCTGGGTTGAACCCAATTCCCATCTCACATTAGTTAAGATGGCTTTGCTTACAAGAAAATAAGGAATCAAAATTAGGCACAAACATGGCATGAGGCCTCTTCTGGGGACCAAGTAGCTGCCTGTCGCTGATGCAATCAGAGTAAAGAGAAATGATTCAGTTCAATCCTGCCACCAACCTCAGGATTTTGGCCAAGTGCAGGTTTGGGGTTGGTTGGTGGGTTATTTTTTCCCTTCCTGATTTGAAAGACTGACTTTGTGTTTCAAAAAGGCACTTTCTTTATGCAGAGAAACTCTGTGGTGAGGTTTTGCTGAGCTCGGTCTGGGGTGGACTACCTTTGCTTATGTCTGGGGAGAGAATGAAATCTAGTGCCCCTAATTTTTCTTTCCCTTCCACCCAGTAAAGACACAGAGCTGAAAGGTGTCTTTCAAAAGGGCTGGAGACAAGGGAGCTGACTCCCAGGTAAAAGGACACTGTACAGGAGACTGCCAGAGAAGTGGCTTCTTGTTTGTTAGCATGGGTTTGTGGTGAGGAGGTCTGTGAAGCCTTCCCCCAGAGTACCCGGGACTAAACAGAACAAATACAACCTCTATTTGTTCATCTCTCCCCTGGCTTTAGATGGTGCTTTATGGCCAGGGTTATGGGGATCAGCTGAAATCCAGGCTGATGTTTATTCCTGGGATTGCAAAGACAGACAAATACCTCTCTGTCCTTTCATTTACCAGGCCAGGAGGGCAGGAGACATTTTTGATCAAGCAGGCAGGCAGTGAAGAGTTATTTTTTAGGTGCCCACTGTGTCCCTGTTGCTGAGCCACGTAAGTATAAATAGAAAAAGTACAAGATTCAGGCTTCAGCCCTGAAGACACATAAAATCCAGTTAATAGGAGGAGGCTTGGTGGGCAAAACAAACTCAAGAGAACCTGTTAACAAACAGTGATGTGAGTTAGGAAGAATTAAACGAGGTAAGCGAGGAGGAAGATGAGCAGGAGATGGCGGGGGGTGGTGCAGCTCTTGGAGGAAACTTCACAGGGAAGGTTTGTAAGACAATAAGCAACATATACTCTGGTTTCTCTTCAAAACGAATACATCTTTCCCCTTTTACAATAAGTAACATGGCTACAGAAAGCACATCTGTTTTTTTCCCCACTGTAGCCCAGCGCTTAGCATAATGTCTGACACACAGTGGGCATTCAGTAAATGTCTGAAGAATGGATGGAGAAGGAGGGGGCTGATTTAAGAAGGATAAGTAGGTGAAGAAGAGGGAGGAGGGCATTCCAGCATGAGGAAAGGCCCAGAGAAATGAGCCGGATGCCTTGGTGAGACTGGTTTAACCACAGTGGAGGGTGTGGAGTAAGGAGTAGTGGGTAATGAGGTTAGATACGGGGCCAGATGGGGGAAGGCTGGAAAGCCAGGCAGAGAAATTTAGAGGAGATGAACATTCCTTCATTCTTTCATCAAGCTTTTATTGAGCACATGCTACGCTCTAGGCACAGAGGCAAGGGAAAGTAGTGGAGACAGAAAGATGAAAAAAAGACATGACCATCTGTTGGGGATAGGCAGAATATCTATCTTTTATTGTAATAACTGTGATAATCATAATATGGGCAAAATATTTTGATATTCTAATCAATTAAGTTGCATGAAACTGAGGCCGTACCAAACTTGCTCAAATAAATTGGGAGTTTATTGAAAGGTGCATCAGACATCCAAGGCTAAGACATGGATTCAAAAGAGACCTGGTAAATTGGGCACCGACCCTCCTCCTTCTCTCCTTTCCTCTCTTGCGATCATGCCTCATGGATGGTCTCTTACTTCTGCTCTTTTCTGTACATAGGCTTCATCCTCTGGCTTATCTCTCTTATTAGGATTTTACCTGGTGCAAGCTTGACATCTTAATGCCACAATACTCTCCTGCTCCAGGCCCAACCTTCCTCATTCACTCTCTGAACTATTTAAGTCAGACTCTGAAGGACAAAGAAGCCGATTGGCTCAGTTCAGCCCATGGGCTGGGTCAGGTGATCACTCAGAACCAATCAGCTGTGGCCAAGAAGAAAATCATGTGATTAAAATATGGCTGCCTAAGCCTACCAAGAATTCTGGATGAAGGTCAATTACAAAGAAGGGGTGTGCACCAGGAGACAACAATAGACAAGCTTAATTCCCACAGGTTAACAATGCAGGGAGCAAATCAATTCACTTGGGTTGGGTTACCCCAAGGTAAGGGAGAAGGCCTGATTTAAAGGTCCGATTTAGTCCTGGGGTGGGAGGAAAGACGTTCCTGCTGTCGATGAAAGCGGCATTCTACAGCCACTAGACTGGCTGCAGCTCTTTCAAAGAATTGAAAACATCGAGAAACTGAAGGGACCCAGACCATCCAGAAAGCTTTTGCCTAATCCAGAACGGAGAGTTTAGAGATAAGTCCTTTTTTAAAAATGTAGCTTTTTGGTTGTTAAGGGCAGAATCTGCTTCTCACTTGTTGCTATAACCTCTGGCCACATAGGCTCATTGTAGAAACTCACTACGCATTTGTTCAATTGAGTTTAAGTCCTCTAAAACCCAGACAATCAACAAACATGTTGCTATTTGTATTCTGTTAGAAACAGAGTCTAGACTAGGAACACAAAACAAAACAAAACAAAAAATCAAAACATGATTTTTCTGATTACTGATGCAGGACTCGGGTCACTGGATGCAGATTTGATGAGAAGTAAAAATGCAGCAGCGGGAGAGTCTGAGGCAAGGTGCCTGGCGGAGAGCTAGATAAACAGATAGTGCTGTGCCCGGTGGCTCCAGGGGCAGATCAAAGCCGGATTTCCCAGCACAGGTAGCAAGCATGGCAGGAATCTGGGAGACCTCTCACCCAGTCCCCAACCCACGCTCACAGATGGAAAGCCACACCATTATTGGTCACACCTTTGCGCATTGCCAGCACGCAGGCGTTTGTGACAAATCTTTTATAGTCTAGTATATAGCTCTCTCAGATAGGCAGCTGTGATATGATTGGGCCCTGTGATTTCTGGCTAGGCCGCCTGGGTTCAGTTCACAGCTGATGTCGGGCCCACTTGGCAAGCGTCTCAACTACTTAACTGCTTTGTGTCTTAGTTTCCAAATTTGTAAAACAGGGAGAATAAACTCCCTTAGGGGGTTGTTGAGGGGATTAAGTGAGATAATATGTATTTATGCACATGCATGTAATATGCAAAGCAATGAAAATAGTGTCTGGCGCATTGTAAGCAATTATGGTTACTATCACTGCTACCAAAAAAACTAGACTACAGAGAAGAGCTTCCAACCTGGAGGACTCTAAAGATCATTAAAACCCACAGAGAGTGACCTGTTGGTAGATATGATTTGGGCCTGCTTGAAACCCATCCCTCCTTTCTTCTGGGAACAGACCCTAGATAGGCCCAGGAACAGAAATTCTTTCCTAGGATTTTTCCAACTAGTAGAAAAAAGTGTACTCCCTCTCTCCACAACATTTCCACCTTTTGGGTTTCAAATAGTAAGGATGTCAGCTCAGAGCTGCCTTTGTTCATTTCCCCTTCCCTGTGGAGTAGCTGGCCTGAGAGAATGAAGCCGATTTGCAGAGAACCTGGAACAGAATTCTGGCTTGAGCAGAACTGGAGTTTCTGAATCCAGTTGACCGTGGATCCAGATACCCACTCCCACTGGTCTGTAATTTGATTACAGAAGTCATTAAATCAGTCTCTCTCCTGAAACTACTTTAGATTCGGTTTCTATTACTTGCAACTAGAATTTGTGCTTGAGGGTCAATTCAAGATGAAAACAGCGGAGTTTTAATTTTTTTTTTTTTACGTTGAACACCACCACCACTAAGTTTTATGGCAAACAGTGTAAAGTCTCACTGTTTACATTACTTTGTTTATTAAGTAAGAGCACAAGTAAGAAAATTGATGGTGTTTTGCCCAGGCGCGGTGGCTCACACCTGTAATCCCAGCACTTTGGGAGGCCGAGGTGGGTGGATTGCCTGAGGTCAGGAGTTCGAGACCAGCCTGGCCAAGATGGTGAAACCCCGTGTCTACTAAAAATACAAAAATTAGCAGGGCATGGTGGTATGCACCTGTAATCCCAGCTACTCGGGAGGCTGAGGCAGGAGAATTGCTTGAACGGGGAGGTGGAGGTTGCAGTGAGCCGAGATTGTGCCACTGCACTCCAGCCTGGGCAACAGAGCGAGATCCGTCTCAAAAAAAGAAGAAGAAAATTGATGGTGTTTTGTAGCCACTAAAATATTCCTATCTTGGAACATTTGGAAAGGAGTAACCCAGGGTCAGCTTTTAAAAGTTTCGTCTCTTAAGTTTTTGTTTGTTTGTTTTTTAGAGACGGGGGTCTCCCGCTGTTGCCCAGGCTGGCCTCTGGAGTGGCTGGGCCTATAGGCACATGCCACCAAACCGGATAATTTTAAGAAAAAAATTTTTATAGAGACAGGAGTCTCCCAATGTTGCCCATGCTGGTCTCAAACTCCTGGCCTCAAGCAGTCCTCCCACCTTGGCCTCCCAAGTAGCTGGGATTACAGGTGAGAGCCATTGTGCACGGCCATCTCTTAAATTTGTAAGCTCTTCAAAGGCTAGAGTACATTTACCTCAAGGGTTGCAAACTCTAATGCTACAGGAGCCAGGCAGGTAATACCTGGAGTGAAGTGGACGGGTGTATGTAAGACAAGGAGTGATGGGGACTGTGGCAAAGCAGTGAGTGCTTGATCCATCGGGGAGAAGCTGCTACCGCTCAACACCAGCCAATTGTTTCCATGTGCAAAATTTGGGTGCAGAGTTACCAAGCTGTCCAGTTTTTAAGAGATTCTGGACATTTGGAATATTTCATGAGAAATCCTCTCAGTTGTGAATGTTGGTTATGAATTCGGCTTTAAGAAATGATCATGTAAGAAGGGTGACCAACCATCCCGGTTTGTCCAGGACTGAGTTGTTTCCTGTGATGTCTAGGATAAGGGGTTTCCTGGGATGTGGAACTTTCTTTCTCTTTTCTTTTCTTTCTTTCTTTTTTTTTTTGAGACGGAGTTTTGCTCTTGTTGCCCAGGCTGGAGTGCAATGGCGCGATCTCGGCTACCGCAACCTCCGCCTCCTAGGCTCAAGCGATTCTTCTGCCTCAGCCTCCTGAGTAGTTGGGATTCCAGGCATGCGCCACCACGCCTGGCTAATTTTTTGTGTTTTTAGTAGAGACGGGGTTTCTCCATGTTGGTGAGGCTGGTCTCGAACTCCCGAGCGCAGGTGATCTGCCCACCTTGGCCTCCCAAAATGCTGGGATTACAGGCGTGAGCCACTGCGCCCGGCTGGGATGTGGAACTTCCACTGCACATAAGGATGAGTTGGTCACCCTATGTGTGGGCCAAATAGAATTAACATGAGACCGCTGGCTCATACACAATGGTCTCATTTCACCCCAGTGAAGTATCTGTGCCCTCTAGGTCGCTATCTCCACAATCCACTTTATAGAGACTTCTACAATAAGTGTGACACAGAAAATCTATTTATTCTATGACCAGTGAAACACTCTTTCATGTCCCCTTGTGGGCCTGGCTTTGTGTGATCAATAGGATTCAGGTCTCTTCCAGCTGCGTCTGATAGCTTCTCTATGGTTGTAAAATCTTTTCTCTGCTTGGGGTGGGCAAGGCCCTCTGGGTACCCAGGAGATTATAGAGTTTTTTTTTCCTTAATCCCTCCTCTTTCACCTGAAAGAAAGGCTACATATATAATTATATGCCATTTAATGAACTTGGACCTGCTCCACATTATGAATGTGGAAACTGCAAGCATTGGAGTAGGAGGTGACTTGCTTGTGGCACGCAGCACATTGGTCTAACCTCCAGTGTCTCGTTTGCTGGCATGGTACCTGACTCTTGTATTAAGCAAAGCGAAGGGGAAGAATATTTGCTGCCTGTCTCCTGGGTGCCAGGCCCCATTCTGGGTGCTCATATGGCCCTCCTAATTCCTTACAAACTCCCAAGAGGAGGACTGGCGTTCCAGGCCACCACCCTGCCAATCCAGGCGTGCCAGGAGGGCGTATGGAATTGCCAGGTTGTCATTGCACAAGGGGAGGGGTGTACGGCTCAGAATTGAGGGAAATGCTAAGGGTCACTCATAGGCTTGAGCACGAAGCTCACCAGGTGTCCGTGCTCTGTAGGTGGGTTGCAGGGAGAGCCAGGTCCACCCCTCTGTGAAGTTGTTCTTTGATGAGATGATGCGTATTAAGTGAACTATAAACTTTTAAGAGCACATTCCATACCCACTCGAAAACATTAGGAATCATTCCCTTTGGGAAAGTTGGTAGGCTCAAGGCAGTAGAGCGTGCTGCCAGCCTAGAGGGGCCCCTGTTAGTATTTCCTCTCACCACTAGTCTGAATTCTTGTAAGGGAGCCAAAATTAGAAAGAGAAGTTTGTGTTTTATTAATACCTTTAGCCCTTACAGCTTAGGTGTCTTTGGCTCCTTTGAACATAGTGGCAGGAAGACAGGATCACATCGCCGTTCCCAGCAGAAGGTTTTTTCCTGTCAAATCTGAATTCAGATCCCATCTCTGCCACTTATCCACTGAGTGATGTGGGAGGGCAGGCCACTGAACCTCTCCTGCCCTCAGATTTCCCCTCTAGGATGAGGCTAGTGAGTCCAAGTCATGGGGCTATTATAAAGATTAAAAATGAGATGGCCAGGGGCAGTGATGTGTCTGTAATCCCAGCTATTAATACTTGAGAGGCTGAGGTGAGAGGATTGCTTGAGCCCAGGAGTTTCAGGCTACAGTGAGCTATTATGGCACCACTGCACTCCAGTTTGGGCCACAGAGTGAGACCCTATCACTAAAAAAAAAAAAAAAAAAAAAAAAAAGAGAGAGAGGCCGGGCAGGGTGGCTCACGCCTGTAATCCAAGCACTTTGGGAGGCCGAGGCAGGTGGATCACCTGAGGTCAGGAGTTTGAGACCGGCCAACATGGTGAAACCTCGTCTCTACTAAAAATACAAAAAAAAATCAGCTGGGCATGGTGACGGGCGCCTGTTGTCCTAGCTACTCAGGAGGTTGAGGCAGGAGAATCACTTGAACCCAGGAGGCGGAGGTTGCAGTGAGCCGAGATCATGCCGTTGCACTCCAGCCTGGGTGACAGAACAAGACTCCGTCTCAAAAAAAAAAAAAAAAAAAAGAAGAGAAGTAATGGAAATGATATCCTCCAACTGCAAGCAACCCAAATGAATGTCCAAATGTCCTTTAACTCTTCAACTGATATACAGATAAACAAACTGTGGTACATCCAAATAATGGAATACAACTCGCCAATAACGAGAAACAGACTATTAACATGCACGACATATGCAACAACAACAGAGATGAATCTCACATGCACTCTGCCAAGTGAGAAAAGCAAGACACAAAAGAGTGCATATTTTTGTGGAATGATGTATGATTCCATCTATGAGACATTCTAGAAAACATAAAGCTAGAAGCACAGAGAACATACCAATGGTTGCTAGGGGTTGGGGGTGGCAATAGAGGAGACTGCAAAGGGGCATCAAAGAATTTGGTGGTGGGGGTGGGAGAAGTCTTTTTTATCTTTTTTTCTTTTTTTTTGAGATGGCGTCTCACTCTGTTGCCCAGGCTGGAGTGCGGTGGTATGATCTTGGCTGACTGCAACCTCCACCTCCTGGGTTCAAGCAATTCTCCTGCCTCAGCCTCTCAAATAGCTGGAATTACAGGCATGCGCCACCATGCCCGGCTAATTTTTGTATTTTTAGTAGAGATGGGGTTTCACCACATTGGTCAGGCTGGTCTCGAATTCCTGGCCTCATGTGACCCACCCACCTCGGCCTCCCAAAGTGCTGGGATTACAGGCGTGAGCCACTGCGCCGGGCCCTTTTGCATCTTGATCATAGTAGTGGCTGTGAGACTGTATACATTTGTGACAACTTGCAGAACTGCCCACTAAAAAGGATACATTTTACTGCATGTACATTATGCATTATTAAACCTGACATTAAAAACGCAAAAGCTGAAAAAAAAACTGGGGCCTAGTTAGTGGCCCCAGAAAGAAAATACCTATAGATTCCTTTTTTTTTTTTTTTTTTTTTTTTTTTTTTTTTGAGACAGAGTTTTGCTCTTCTTGCCCATGCTGGAGTGCAGCAGTGCAATCTCGGCTCACAGCAACCTCTGCCTCCCGGGTTCAAGCAATTCTCCTGTCTCACCCTCCCAAGTAGTTGGGATTACAGGCATGCGCCACCACGCCTGGCTAATTTTGTGTTTTTAGTAGAGACGGGGTTTCTCCATGTTGGTCAGGCTGGTCTCCAACTCCCGACCTCAGGTGATCTGCCCGCCTTGGCCTCCCAAAGTGCTGGGATTACAGATGTGAGCCACTGTGCCCGGCTAGATTCCTTTAAATTCAAGTGTTTATTGCAATGTGTTCTTCCCTGTAGCATTTTTACTTTTGTAAAAAGAGCCTGAAACTTTTGTATAAAAAGAAGGGTGGCTGTGTGTGCATGTGTGCATTTATTGTATATGCATAAAGAAACTCTGGAAAGATACACAAGAAACTAATAACATCAGAGACTGTGGGAGTGGGATAAGAATTAGGGAGAAGGAGGACTTGGTAAGGGAAAGAGAAAGAAAATTGTGTGTGTGTGTGTGTGTGTGTAATGTATATAATTTTTGAACCATGTGAACAGATTACCTATAAAAACATTAAATTACCAAAAAATCAAAAGGTTGAAAAGAAAGGGAAATGCTTAATCCCTAGGTGTGACTCTCCACTGGAGGAATCTGTAGGGGGTGGGATTCTTGTGGCAGCTACATCACATGAGCGTCTGCTTCCTGGGCCTTGGCCCCACCCACCTGGTTTAGTAAACTGGAAGCAAGACTGCGTTCCCGAGCAGATGGCCCAGGGTGGCTCCTGGTCCGGTTCAACAGAGAGTAGCTCTAAGCACACGCCCTTTCTTCCCCAGACATCTCCCCAGTGTGTATTCCAGTGGTAGACATTCCTTTTAGTCTTTCACCCCACAATTGGAATAAGACTTCACATTGCAGGTTTTCACCGAAGGAGTAATGATGGGCCTAAATTCATACTTCGTTGTAAATGTCTGATATCAGATTCTTAGACTCTTTCCCAGAGACCTGTTTTGTAAGAGAGCGATCAGACCTTATGAAGGTCTCAGGCTCCTGAAATCTAGGGCAATGGAGGCTTGGAAGACACAAGTTAATTACTTCCCAGTCTTGGCCGGGCGCGATGGCTCACGCCTGTAATCCCAGCACTTTAGGAGGCCGAGGCGGGTGGATCACGAGGTCAGGAGATGAAGACCATCCTGGCTAACACGTGAAACCCCGTCTGTACTAAACATACAAAAAAATTAGCCGGGCGTGGTGGCGGGCGCCTGTAGTCCCAGCTACTCGGGAGGCTGAGGCAGGAGAATGGCGTGAACCCAGGAAGCAGAGCTTGCAGTGAGCCGAGATCGCGCCACTGCACTCCAGCCTGGGCGACAGAGCAAGACTCCGTCTCAAAAAAAAAAAAAATATATTACTTCCCAGTCCTGTTTGTGGCAGACCTAGATGAAAGTTCTAGGAAACACATGCTTTGGAATCAGCCTGAACTTGAATCTCAGGACCCAGTCTGTTCCTACCTGTGAGCCCTTGGCCAAGTATTTCTCCTCTCTCTGTCTCGTTTTCTCATCTGTGAAATGGGAATGCTAATAACACCTTTGCCGGATGAGTTGACATGAGAGTAAGAGGCGAGCTTGTGGGTGACCGCAGGCAGTGCCATGAATGACCCACTTTAGGTGCTGAGCACCCAGGAGCCCTTCTTAGTGCGATTTGCCTGGGCTGCCTTGAGACCACACATGTGATGCGGGGGTGGGGGGGAAAGGGTAACAGAGAGGAGCAGTGACATGGAACAATCCCAAGAATGAAAGCAGGGCGGCGGGGCTGACTCACCGGATGACTCACTTCCTTGCCCAGGGATGTTCTGAGCATCCACGGAGCTGCTTCTCATAGTTCTCATACCCTTGGTTCCTTCTCTGTGGGGAAGGCAGGAGGAAGATGCCCCTCCTCGCCCAGAGCAGGGATCAGAATGTGGGACCTTCTCCGTCATACCCAGAACCATGGAGACTAGCTGGCACCCCATTTTTTAATTCACAAAATAACAGTCCCCATAAGATGTAATCTTTTTAAGGAAGAATAGTTTTTGCCCCAGGAGTACAGGAGAGATTCTAGACTCCTTTTGCCCTTTTCCAAATTATCACAGGGAGATCTGGACCCCGTAGAATATTTGAAAGTGCAGAAAAATGCAAAGAAGCAGAAAAAATCACCTATAATCCTATCGTTTAAACTTTATCACAGTGATGAGTTTGGTATTTTTCCATTCTATTTTTTTTCTCTGTATTTTTTCATTATATAGTCAAGTTTCTGCAGTCTATATCAGCACTATTCAAAGGAAATATGCAAACCACAGGTGTGAACCATATATGTAATTTAAAATGCTTCAGAAGCCTCATTAAAGAAAAATAAAAACAGGTGAAATTGTGTGTGTGTGTATGTGTGTGTGTGTGTATATATATATATATATATATATATATTTTTTTTTTTTTTTTTTTTTTTTTTTTTTTTTTTTGAGATGGAGTCTCACCCAGGCTGTAGTGTAGTGGCATGATCTTGACTCACTGCAACCTCTGGGTTCAAGCGATTCTTCTGCCTTAACTTCCTGAGTAGCTGGGATGACAGGTGCCTGCCACCATACCTGGCTGAATTTTTATATTTTTAGTAGAGACGGGGTTTCGCCATGTTGGTCAGGCTTGTCTCAAACTCCTGACCTCAGGTGATCCGCCCGCCCTGGTCTCCCACAGTGCTGGGATTACACGCATGAGCCACTGCACAATATATTATATTCAACCAAATATTTCAACAATATCATTTTATCATATAATCAATATAAACATTTAGCAATTTTTATGATTATTAAATTAAAAATGAGATATTTTACATGCTTGCACATCTGAATTCAGAGTTAGCCACATTCAAGTGTTCAGTAGGCACGTGGGGCTGGTGACTACCATGTTGAACAGTGCAAGCCTGTGCAACCCCTTTTTTTTTTTTTTTGAGGCAAGGTCTTACTCTGTCACCCAGGCTGGAGTGCAGTGATATGATTATGGCTCACTGCAGCCTTGACCTTCTAGGCTCAAGTGATCCTCCAGCTTCAGCCTCCCAAGTAGCTGGACTACAGATGTATGCTGCCATACTTGGCTAATTTCTTTTTCATTTTTTTAGAGGTGGGGTCTCACTGTGTTGTCCAGGCTGGTCTCGAACTCTGGCCTCAAGCAATCCTCCTTCCCAAAGTTCTGGGATTACAGGCATGAGCCTTGTCTGGCAAGTTCATGCAATTTCTAACTTGCTTTTGTTTTTGCTTAAATTACATCCTAAGTATTTCTCATATCATAAAATCTCTTTTGAAAAAGATAACTTTTATGAATTTCAATAACATGTATTTATTATCTAATACCAAAGGTAATATATTGGTTCGTGTTTTGGTTTGGTTTTTGTTTCTGGCCATTCAAGAACAATTTATGTTAGCTGTTTGATATAATTACTTCCCGACTATTTTCTCAGCAGACATTCACATTGAACAAAAATTGGATGCATACAATATGTACTGCTTTATAACCACCCTTTTCATTTATTGATATGTTATAAACATACAATGTCAGAGTTACACATGAGCCTGTATCCAGAGCCAAGCAGCCCAAACAACTGTTCTCTTCTCAGCAGTGGGAGGGGTAGCATTTGCATCCCCACTTCTCAAAAGTGGGAACTGAGGCTTAGAAAAGTAAAATGATTTTCATGATTATGAAGTTGAGATTCAACCCAGGTCTTTTGATTTTATCTCCAGAGCCTTTCATTTTTAACATATGGTCTCCTTCTGGAAGGAGGCATGGAAGGGATCCAAGATATGCCAAAGAAGCAATTTACAAATTAACGTTTGGAGTAGCATTCTCAGTAAATTGGGACTGTCTCCACCCATAGTTTTGCCTAACAAGCTTCCCGATCACCCAGGTAAATCCTTTTCCCTCCTGCACTCACGTCTCTGCAAGGCTGCCATCTCCTTGTGGGACACTCCCTCCCCATTCCCACCATGAAACGTAACTCTGTAACTTCCAAGAAAGAATCCTGATGGTCTAAGTCAGAGTTTATCCATCTCAGCGCTATTGATATTTGAGCCACATAATTCTTTGTTTTAGGAGGTGTTCTGTACTTTGTCGGATGTTTACTATCCTGACCTCTACCACTAGGTGCCCGAAGCACTCCTCCCCCGCCCCCCAGAAGTGACATTCAAAAATGTCTGCAGACATTGCCAAATGTCCCCTGCGGGGAACATCACCCCACTTGGAGAACCACCCCTCTAAGTATTATCAGATGGAGAAAATCTTTCCTAACTCAGTCATTTGATGCTACCCACAGACTAGATAGAGCAATTACTTCTTTGTTTTTCTTTTTTTCTGAGACAGAGTCTCACTTTGTTGTCCAGGCTGGAGTGCAATGGTGTGACCTCAGCTCACTGCAACCTCCACCTCCCGGGCTCAAGCGATTCCCCTGCCTCAGCCCCTCGAGTAGCTGGGATTACAGGCATGTGCCACCACGCCCAGCTATTTTTTTGTATTTTTGGTAGAGATGGGGTTTCATCATGTTGTCCAGGCTGGTCTTGAACTCCTGACCTCAAGTGATCGCCTGCCTCTGCCTCCCAAAGTGCTGGGATTACAGGTGTGAGCCATTGTGCTGGCCAACAATGCCTTCTTATGCAGACTGCATTGCTCAGAAAGATAGGAACGTTTTCTCTCCATCATTGAGTCTCCAGTGTCTGCGTATAGTAAGCACTCAACAAATGTGTACACAATTAAGGATGCTGGTGATTTTTTTTTTTTTAATCTTACATCAAGCTTTTCAAGACTGAGCTAATTGCACACATGTCCTATATCGTGATGCCCTTTAAAGAGCATTTCTATCTTTTCCTGGACTCCTTTTCTCCTGGAGTCCTGTGCCTTTCAGATTCTGATACTCAATCTATTATTTTCTTATACCAAAGAGAATGATATGGCAATCTTAGCAATTACATCCTTGAATGTCATATTACATTTGTATTGTGCACATATGCCATATGCTAGATTGATAAATATTTCTATAAGGCAAAAGAAAGATGATTTTTAACATGTGTATCGTATGCCATCTTTTGAACATACCATGATCAATCATTTTCTAATTATGGGCATTTAAATTGTTTCCAGTTTTCACTGTAAATAATACTACAAGCCATGTGTGGTGGCTCATGCCTGTAATCCCAGCAATTTGGGAGGCCAAGGCGGGCAGATCACTTGAGGTCAGGAGTTCGAGACCAGCCAAGGCTAACATGGTGAAACCCCATCTCTACTAAAAATACAAAAATTGGCCAGGCATGATGGTGCACGCCTGTAGTCCCAGCCACTCGGGAAGCTGAGGCAGGAGAATCACTTGAATCCAGGAGGTAGAAGTTGCAATGAGTGAGATTGAGCCACTGCACTCTAGCCTGGGCGATAGAGAAAGACTATCTCAAAAAAAAAAAAAAAAAAAAAAGGAAAGGATTTGGTGTGAGCTGAATGTATTCTGTTTTGAATTTGATTTTTATTATTATTATTTTTTTTTAGACAGAGTTTCGCTCTTGTTGCCCAGGCTGGAGTGCAGTGGCATGATCGTGGCTCACTGCAACCTCTGCATCCCAGGTTCAAGCAATTCTCCTGCCTCAGCCTCCCGAGTACCTGGGATTACAGGCATGCGACCACACCCAGCTAATTTTTTGTATTTAGTAGAGAGGGGGTTTCACCATGTTGGTCAGGCTGGTTTTGAACTCCCAACCTCAGGTGATCTGCCCACCTTGGCCTCCCAAGGTACTGGGATTACAGTCGTGCACCACCGCACCCAGTGATGCGGAATTGTTTCTTAGCTGGTTATGGAATATGAATGGGTAAGATACCTCTCCTCTTTGGGCTCAGTTTCCTCATCTGTGAAATGGGCATGATAATTGTACTGAACATTCCTCACAAAGTGATGTGAGGAACAAGTGAGAGCACAGAAAAGTGCTTAATGCAGGGTTTGGCACAGAGTGAAGGACAGTAAGACAGACTGTAGTTTCCTCCTTTCTAAGGTGCAAAACTTAGTTTGTTTTTCTAGGGAATTATTCTGAACACCACTCTGCTATTGTATCCAAAGGTGATTTTTCTGTTGGGAAGGTCACACAGGGCTCAATATCCTGAATTGCCCAGCAGCCAGTGGTGAAAAACTCAGCATATTGTTGTCCTGATTTCCTCCCATTCAGAGGCCCCTGCAAGTGGTGACTGGCTAGATGATTCACAGATCCCTCCCAGAAATTTCATTTTGACCTTAAATGTGTGAAAATTCCATTCCTAGCAAGTGGAGCACATTGCTTTGAGAAAGAAAGCTGAATGTATTTTGTTTGGAATCCTCTGCTATTGGTTCACACCAAAGGACCCAAAATGCGCACCCATCATCTGCAGAATATGGGCTTGCTAGAACATGTTATGAGATCTCATACTCCTGTGTTTCCTGATATTTACAGAACATACCTCCGTTCGCATCCTTCACTGCTGACAACCTGAAACATCCTCAATCACACTCGTTATTTTCTACAACGATCATGGCCATGGCCAGCATCACCTTCCTCTTGGCATAGGATAGAGGGAAGGAGGAGGGCTGGTGTTGTCCATAGAGAGCCTTCATGCTAAGTAAAGGGTGGCACCTGTCCTTTAAGCAGACACAGCCCCTGCCAGAGCGTGTGACTTGGAGAACACAAACGGGCTCCCACTCATCCACTCCACAGCTCTAGCAGACCCTGCAAACAGCATGGCCTTTGGAGTTAGGTGGAGTCAGAGTCTGCTTTAAATCTAGTCCCTGATATTTACTGTTTACTAGCTGTGGCTCTGGGCCAGGTACTTAACCTCTCTGAGCCTCGGTTTCCTCATTTGATTGTCATGCCCATTTCATATGATTGTTATCATATGATTATCTCTCATTGTTGAAATGAGATAGAATATTTTAAAACTCTGTGTATTTGAATTAACATAAATATACCCAAAGACACACTCTGCTATTAAAAGTGGTTGGAAATTAGGGGCAGCATCATAAGGCAGAAAGAAAGAACTTTAATTCTTTTTTTGGTGGTGGTTTCTTTAAACACTTCTGTTTTGTTTGAACCTGTTTTTATGCACATTTATTACGTCTTTTTTAAATGATATTTTTATTTTGAAATAATTTTAGATTTACAGAACAGATACAAAAATAGTACAGAGATTCTGTATATTCCTCACCCAGTTCCCACTAATGTGATCATCTTATATAACCATGGAACACTTGTCAAAACTAAGAAGCCCATATTAGTTTATTACTGCTAATTAAACACCAGACTTCATTAGGATTTCACTGGTTTATCTACTAACATCCTTTTTTTGTTCAGGATCCCCACATTGCATATATATCAATATATATGTAAAATATAAATTAATATGTATATTATATTGTCTTTTGTTGTTCTCAAATATAGGGGAAAGAGGAGATCAAGATGCTTGAGAATTACTCTGCCACAAATAACTGTGCAGTTTTATTTTTGTTTATTTTTGTTTTGAGACAGGGTCTTGCTCTATCACCCAGGCTGGAGTGCAGTGGTGCAATCACAGCTCACTGCAGCCTCAGCTTCCTGGGCTTAAGTGATCCTCCTGCCTCAGCCTCCCAAAGTGCTGGAATTACAGGCATGAGCCACCATGCCCAGGCAGCTGTACACTTTTGAGCCAGATACTTCCTCTCTCTGGACCATAGTCTCCTCATCTATAAAAGAAGTGGGTACTGCCAGACGCGGTGGCTCACGCCTGTAATCCCAGCACTTTGGGAAGTCGAGGCGGGCAGATCACGAGGTCATGAAATCCAGACCATCCTGACTAACATGATGAAAATACACTAAAAATACAAAAAATTAGCCAGGCATGGTGGCATACGCCTGTAGTCCCAGCTACTAGGGAGGCTGAGGCAGGAGAATCACTTGAACCTGGGAGACAGAGGTTCCAGTGAGCTGAGATCGTGCCACTGCACTCCAGCCTGGGTGACAGAGCGAGACTCCGTCAAAAAAAAAAAAAAAAGTGGGTAGGGCAAGAGATCATTAAGCTCCCTCTCTCACAGTCCAGGCCCACTGATTTTCGGGGGAGACAAAATGAGGAAGTCACAGTAGGATGCAAAGTCATTTAAAACAGAATTCTCAAAACATTAAAATAGATGCCCTAGCTCCAAGGAGTCCCTTTTGGCCTCATTAAGGAACAGTTAAAGATCTGATCACATCTTTGAACTGGGGACTCCTGAATCCCGTGACCACTGAGAATGAAGACATTTGCTCATCTCACATGTCTTTTCCATTTCTCTCTACTAGGATTTATTGTGTTGTAAAAGGCTTGGTGCGAGGCAGAGGGAGAGTTTATCCAAATCCTTTGAGAAATCAGAGAATGTGGTAAATCCTGATTCTCATTTTGCTCTATTGTTTATGACCTCCAGATCTCTGGTGAGGAAGACAGGATCTACAGCTGGTCTCCATTTCTTACTAGCTGGTTTAGTCTTAAGTTCATGGCCGCTTGCCCAGGCTGTGCCAGCTGAGTGTGCTTTAGATAGCAGCATCTGAAATGGATAATTATGCATCAAAGCCAGCCTACCTTACCTCTCCTAAAGGAACCTGATGTCTCACTTCCTTTCTCCAAGATCATGGCATACACCTGTTTATACAGAATTGTGTCCATTGCAGGCAAGTTCTGTCCATGTTTGGCTAAAAGAGGAGGCAATGTCGTCACATCCCCAGGGAAGCTTTTCTCATCTACCCCTTAAAGATTAGGTCAGGCCCCTTGTTAAAGCTTTCAAAGAATCCCACACATCCCTATCACAGCAGTCAGCACACTTGTCATCATTTAAATAATTTGTTATAATTTGATTAATGTCCGTATTTCCTTGTGGTTCTCAATAGGGACAATTTTGTCCCCAGGGAACATTTGCAATGTCTAAAGATATCTTTGGTTGTCACAACTGGAGGGAGGCAGGATGGAGGGATGTTTTTGGCATTTAGTGGATAGAGATCAGGGATTCTGCTAAACATTTTAAAATGTACAAGACTAGGCCAGGCACAGTGGCTCATGCCTATAATCCCAGCACTTTGGGAGGCCGAGGTGGGTGGATCACCTGAGGCCAGGAGTTTGAGACCAGCCTGGCCAACAAGGTAAAACCCCACCTCTACTAAAAATACGGAAATCAGCCAGGCATGGTGGCATGAACCTGTAATCCCAGCTACTCAGGAGACTGAGGCAGAAGAACTGCTTAAACCTGGGAGACACAGGTGGCAGTGAGCCGAAATGGTGCCATTGCACTCCAGCCTGGGCGACAAGACAGAAACTCCGTCTCCAAAAAAAAAAAAAAAAGAAAAAGAAAGAAAAGATAGAATGTATAAGACAGCCCCCAGAAGAAAGAATGAGCCATCCAAGATGTCCACAGTGTTGAGAAACCCTACTGCAGATTGTGCATTCCACAAGAAGAGGGATTATATCTTTTTGTTTGCCACTGAACCCAGTCCTCACACAGAGTCTGTGACGGAAAAGGTATTTGGTGCGTAGATGATGACTGACACCTGCCTATTCTGTCCTCTGGGCCTGGGATAGCATCAGATTACATTTTGTTTCCCAAGGGCTGAAACCATTTTACATATAGTAAGCAAATGATTCCAAATGAATGAATACTTTGTAAATGAATGAACGAATGAGTCCATCCATCCATTCATTCATCCATCCATTCATCCATCCATTCATCCATGACCCAAATGGGCCCTCATGCCAAGAATACATCAATAGTAGTCGTCTGACACCAGCTTTGGTTTTACCACTACCCAGCTAAGTGATCTTATGAATTTGGCATGTATTTGTCTAGATCAGCATTGTCCAGTAGAACATCCTACAATTATGGAAATGTTATATATCTGTGTAGTCCAAAACAGAAGCCACTAGCCATAGTTACTAATGGACTCTCAAAATATGGCTAGTGTGACTAATTCATTTAATTTAAATAGCCACATGTGGCTAGTAGCTACTGTATTAGCACAGGTCTAGACCTTTTAGAAGATTTTTACATTCAAGATCATATTACATATATTATACCCATGTAAAATAGTTTTGTTGCATGAGTTTTTATACAAATATATGTTTCACAGGTTCTGTAACTTGGCTGTTTCACTCATTCTGCTTTCGACATCTGTCCTGTTAGATCTAGCTCATTTCTTTTATCTACTGCATAGTGCTTTGTGGTATGACTATTTTATGTTTTGGTAGCCATTCTCCTACTGATGGATATTTTGGCTGTTTCAGGTTTTTTTTGTTGTTGTTGTTACAAACAATGCTGCAATGAACATCTCTGTATTGTCTCCTTAGAGGTCTTAGTCCATTTTCTGTTGCTATAACAGGATATCACAGTCTGGGTAATTTATAAAGAAAAAAACTATTTAGCTTACAGTTCTGGAGGCTGGGAAGTTTAAGAGCATGGCTCTAGCCTCTGGTGATGCCTTCTTGCTTCTTCATAACATGGTAGAGGGCATCACATGGCAAGAAGAGAAGAGTGTGTGTGTGTGCTCAGATCTTTCTTCCTCTTCTTTTTTTTTTTTTGAGACAGAGTCTCGCCCTGTCACCCAGGCTGGAGTGCAGTGGCGCAATCTTGGCTCACTGCAAGCTCTGCCCACTGAGTTCATGCCATTCTCCTGCCTCAGCCTCTTGAGTAGCTGGGAATACAGGCACCTGCCACTACGCCCAGCTAATTTTTTGTATGTTTAGTAGAGACGGGGTTTCACCATGTTAGCCAGGATGGTTTTGATCTCCTGACCTCATGATCCACCCGCCTTTGCCTCCCAAAGTCCTGGGGTTACAGGCGGTGTGAGCCACCGTGCCCGGCCTCTTCCTCTTCTTATAAAACCACCAGTCCCACTCTGGGGACCCCACCAAGATAATCTTATCTAATCTTAACTACCTCACTAAAGCCCCAATCAACATGCAAATTTGGATTAAATTTTGAACACCTGAAATTTGGGGGACACAGTCAAACCATAGCATTAGGCTCCTCCTTGTTAGCTCTTAAGAGGGAAATTACATCACAGTATATGCATAAGTGTAATTTTATTAGTTCTGCCAGGAGAGTGCCATAATTTGTAAAACAAGGATTCAGTGATTTCTAAGGTTTCTTCCTCCAGCATAAAACCCAATTCTTCTGGAACAATAGAGGTGAGAGACTGACTTTAAACTTTTGGCAATCATCTAGTCTATGCTGTGCTCAGTCAGATGCAATGGAAACAGATAATATCCAGGGTCATATGTTCCCAGTTGTCCCCTCTCTGGGTCCCTGGGAAGAGAAAGCTCTATAAAACATCAGATCAAATTTTCTTTTAATCCTCTAAGTAATAAAGTGGATAAAAGTTTCTGGCAGTGGAAAACTCCAATTATTTAATTACATTAAAATAAATCTGTCACTAAACTTGGAAACCCAAGCTTTGCTTGCCCAGATAGCAAAAAAGTAAAAAGGTTTCCATGCTGCACAGTTTTTCTAACTTCCCCCATGTGGTTGTGACTTAGAGTCATTTTACCCATTCACACCTGCTGTTACCCAGTTGTTAATATCAATGCAATTAATAATAATTGTAAGAGAAACTATCTAATTCCAGCAAATACCTCATTTCTACTAGTTTGAATGTGTCAGTTGTCTTGGGGCAGGAACCACAATTCAGTATTTTAGAATATACACATATGCAGGCAAATATATATTCTACTCTTTAGAAATTAAGTTTACAATAGACCTTGATATTTTGTCCATTACTCATGTTCACATGATTTAAATCTTAGGAGAGGGCTTTAATCCACTTATCTGGGTGGGGAAATATTGTTAGAAAAATGTGGGCTTGGCTGGGTGCTGTGGCTCTTGCCTGTAACCCCAGCACTTTGGGAGGCCGAGGTGGGCGGATCACTTGAGGCCAGGAGTTCGAGACCAGCCTGGCCAACATGGCGAAACCCCATCTCTACTAAAAATACAAAAATTAGCCAGGCATGGTGGCACGTGCCTGTAATCCTAGCTACTCGGGAGGCTGAGGTGAGATAACTGCTTAAACCTGGGAGGTGGAGATTGCAGTGAGTCGAGATCATGCCACTGCACTCCAGCCTGGGCGACAGAGCGAGACTCTGACTCAAAAAAAAAAAAAAAAAAAGAATAAAAAAAAATGTGGGCTTTTCTATCACCTATTTAATTGCAGATACTTGTTACTGAGTGTTGATTCTATACTGACATTAACTAACCTCCAGGTATTAGGATTAAGTTTGCTAAAAACAAAACTTCCGAACAAAACAGAAAGATCTAGTGTTTTCCCTCCCATTACAGATTTGCTTATTATGAAAACTTTGGAAATTATAGAAAAGCAGAAGGAAGAATAAAAGGATGATCACTATTACTATTTTGGTGTAGTTCCTTCCCATTTTTTCTTCTTCTTCGTCTTCATCTCCATCTCTGTCTCCTCCTCCTCCTTCTCCTTCTTCTCTTTTTTTTTTTTTTTTTGAGACAGTTTTGCTCTGTTGTTCAGGCTGGAGTAATCACTGCTCATTGCAGCCTCCACCTCCTGGGCTCAAGTGATCCTCCCACCTCAGCCTCCTGAGTAGCTGGGACTACAGGAGTGTGCCACCATGCCTAGCATGAAAATAATTTTTTTTTTATTTTTGAAGAGACAGGGTCTCCCTATGTTGTCCAGGCTGGTCTTGAACTCCTGGGCTTAAGCGATCCTCCCGCTTCAGCCTCCCAAAATGCTGGGATTCCAGGTATGAGCCACTATACCCAGACCCATTTTTTCTTCAGAAAATCTTTTATATTTTGAGATTTTTTTTTTTGAGATGGAGTTTCGCTCTTGTCGCCCAGGCTGGAGTGCAATGACGCGATCTCAGCTCACTGCAACCTCTATCTTCTGGGTTCAAGCGATTCTCCTGCCTCAGCCTCCCGAGTAGCTGGGATTACAGGCATGTGCCACCACACCCAGCTAATTTTTGTATGTTTAGTAGAGATGGGGTTTCACCATGTTGGCTGGTCTCAAACTCCTGACCTCAGGTGATCCACCTGCCTCGGCCTCCCAAAGTGCTGGGATTACAGGCATGAGCCATTGCACCCGGCCTCAAGAAATTTTTAAAATACAGAAAAGCACAAAGACTTTTTAAAAAAATCACACCCATATTTTCACCATCTAGAAATAATCATTAACATTTTGTCATATTTGCTACCAGTGTTTTATTTGTTTCTACCTTTGTAAAACAAAAAACAAAACAAAAAAGCCCTGAAATATTGCAGATAAATCCAAAGACAGATTTAACCACCATCCCCTACAATGAGGCTGAAATTTTTACTTCCATTTCTAAAAAAAAAAGTATGTATAGAGTGTATATATGTACATAAATCATAAACATTCATATAAAGATATACATATATATATATATATTTTTTTTTTTTTTTTTGAGACGGAGTCTTGCTCTGTTGCCCAGGCTGGAGTGCAGTAGCGCAATCTCGGGTCACTGCACCTCTGCCTCCTGGGTTCAAGCAATTCTCCTGCCTCAGCCTCCTGAGTAGCTGGGATTACAGGCGCCCACCACCACACCCAGCTAATTTTTGTATTTTTAGTAGAGACAGGGTTTCGCCATGTTGGCCAGGCTTGTCTCAAGCTCCTGACCTCAGGTGATCCACCCGCCTCAGCCTCCCAAACTGCTGGGATTACAGGCATGAGCCACAAGGTACATATATTTTATATAAAACAGTATGTAGTATTCTTTTGAGTGTTTTTTTTAATTACCCATATTTATAGGTTTGTTTTTTGATATGGGGTCTCACTATGCTGTCCAGGCTGTACACAAACCCCTGGGCTCAAGCAACTCTCCTGCCTCAACCTCCTGAGGACTGGGACTAAGGTTAGCACCACCATGCCCAGCTTATATAGCTGTTGTTTCAATATATAGTGATCATATAGAGTTGTTTAGATGTATAATATATTGATAGTATACCTGTTGTTTTGCATCTTAATGTCCCTCTTGAGGAATGGGAATCCTGAGCTGTATAGGAGAATAAAACTTCAGTCCTCTCATCTGTAAGATGATAATAATAGTAATGTGATATTGTGAAATATGTGTTTGGTCTTCATCCAATTTGCTGACATACAACTCCTAAAATCCTTCAAAGTGATGTGTGTTTTAGTCTGCTAATAAGTTGACTGGTGACTTGGCAGCCTCTAGGTAGCTTCAGGATGTGAGCTGGTCCCAGAAAGACCCAGGCATGATTAGAGGATTGGGACTTTCAGCCCCACCCTTCAACTTCTGGGGAGGGGTAAGGGGCTGAGGGTTAAGTTGATCGCCAATGTCCAATGGCTTAATCAATCATGCTTATGTAATGAAGCCTCCATAAAAACCCAAAAAGACAGGGTTCAGAGACCTTCTGATTAGCTGGACACATGGAGGTTCCTGGAGGGTGGCACCCCAGAGAGGACATGGAAACTCTGCCCTTTTCCCCATACCTCACCCAATGCATCTCTTCATCTGTATCCTTTGCAATACCCTTTACAATAAACCAGTAAATGTAAACATTTGTTTCCCTGAGTTCTGTGAGCTACTCTAGAAAATTAATCAAACCTGAGGAGGGGGTTGTGAGAACCCCTATTTATATCTGGTTGGTCAGAAGCATGGGAAAAACAACCTGGGACTTGTGTTTGGCATCAGAAAGTGGGGGGCAGACTTGTGGGACTGAGCCCTCGACCTGTGGGATCTGACACTATCTCTAGGTAGGCAGTGTTAGAATTGAATTGAATTAGAAGACACCTGACTTGAGGTCAGGAGCTCAAGACCAGCCTGGACAACATGGCGAAACCCTGTCTCTACTAAAAATACAAAAATTAGCTGGGTGTGGTGGCAGGCGCCTGCAATCCCAGCTACTCAGGAGGCTGAGGTGGAAGGACCACTTGATCCTGGGAGTTTGAGGCTGCAGTGAGCTACGAGAGTGCAACTGCACTCCAGTCTGGTTGAAAAGGTGAGACCCTATCCTTAAAAAGAAAAAAAAATTAAATTTTAAAAAAAGGAAAAGGCTCAAATCAATAAGAAAAAAAGATAAAAATATCCTAAATGAAAAAATTAGCAAAGGAAACAAAGAGAAGAGGAAACTTAATGGTCAATAAACATCTGAAAAGATGTCCAGAGTAGTCATAGGAAAATGCAAATTTCAACAATGAGATATGTACATATGTAGTAAAAGTATGAAAACAACCAGATGACATATACCAACTTCAAAATAGTAGTTCCTTTTTTCTTTTTTTTGAGATGGAGTCTTGCTCTATTGCCCAGGCTGGAGTGCAGTGGCGGGATGCCAGCTCACCACAACCCCCACCTCCTGGGTTCAAGCGATTCTCGTGCCTCAGCCCCCCAAGTAGCTGGGACTACAGATGCCTGCTAATTTTTGTATTTTTAGTGGAGATGGGGTTTCACCATGTTGGCCAGGCTGGTCTTGAACTCCTCACCTCAGGTGATCCACCTGCCTCAGCCTCCCAAAGTGCTGGGATTACAGGCATGAGCCACGGTGCCTGGCCTAGCATAGTAGTTTCTAAGGGGAAGGAGAAAGGAACAAAGAATAGGGAATGAGACTTAAGTGTTCTGTATATGTCTTTTTTCTTTCTAAAAAATGTGAAAACAATATGAAGAAATATACGGAACGTTGACATCTGTTAATTCTGGATTGGGGATATGTGGCATCTATTTTCTGTATATTTTAAATACTTACTATTTTATTTATTATTATTATTATTATTGATACAGGGTCTATCTCTTTCTTGCAGGCTGGAGAGCAGTGACCATCATAGCTCACTGTAACCTTGAACTCCTAGGCTCAAGTGATCCTCCTGTCTCACCCTCCTGAGTAGCTGGGACTACAGATGCACACCACCACACCCAGCTACTTTTTATTCTTATTTATTTGTTTATTTATTTGAGACGGAGTTTCGCTCTGCAATTCTTCTGCTTTAGCTTCCTAGAGCAATTCTTCTGCTTTAGCTTCCAAAGTAGCTGGGATTACAGGCGTGTGCCGCCACACCCGGCTACTTTTTTTTTTTTTTTTGTATTTTTAGTAGAGATGTGGTTTCACCATGTTGGCCAGGCTAATCTTGAACTCCTGACCTTAAGTAATCCGCCTGTCTCAGCCTCCCAAAGTGCTGGGATTGCAGGCGTGAGCCACCACAACCAGCTCTAATTTTTATTTTTTTATTTTTGGTAGGGACAGGGTCTTGCTGTTGCCTCAGCTGGTCTTGAACTCAGGCCTCAAGCTATCCTTCTGCCTCCCAAAGTACAAGGATTACAGGTGTGAGCCACTGGGCCCAGCTGAGATATTTCCTATTTTAGAATGAAACAGAAGGCTGGGCACGGTGGCTCATGCCTGTAATCCCAGCACTTTGGGAGGCTGAGGCGGGCGGATCACAAGGTCAGGAGTTCGAGACCAGCCTGGCAAAACCCTATCTCTACTAAAAATACAAAAAATTAGCTGGGCGTGGTGGTGCACGCCTGTAGTCCCAGCTACTCAAGAGGATGAGGCAGAAGAATGGCTTGAACCCAGGAGATGGAGGTTGCAGTGAGCTGAGGTTGTGCCACTGCAGTCCAGCCTGGGTGACAGAGTGAGATTCCATCTCAAAAAATAAAAATAAAATAAATTAAAATAAAATAAAACAGAAGGAAAAAACTTCACCTTGAGCTGATTTATATGAATATAGAGTTTGTAAGACATTGCTTCATAAAATATCTTCTTCTATTTTAAGCATTGCATTCATTTCACTTCTTTCGTTTGTTGATTTTGTTCTTTGATCAACAGACTTATCTGGAATAGTTTGTACATTGTAAACAGCAGAAATGTTGATTGTTGTGGTTTGATTGGCCTCTGGGGCCTTAAGTCTAGGCATTTTGGCTTTGCTTAATAGTTATGGCCTTTTTCCTTTTATAAAAAACTGAGTGTTGATTTAGATTAACTTGTTGATAATTTCTAGATGGGTCAGTCAGGACTCAGTGAGGTTACAAATGACAGAAAAGTCGCCTATGCTGGAGTGCAGTGGCGCAATCTTGGTTCACTGCAAACTCTGCCTCCCAGGTTCAAGCGATTCTCCTGGCTCAGCCTCCTGAATAGCTGGAATTACAGGCATGCGCCACCATGCCCAGCTAATTTTTGTATTTTTAGTAGTGACGGGCTTTCCTTGTATTGGTTATGCTGGTCTCCAACTCCTAACCTCAGGTGATCTGCCCGCCTCAGCCTCCCAAAGTGCTGGGATTACAGGCATGAGCCACTGTGCCTGGCCAGCAAAAAAGGATTTAGACTATTATGTAAACTTCAGTGATAAAGCAGCAGCAAAATTAGAGAGGATTGACTCCAATTTTCAAAGAAGTTGCACTGTGGGTAAAATGCTATCAAACAGCATCACGAGCTGGGTACAGTGGTGTCCACCTATCATCCCAGCTATTCAGGAGGCTGAGGAGAAAGAAGTGCTTGGGCCCAGGAGTTCGAGGCCAGCCTGGGCAAGATAGAGAGACCCCCCGCCCCCCCACATCTCTAAAACAAACAAACAAACAAAAAAACCCAGCGTCAAATGCTCCAGAGAAATCTTTGTTGAAAGAAAGGATTGATGTGGCAAACTTCACTGTGGTCTTATTTTAAGAATTGCCTCAGCCACCCCAGCCTTCAGCAACCACCACCCTAATTAGTCAGCAGCCATCAACATCTCAGCAAGACCCTTCCCCAGCACAAACATTTCAACCCACTGAAAGCTTGGATGATTGTTAGCATTTTTTAGCAATAAAGTTTTTTTTTTTTTCTGAAACGGAGTCTAGCTCTGTTGCTCAGGGTGGAGTGCAGTGGTGCAATCTTGGCTCACTGCAACCTCCGCCTCCTGAGTTCAAGTGATTCTCCTGCCTCAGCCTCCTGAGTAGCTGGGATTACAGGCGCCCACCACCCACACCCGGCTGATTTTTTTGTATTTTTAGTAGAGTCGGAGTTGCGCCATGTTGGCCAGGCTGGTCTTGAACTCCTGACCTCAAGTGATCCACCCACCTTGGCCTCCCAAAGTGCTGGGAGTACAGGCATGTGCCACTGTGCCCAGCCAGCAATAAAGTATTTTTAAATTAAAGTACGGGCCAGGCGCGGTGGCTCACGCCTGTAATCCCAGCACTTTGGGAGGCTGAGGCAGGCGGATCATCTGAGGTCAGGAATTTGAGACTAGCCTGGCCAACATGGCGAAACCCTGTCTCTACTAAAAATACAAAATTAGCCAGGCACGGTGGTGTGCACATGTAATTCCAGCTACTCAGGAGGCTGAGGCAGCAGAATCACTTGAACCGAGGAGGCGGAGGTTGCAGTGAGCTGAGATCGTGCCATTGCACTCCAGCCTGGGCAAAAAGAGCAAAACTCCGTTTCAAAAAATAATGATAATTAATTAATGAATTAAAGTATGTACAGTTTTTTAGACATGATGCTGTTGCACATTTAATAGGCTATAGTGCAGTGTAAACATAACTTCTATATGCACCAGAAAACCAGAAAATTCATATGACTCACTTTATTGCTTTGGTCTGGAAATGAACCTGAAATATCTTCAAGGTATACTTATATTTGTGTATAATCTTTTGTTGGGTAAATGAGCTGTAAATAACTTCAGTTTATATGTTATCCTTTGATATTTTCTATAATATATTTTGTATACAGATATTTTGAATTTAATGTAGTCCAATATTTTTCTTTATGCTTTGTACTTTTGAGTCTTTACAAAATCTTTCCCTGTTCTGATGCCATAAAGACATTCTGCATTTTCTTCCAAAAATTTTTACATGTTGCTTTTTACCTTTCAAATTTTTAATCCATTTAAAACTTATTTTCATCTACGTAAGGAACTAATTAGTTTTGTGGGGGGGTTTGTATAAATAATTGTTCTAGCACCATTGCGTTTTTCATTTTTTTCCCACTGATTGATTTATAAAGCCATTTCTATTTTACGACAAGTTTCTATATGTATTTAGGCTGTTTCTGGCTTATCTGCTCCTTTAATCTGTTTGTCTATTCCTAAACAAATGTTGCATTTTTTTTTTTTAATAATACGGCTTTATGACAAATGTTTCTTATCTGGCAGGTCGAGTTCCCTCCTCTATGTACTTTTTCCCCCCAAATTATCATGGCTATTTTTGGCCTATTTGTTCTTTCATATGAAATTTAGGATCAGTTTATCAAGAGCCATAAAAAGTCCTTTGGGAGTTTTGGTTGGTGTTATAATGTATTGATAGACAACTTTGTAATATTGAGTCCTTCTATTCAGGAACATAGTATCAGCTCTATTTTTTTAAGTTTTCCTTTGTGTCCTTCAATAAACATTTTGTAAATTTCTCCTTAAAAGTATTTCCCGGTCGGGCACGGTGGCTCACTCCTGTAATCCCAGCACTTTGGGAGGCTGAGGTGGGCGGATCACAAGGTCAAGAGATTGAGACCATCTGGGCCAACATGGTGAAACCCTGTCTCTACTAAAAATACAAAAATTAGCTGGGCGTGGTGGCACGCGCCTGTAGTCCCAGCTACACGGGAGGCTGAGGCAGGAGAATCGCTTGAACCTGGGAGGCGGAGGTTGGAGTGAGCCGAGATGGCGCCACTGCACTCCAGCCTGTTTAGAGCGACATCTCAACAACAACAACAACAAAAAGGATTTCCCATCTTTTGTTATATTTTCATGGGCGTCTCATAGTTTTGTTGCTCTTGAAATTGTATTTTTTATAATTAACGACATTTTTGAATGTCTTTGCCAGCAAGTTGCTGTATTATTTTAATATTTTTCTTGGACTTCCTATGTAGATAAACATTTCAACTGTAAATAACAAAGATTTTTCTTCCTTACTTTGCAACCCTTTCTATTGCATTGACTAGAACCTCCAGGACAATATATAATAGTAGCACTGAGAGGAAAACATCTTTGTCTTCTGTATTTTTTTCTGTTTCTGAGTCAGGGTCTTGCCCTGTCACCCAGGCTGGAGCGCAGTGGCATGATCATAGCTCACTGCATCCTCGAACTCCTGGGCTCAAGTGATCCTTCTGCATCACTCTTCCAAGTAACTAGGACTACAGGTGCATGCCACTATGCCTAGCTAAATTTTGAAATTTTTTTTGTAGAGATGGGATCTTGCTATGTTGCTCAGGCTGGTCTCAAGGGGTCCTCCCACATAGGTGCCCTAAGGTGCTGGGATTACAGGCATAAACCATTGTGCCTGGCCCCTATAACATTTATTTATCTGATGTTTGTTTCTAACCAAGATAGAACGCTTAATTCTAGAACATAGATTAGAATATGTTTCCTGTCTAATTACAAATATTTTTGGAAGTTGAGCAGGAATAAGCTGATTAAAGGACACAGAATTCGAAGTACTCTCAAGCTGGGATCAATTTCTTTAAATTGATTTGCGCATGTAATTTCAAACTTTAAAGAAACAGAAGGAAAAAATAAGACAAAGAGGAGAAACTATTTGTTCTTTATACATTTAAATTTTTATTTAAAATGATGTATTATGAGTAATAATGGAAATTCTAAAATAAAACAATTCATAAGTCTTACAAATATGAAAATACTTCTGGCTGGGCACGGTGGCTCACGCCTGTAATCCCAGCACTTTGGGAGGCTGAGGTGGGAGGATCACCTGACGTCAGGAGCTTGAGACCAGCTTGGCCAACATGGTGAAACCCCATCTCTACTAAACATACAAAAATTAGCCGGGCATGGTGGTGGGCGCCTGTAATCCCAGCTACTTGGGAGGCTGAGACAGGAGAATCACTTGAACCTGGGAGGCGGAGGTTGCAGTGAACCCAGATTGCACCACTGCACTCCAGCCTGGGAGACAAGAGTGAAACTCTGTCTCAAATAAATAAATAAATAAATAAATAAATATAAAAATACTTTTGGCCAGGCACCGTGGCTCACACCACGGTGTAATCCCAGAACTTTGGGAGGCTGAGGCGGTGTATCACCTGAGGTTAGGAGTTCAAGACCAGCCTGGCTAACATGGTGAAACCCTGTCTCTACTAAAAATACAAAAAAAAAATTAGCTGGGCGTGGTGGTGCATGCCTGTAATCCCAGCTACTCGGGAGGCTGAGGCAGGAGAATCACTTGAACCCGACCGAAGGTGGAGGTAGCAGTGAGCTGAGACCATGCCATTGCACTCCAGCCTGGGTGACAGAGAGACTCTGTCTTAGAAAAACAAAACAAAACAAAAACAACTTTTATTTTTGCCTGCTACCTTTTAGTCCCTGTTCATATAACCCTCCCCCAACCAGTTTTTTTTTTTTTTTGACGGAGCCTCTCTGTTGCCTAGGCTGGGGTTCAGCGGCGCTATCTTGGCTCACTGAAACCTCCGCCTCCTAGGTTCAAGCAATTCTCCTGCCTCAGCCTCCAGAGTAGCTGTGATGCAGGCGCCCGGCACCATGCCCTGATAATTTTTGTATTTTTAGTAGAGACAGGGGTTTCACCATGTTGGCCAGGCTGGTCTTGAACTCCTGACCTCAAGTGACCTGCCTGCCTCAGCCTCCCAAAGTGCTGGGATTACACACATGAGCCATGGCGCCCAGCCAAATCATTACATTCTTATATTTAGGATTTTATTTATGCTGTCAGATCTTTGTTAGAAACTCAGTTCCAATAAAGCCTAAATTTTTCTTTCTTTCCTTCTTTTTGGAGACAGGGTATCACTCTGTCACCCAGGTTGGAGCACAGTGGCACAATCATGGCTTACCACAGCCTCGATCTCCTGGGCTCAGGTGACTCTCCCACCTCAGCCTCCTGAGTAGCTAGGAATATAGGTGCCTGCCACCACACCAGGCTAATTTTTATATTTTTTCTAGAGATGGGGTTTTGCCGTGTTGCCCAGGCTAGTCTCGAACTCCTAGGTGGGGTCAGCCTGCCTCATCCTCCCAAAGTGCTAGGATTACTGTCAATCAAGCCTAAAGTTTTCAATACTTCATCAACTACAATAAGAACTACTGTTAACATTTGTGTCACAGTGTTACACTTTACAAAGCATTTTCTCACACTTCAGCTCATTTTTTCCCCTATGACACAGATATTGTTATTAAATCCTTTTGCACAAGGGAAGGCTGAGGTTTCGGAGTGATTAGGAGATTTATGTATTAAATAAGTGGCAGAGGCCGGGTGTGGTGGCTCACACCTGTAATCCCAGCACTTTGGGAGGCCGAGTTGGGCGGATCACCTGAGGTTGGGAGTTCGAGACCAGACTGACCACCATGGAGAAACCCTGTCTCTACTAAAAATACAAAATTAGCTAGGCATGGTGGCGCATGCCTGTAATCCCAGCTACTCGGAGGCTGAGGCAGAAGAATTGCTTGAACCTGGGAGGTGGAGGTTGCAGTAAGCCGAGATCATGCCATTGCACTCCAGCCTGGGCAACAAGAGTGAAACTCTGTCTCAAAAAAAAAAAAAAGTGTCAGAATAGAGACTAAAAATGAAATATTCTGCTTTTTACCACCTGCACTAGTGGTTTTTGAGCTCCACCATGTCAGATTGTACCAGCCTTTTTCTAGTTTAGAGTAAAAAAATAATTAATTAATGGGCCATACTTTCTTTTTTTCTTTTTTTTTTCTTTTTTTTCTTTAGAGATGTGGTTTTGCTCTGCTGCCCAGGCTGGAGTGCAGTGGTGTGATCACAGCTTACTATAGCCTTGAACTCCCAGGTTTAAGTGATCCTCCCACCTCAACCTCCCGTGTAGCTGGGACTACAAGTGCACACCACCATGCCCAGCTAATTTTTTTTATTATTATTTTTGTAGTGATGGGGGTCCCACGATGTTGCCCAGGCTAGTCTCAAACTCCTGGACATAAATAATCCTCCTGCCTTGGCCTCTCAAAATGCTGGAATTATAGACCTCAGCCACCGTGCCTGGCCATACTTTAGGCCCATTTATGCCTAGTGTTCCATTATTGGAACGCTAAGCATATGGGAGTTATTTACCTACTGCTCAAGATCATCGCTAAGGTCTGATTGCAAAAATTCAAAAAATAGAAACCTCAGGCATAAATGGGTTAATTGTAAATTTTTCTCTAACGTGTTTTTCTTAAATGGATACCTCATGCTTGTCTATACTAGATGCTGCAATAGGATGGTATCTGGTTTAGTATGATGTTATATGTTTTAAGATGTTTAAGTTTCCATATGCAAATTTCTTCAGTGTTCTGCAGAAAGCTCAGATTTCCAGGTGTGGTGCCACAATAATAAATTTTAAAACCATTGCATTAGGTTATGCTGAGTAAGCCCTGGAGCCTGCAAGCCAAATACATTTTAGGTCCCAAAATAATGGTAAAGTACTACTGTGGGTTTGCTTCACTCTCTCCCATTTCACATGAAATGTGTATTGCTCCTCCTTATTGGTCATCAAAATAAATCTTAGGAGCGTATCTAAAGGGAATAATTAAGAAAGGCCACAAGCATAGGTTTAGCTACAAGGATGTTCATTTCAGTGGTATTTACAAAGGTTTCTTCTTCTTCTTTTTTCCTTTTTTGTGAGACAGAGTCTCACACTGTCGCCCAGGCTGGAGTGCAGTGGTGTGATCTCAGCTCACTGCCAACTCTGCCTCCCAGGTTCAAGTGATTCTCCTGCCTCAGCCTCCTGAGTAGCTGGGATTACAGGCGTGCGCCACCATGCCTGGGTGATTCTTGTATTTTTAGTAGAGATGGGGTTTCATCATGTTGGCCAGGCTGGTCTTAAACTCCTGACCTCAAGTGATCCACCCACCTTGGCCTCCCAAATTGCTGGGATTACAGGTGTGAACCACCACGCCCAGCCTACAAAGGTTTCTGAAAAAGAAAATAAACTAAATGCCAAAAGTAGGAGATTAGCTAAATAAGGTATTTCCTGTAATGGAATAGTCTTCTGCCATCACACATTATTAAGAATATGGACTGATGTGGACTGATGTTCACAGTTAAATCAGGAAAGCAGGATAACAGTATACATAGCATAGCCAATTTTTATAACATGTAATGCAAAATATACATGAAAAATTCCTGAAAGATATATACTAAATGATCTTCTCTATGTGATAGTTTATGAGTTTTTGAATCATTATTACTTACTTATTTATATTTTCAGTGATTATTTTTTGTTTTTACAATTAACACCTATTGTTTGTGAAGTATAACCCCCCACACACCTTATTTTTTATTAGAAAAAACCACTCGGGCCTTTCTAAAGCATTGATAAACATATTACCTGCTGTGTTCTGTCAACTTAGAGAGCAAAGGAAGAGGAAATAGCTGTGTACCGAATTTAATTTAGACATAAGGAGAATTTCCTGAAGGTAAGACCTTTAATCTGTTAAAATGGGAAGGGGACTAGGTGATACAATTAGGCAAAGGGAAGTGGTCAGGGCACACTTGTGGGGCCAGCTGAATGTATAATGGTGGAGAGGATTTGAGGGCAGAAAATAAAAGGCTTTCTGAAGCTGGCTGCCTAGGATACAAATTGCCTTGGTAATGACTCTTAGAGGCAGTGAGTTCACAAGCATGCATGGAAGGCAGAGTTCTGGGGAGAGAAAAGACATAGAAACTCAGATTTCAATTATTCATTCATTCGTTCATTGCTGAAACATTATCGATTGCTCACTACGAATCCAGCATTGTGCTAAGTGTTGGGTCCTGCTCTAGACAAGTTTACAATTTAGTTGGAGAGATGAAACACAAGGGTATGAAATCATTTGAGAAGGACTGGAAAATTAGAAGGAAAACCCAGGTAACTTAGTTCACTTATTTTATTTATTTATTTATTGAGACAGAGTCTTGCTCTGTTCCCCAGGCTGGAGTACAGTGGCGCAATCTTGGCTCACTGCAACCTCTGCCTCCCAGGCTCAAGCGATTCTCCTGCCTCAGCCTCCCGAGTAGCTGGGATTACAGGTGTGTGCCACCACACCGAGCTAATTTTTGTATTTTTTTAGTAGAGACGGGTTTTCACCATGTTAGCCAGGCTGGTCTCCAGCTCCTGACCTCAAGTGATCCGCCTGCCTTGGCATCCCAAAGTGTTAGGACTACAGGCGTAAGCCACTGCACCTGGCCAGGACTGGAAAATTAGAAGGAAAATTCAGGTAACTTAGTTCAACAAAAGAAGATATCTGAATAGCTGCGATTAGTGAGAATAAGTTTCCTCAAGTTTGGAATTTAAAAGTTTAAGAACGTTTCAGGAAAAATATAATAAACGTGAAGCAATTTTGACTGTAATCTGATATCTCACACAAATGTATTGTCTTTTAATATATGAGACATACCTCTACTTCTCCAATATTTGGATTTTAAAAATGTGCTTTCCATAAAATACTTAGCTCTTTTCCATTAGGAAATGATTAAGTAAAATAAAATGGAAAGAAGACTAGAATTACAGAGTTTCTGAGAGAGAGGTTACTTTTGGTATTATGTATTCGGTGGCAGATACTGTCATCGTCTACCCAACATCTATTCTCCCCCCACTTCCTTGCAAACTGACCCTCAATTTTGTTCAGAGTATCGATGTACCCATCTATACATTTACAACTTTTACAACACATTTACAGTGTACCCAACTTACACATTTCCCAGTCTCCCTTTCAGATAGTGACCATGTGACACAGTTCTGGCCAATGAGATGCAAGTCAAAGCCACTGTGTGGGTTGGCCCCTTTCTTCTTCCTTCCTCCTCCTGCCTAGCATGCAGACATGATGCCTAGAGGGGACAGCCATCTTCTGAGTATGAGAACAAATGCCACCTCTCAAGCTGGCTAACAGGGATGCCTATGTGCCTAATGGCATTGTGGGGCTGTGAGACTAGCCCTAGACTGCTGTATTAGTCCGTTTTCATGCTGCTGATAAAGACATACCTGAGACTGGGTAATTTATAAAGAAAAAGAGGTTTAATGGACTCATACTTCTACATGGCTGGGGAGGAAGGCGAAAGGCACGTCTTACATGGTGGCAGACAAGTGAGAATGACAACCAAGCGAAAGGGGTCTCCTCTTATAAAACCATCAGATCTTGTGAGACTTATTCACTTCTAGGAGAACAGAATGGGGGAAATCACCTCCATGATTCAATTATCTCCCACCGGGTCCCTCCCACAACACGTGGGAATTATGGGAGCTACAATTCAAGATGAGATTTGGGTGGGGATACAGCCAAACCATATCAATTGCCTAACTCCAGACTTCTTGCATGAGAAAAATAAAACCTCTACACCACTGGTGTTTGTTACTAGCAGCCAAACACAATCCTTCCCTGATAAATAACCTAACCCACTTATTTCACAGAGAGGGGACGGAGGCCCAAGAAAGTCCCATAAAGCTGGGCAGGTTATGTTGTGCCTTCTGGGTTACTTTAAACTGACAGAAGACCCAATACAAACAACCTCTTAAGCAAAGAAAAAAAAAAAAGAAAAAAGGAATTTATTAATTCAGATAATTGAAGTCAGGCATGTCTTCCTCCAGAGACTCCAGTTTTGTTTTCTTTCAGGTTCTGGTTTTTCTCTCTCCCCATCTCTTGGCTCTTCTTCCTCATAATTAGTCTGCCTCTGGCTCTTTCCTCTTTGTGGCTAGGTGGTGCCAGCAGCTCCAGCCTTACCTCACCCAGCACGAAGTCCTGCAGAAAGTGAAAACTCCTCTCTGGAGGAAAGTCACACTACTCAGGAGAAGCCTCACTTCCTGTGCACAGTAGGGGCCAAAACCAACTAGAATTTAGGACTCTGCACTCTAAGTCAGTTCACTTTCTTTTTAAATTTCATTTTATTAGTTATTTATTTAGAAACACAGTCTCACTGTGTTGCCCAGGCTGGAGTGTGCAGTGGTGCAATCATAGCTCACTGCAGCCTTGAACCCCTGGGCTCAAGGGGTTCTCCCACCTCAACTTCCTGAGTAGCTGGGACTATAGGTGTGCACCACCACACCTGGCTAACTTTTCCTTTTTTTTTTTTTTTTTAAGTGACAGGGTCTTGCTATGTTGCCCAGTCTGGTCTCAAACTTCTGGGCTCAAGGGATCCTCTCGCCTTGGCCTCCCAAAGCACTGGGATAACAGGTGTGAACCACCGTGCCTGGCCCCAAGTCAGTTCACTTTCTACTTTGTCAAATAGCCTCTGAAAAATGTATCCTAAATAGGTATGTGTAGCATCCATGAGAAATATCAGATATTTCCTTCAATCACATGGATGATCACATGTTCCTCTGGAAGCTTATCACCACTAAGGTATGTGAGTACCATGGAGAAAATACCAAGTCTATTTAGAATAAATTAGAAATCACTGGGCACCATACCTTAAGATGGCCCCCAACAGTGAAGACCAAGTCTGATCTGAGGTTTACGGTGGACCTGCTCATGAGTACTAACACAGATTACATCTTCTCCTTTGCTCTGGAGGAAAGCCTGCTGGCACAACTCTTTACAGGCTTTTTCTCTTATTGAACGTTTCTTTCTGAATTTCTCTTTTTTTTTTTCAAATTCTGTTTGCACTCAAAAAAAGTATTCGCTTAATAGCTCAGAAGCACAGATGATCTACTGATTCCTCCTGATCAGGTCAGGCTGTCAGAGCTGAGTTCAGATTACCCTCAGCCTGTACTGTATCTAGTTTTTAAATATTTTGGTGCCTAGTCCAGGCCTTACAGAATAACCTTTAGGTCCATTATTACCCAAGTCTTCCATGAATGGAAGGTTTGCAAATTGATCCTCTTTATAGACATTAGCCATATGGCTGCTTTATTTTTTTTCTACAAGCTTGTTTTCTCTTTCCTCAGAATTGTTGGCCTGTAGGATTCTTGAACTTCTTCCACACTTCGTTATAAAAGTGAGCATATAAAGGCTTAAATATTAGTGCTCAAGTATGTTTGGAGCGAAAACTGGGAATGCATGGTCATGCAGATTTGTTTCTTTTTGTTTCTTACCAGTTTACTCTTTCTCTGACTTTCAGCAAGTTATGTTCACTTAAATTTCCTACTGGCAAAGTGTAAGTCTAGGATCATTTCTGAGTAGAGTCTTTGCTGTTCCAGGTAACAAATTATAAAGTCTTGCTGGGCACTGTGGCTCACGCCTGTAATCCCAGCACTTTGGGAGGCCAAGGCGGGTGGATCACCTGAGGTCAGAGTTTGAGACCAGCCTGACCAAAGTGGCGAAACCCTGTCTCTACTAAAAATACAAAAATTAGCTGGTCGTGGTGGCGGGTGCCTGTAATCCAGCTATTCAGGAGGCTGCGGCAGGAGAATAGCTTGAACCCAGGAGATAGAGGTTGCAGTGTACCGAGATCGGGCCATTGCACTCCAGCCTGGGCGACAGAGCAAGACTCCATCTCAAAAAACCAAAAAAACAAACAAAAAAAACAAAGTATAAAGTCTCTCAAGTGATTTATATTTGGTGGTGTTTGCTTCTCTGTTAAATTTTCTTTTGGTGGATTAAGCTATTGGACTCTGCTAGTTTTGCATTGCTATAAAGAAGTATCTGAAACCGAGTGATTTATAAAGAAAAAGAGGTTTAATTGGCTCCGATTCTGCAGGATGTACAAGTAGCATGGTGCTAGCATCTGCTCGGCTTCTGGTGAGGCCTCAGGGAGCTTTTACTCATGGAGGAAGGTAAAGTGGGAGCAGGCATGTCACATAGCAAGAGGGAGCAAGAGAGAGAAGGAGGAGGTGCCAGGCTCTTTAAACAACCAGAGCTTGCATGAATTCAGAGCGAGGACTCACTCATTACCAGGAAGAAGGAGCCTAGCCGTTCATGAGGGATCCACCCCCATGACCCAAACACCTCCCACCAGGCCTCACTTCCAACTTTGGAGATTCAATTTCTCTTACTTTTTTGAGACAAGTGTCTCACTCTGTTGCCCAGGCTGGAGTGCAGTGGTGGGATCATACCTCAACTGCAGCCTTGAACTCCTGGGCTTAAGTGATTCTCCCTCCTCAGCCTCCCAAGAAGCTGAGACTACAGGCACAGGCCACCGCACCTGGCTAATATTTTAATTTTTTTTTTTAATAGAGGTGGGTCTTGCTATGTTGCCCAGGCTGGTCTTGAACTCTTTTGGCTTCAAGCAATCCTCCTGCCTCGGTCTCCCAAAGTGCTGGGATTACAGGTGTGAGCCGCCATGCCTGGTCTGAGGATTATATTTCAACCTAAGATTTGGAGGGAACAAACATTCAAACGATATCAGACTCCAACGATGAAGAACCTGTTGGTAGAAGTTTCAAACCTTTGACTCATCATCTCCTTTTTCAGACTTTTCTCTCTTCCATACTCTCAACATTTGAGCAGTACTGAGTTCTTCTGATTCTACTTCTATGTTTTACAAATACGATTCCTTCTTTACATTTTGTTTCCTGCTCTACTCTTTCAGGCCTCATTGGCTCCTGGCTGGTTTCTCTTTCTAGGCTCTCAGCCGCCAGTTTATGCTAGCTCTGGTCAGGTCATTTCTTCTTAAAAAATCTTCAATGGTCCTCAGTGCCTTCAGGATAAAGAACAAAATCCTTGGCATAATGTTTAAGATCTTTCACCTCTGCCCTTTTCTTACCTTTCAAGTTTCTTACTTCTTCCTCCATTCTGTTCATCTCTGCACCCAATGTCAAATTCTTATTAAAATGTCAACAGATGGCTATTGTAACATTTGTTTCATTCTGTCTGGGTGCTAAAGCTGTGTGCTGGCAATCAATTATAAGCTATTTAAGGCAAGAATTGTGTTTTATTTATTTTTACTTTCTCTGATACTATATGACCAAGTGTGTTCACAATATATCAGAGAGGGGACCAAGAAACTTTAATTCACTGTGATGATTGCTATGCCAGCAATTTGAACAAAATGCTATAGGAACACAGAAGAGAGAATGATTAATATTGCTTGGAAAGGTTTGGGATGAATTCACAGAGGAAGTAATATCTGAGCTGGACTTTGAAAATAAAGTAAGATTTTTGCAGGTGGAGAAACTGAACGAATAAATAAATATTCTCTGTAAGTTCATATTTTGTAATTAGATTCTAACACCTGCAGGCAGATCAATCCCTTGTATGTCTCTTCCCATGTTTGGGGCAGTCCACATTTCCTTATGCAGCTAAAACAAATGCTTCTCAGGTGAAACATGTTATTTCTAAAATCAGTCTAGTTTATCCAGTAACTTCAGCTCAGCCCTTTAATTCTGGTGCTTAGTTGTGGATGATCAATTCAATTATTTTATCATTGCATCCTTAACTTAAGTGTTGAACCATAATCCTCCACAAAGCTGAAAAAAAGACACTCAATGTTTCTTTGACCATCCACTGACAAAGTCCAGTGAAGCCCAGGTATTTCATGGACTCTTTGCATCAACAAGTAATACCTGTGATGCATCACACTGTAAACATTTGTATGTCAGGACTTTTTCCTGCAACTGTTTAGCCTTTTTTTTCTTTTTTTTTTTTTTTTTGAGATGGATTATTGCTCTGTTGCCCTGGCTATAGTGCAGTGGTGCAATCTCGGCTCACTGCAGCCTCTCCCTCTGCCTCCCGGGTTCAAGCAATTCTCCTGCGTCAGCCTCCCGAGTAGCTGGGATTACAGGTGCCCACCATCACAACCGGCTAATTTTTGTATTTTTAGTAGAGACAGGGTTTTACCATGTTGGCCAGGCTGGTCTCAAACTCCTGACCTCGTGATCTGCCTGCCTCGGCCTCTCAAATTGCTGGGATTACAGGCATGAACCACCGTGCCCGGGCTGTCTAGCCTCTTTTGACCCCTGTAAGAAACTGCGGTTGAAGTGAAGAGATACCAGCTGTGGTAGCGGGAGGAGAAAAGAGTGTGGTGTGTGAGATGACGTTCCTTCGCCTTCCCTGCTCGCAGGTCACTAAGAAAGCAAGCTGATCATTTATTTCTAGATATCTGTACAGAATTCTAGCATAGCACCTATCACAATGCTAAGTGTACTTCTTATATTCATCTTTTAAACATCTTTATATCCTTTTTAAAATTTATTTGAGACAGAGTCTCCCTCTGTCGCCCAGGCTGGAGTGCAGTGGCTCCATCTTGGCTCACTGCAACCTCCACCTCCCCAGTTCAAGCGATTTTCATGCCTCAACCTCCCAAGTAGCTGGGACAGGTGCGCACCACCACGCCCGGCTAATTTTTTTTTTTGTATTTTTAGTAGAGACGGGGTTTTGCCATGTTAGCCAGGCTGGTCTCGAATTCCTGGCCTCAAGTGATCCACCAACCTTGGCCTCTCAAAGTGCTGGGATTACAGGCATGAGCCACAGCCCCTGGCCGTGTAAAATGTTTGTATATCTTATACCTAGCACAACTCCCGGCACCCACTGTGGAACAAGAGAAGAATGATTCTGCTACATATAGAGGAATAGTTTTTTCATCTTTTTTGGGTGATGAGTCTTTCTTTCAGAAAGCTTAAGAAGTCCAAAATTTTAACCTTTGTCCCAAGAAACTAGATGTTTGTCAAAATTTCCATATAAGTTTAGGAAGATTACAGATGCCTTGAAGCAAACCCATGGACCTCAGAGTTAAAACTCCCTGAATTAAGAGAGAGGGTAATGAGAAATTGTACAATCTTTACTAATTCATACTCTTGGTCAAACTAATATCACAGCTGAGGTGGGGTTACTATACATAATAGATACCATGATTACATGGAGGAAAGAGCATTGTAGCAAATGCAATGTGGTGGTCTACACAATGGTGGTAGGCCAGTGTGAATAAGGACTTGCTTGCAGTTTTCATGTGTAACCTGCCTAGTGATGATCTGGAGACATTATCTTCCTTCCTTTCTTGGGTTAAATGGGATCAACTATTTCTATTTTCCCATTAAAATTTCTCCTCCTTAATTTATCCTTCATACTGCTCTGGCACTGGCTGGTTCACACCTGTAATCCCAGCACTTTGGGAGGCTGAGGAGGGCGGATCACTTGATGTCAGGAGTTTGAGACCAGCCTGGCCACTAACATGGCAAAACTCTGTCTCTACTTAAAAAAAAAAAAAAAAAAAAAAAAAAAAAAAAAAAAAAAAAAAGCTCTGGTATTTACCTCCTTTCTCCCTGCTCACTGAGTCCTTCAGATTCAAAATGATTGTGCTGTTTCTCAGGACTTGCAATTACTCTAGATCTTGAGAGACTTAATTGGTCTCTATAAGACTTTAGATGCAAACTCTGAGACCAACTCATAAACTAAAGAAGTATGCCATCAAAGTGAACAAAGTGAATTGGATGTCTGATGCTAAGATTTGGGCACTTTAGAAGATGCCAGGGGTGAGAATGTTTGAAACCTGATGCTAAATAGCATATAAACTAATTTTGCCTTCACAAATATTTGTGAGGCTAGGCACCGTGGCTCATACTTGTAATTCCAACATTTTGGGAGGCCGAGGAGGGAGGACTGCTTGAATCTAGGAGTTTGAGACCAGCCTGGGCAACATGGTGAGACCCTGTCTCTACAAAAAAAAAAAAAAAAATTAGGCAGGCATGGTAGCACACACCTGTGGTCACAGCTACTCAGGAGGCTGAGGCAGGAGGATCACTTGAGCCTAGGAGGTTGAGGCTGTAGTGAGCTGTGTTCACACCACAGCACTGCAGCCTGGGCAACAGAGTGAGACCCTGTCTCAAAGAGAAAAAAAAAAGGAAATATTTGCTAGAACATGTTATACGGGTGGAAATTGACACTTAAACATATTCAAATAGGAATTTGATTACAATTCCAGCACAAATGCTGTCACTACTATATCCCACCACTATCAATTCTCCATTATTATTAAGGAGTGCTCCCATGGTGGGGCAAAAATAATTGTGGTCTAAACTTTTTTTTGGTCTTTGACTTGAATTACTCTGGAAATTTTCCTTTCAGATTTTGTGTTTGTTTAGTAGGTTCCTTACAATATATGTGTGACTAAAATTATTTTAACAGCCTTAATTGTATTACAATGACAAAGATTTGTAGATCTTGTGACAGCAAGATTAAATAAACTCTGTTCTGTATGAGTTTATTTAATTCCTTTTCAGTGGCTGATATTTGAACCTCTTTCATTTAGAGTCAATCCAGCTACACAATTCACAAAGTGCCTAAACAAGTCCAGGAGGGGTTAAAGTACACACCACCAATATAAAAAGTGCCATTCTATTGCATAATCTACAGTCTTGTAGTTGAATCTGGGTTCTTGTGAAATTTTAATCAAGTGACTAGGGAAGGTAATATATGATTGGGAAGTAATATAAAGGAATTCTATAAACTACTAAATCTGCTGTATGTTTTGCTCCATGGTCCCATTATAATTTTCAATAAGAGGAAATTTCCAAATTTTACCTTTTGTTGTGTACAGAGGAAGTTTTATTTTATTTATATATATATTTTTTGAGACAGGGTCTCACCCTTGCTGCCCAGGCTGGAGTCAGTGGTGTGATCTTGGCTCACTCAACCTCTGCCTCCTGGGTTCCAGCAATTCTCCTGCCTCAGCCTCCCAAGTACACTACAGGTGCGTGCCAACATGCCCAGCTAATTTTTTTTCTTTTTTTTGTATTTTTAGTAGATACAGGGTTTCACCTTGTTGGCCAGGCTGGTCTCGAACTCCTGACCTCAAGTGATCCGCCTGCCTCAGCCTCCCAAAGTGCTGGGATTACAGGTGCGAGCCACTGCGGCCGGCCAGAGGAAGTTTCATAAAGGTATACAGTTGAAGGGGTAGTTTTAAAAATATATCATTAGACTATTTCAAACATCAAAGAAAAGGGGATGCAACTGAGATGTAAATGATCACAGAGGGAAATATCATTGGAACTAAGAATGGCATATAATTTACTAATGACACAGTGATCAGGTACTTATTTCTGATAACCTTGAATATCATGCAGGTCACATTTTATTTTGTGATTAGAGCAGAGCAAACACTATTTACTAATGAATTTATTTGTGTTTTCCGTCACTGAAATTTGAAAGACAAAATGAAAATCTAGGTCTCTATGCTGTTGCAAAGTATGGCCAAGAAAACTAGCCAACTAAGCAGTTTTTCAAAGAAGGTGTCTTGGGCCAGGCTCAATGGCTCATGCCTCTAATCTCCGCATTTTGGGAGGTCGAGGAAGGAGGATCACTTGAAGCCAGGAGTCCAAGACCAGCCTAGGCAATATAGCAAAATCATGTCTCTGCAAAAAAGGAGTTCAAGACTAGCCTGGGTAATATAGTAAGACCATGTCTCTACAAAAAAATAAAAAATAAAAATAAATAATAAAATGAATTAGCCGAGTGTGGTGGCATGTGCCTGTAGTCCCAGCTACTTGGGAGGCTGAGGTGAAGGATCACTTTGAGCCCGGGAGGAGTTTCAGTCTGCAGCTGCACTGAGCTATGAAGCTGCCACTACACTCCAGCCTGGGCAACAGAACAAGACCCTGTCTCAAAAAAATAAACAAACAAAAAAACCCGAAAGAATAGAAAAGAAAAAAAAGAAAAGAAAAGAATATAGGCCAGGTGCCGTGGCTCATGCCTGTAATCCCAGCACTTTGGGAGGCCAAGGCGGGTGGATCACCTGAGGTCAGGAGTTCGACACCAGCCTGGCCAACATGGTGAAACCCCATCTCTACTAAAAATACAAAAAATTAGCCGGGCATGGTGGTGGGCGCCTGTAACCCCAGCTACTCAGGAGGCTGAAGCAGAAGAATCACTTGAACCAGGGAGGCAGAGGTTGCAGTGAGCCGAGATTGCACTGCTGCACTCCAGCCTGGACAACAAGAGTGAAATTCCATCTTAAAAAAACAAACAAAAAAGAGAATATATCTCTGTAAGAAGACAGGTGCAGGGGGTGGGAGTGGACACTGATTTTTCAAATACCTATTTAGATATAATCCGTGCTTAATGCAGGACCTAATGAGGTAAGTGAGGCCTGAGCCCACAGAATCCCTCTCAGGGAATTCGCAGTTTAGGTCAAGCCACACTTTGGTGGGCCTCTCTTCACTTTGCTCTTACCTAATCAGGGGAAATCTGATTAACATATACAACAAAGCCTCAACGGGGAATAAAAAGGTCACAAAAGGGCAGAGAAGGATTCACAGAAAAAGGAAGAGGCCTTGCCAGTTCTTGACTAGTTAATTAGGGTCAGAACCGTACTGGGGATTTCCTATACCCTAAGTTTGTTAAGTGATTACATCGGTCTGGGGAAAAGGGATCTGCTCAGAGTGATTCAGTCAACTTTCTTAGTATCGGGTGGTGAATCGCATTTCCTCTCTGCTACCCTGTATACTGACTAATGGGTGGCGTATGGGGGGTCTCCAAGAGGTGTGTTTACTCCAATTCAGAAGCTATAGGATTTCAGTAGGCCTTGGCCTGTTGGGCAATGTGAGGTTTCAATCTTTCTCTCTCAAATGAGTGGGGCTCTTATCAGTTATGAAGGGACTTCCCTTGGGACTTGTCACGACACCATACAGCAGAGATGGCAATTTGAGGGCAGTTTCTTGTTCTGCTTTGCCATCTTGGGGTGGCTCTGAAAAGCTTTCTGAACCTCCGACAAAAGAAAAATGTTCACAGGATTGATTACTACACACAATTCAGTGAAGACAACTGGGCAACCTGAATCAAATGTTGAGATGAAAGATAGGTGAGCTCTGATGACACACGTTTAAATTCTAGGTCTACAGGTAAAACTTTGTAAAGGGCCTTGCCTCAGCGACATCTGTACTGGGCCCTCCTTTGCTGAGAGCTTCTTACCCCAACCCTAGCACTCCAAGTCCCGAGAACTGCTCAATTTCATGGGAAAAAGTCTCTATAATTATATATATATGTATATATGTGTGTATATATGTATGTATATATATGTGTGCATATATATACACATACACATATTACAACAGACTGATTTTCATGAGTTGTAACTATCCTTGTAGATAAAAAACGAAACCATTCGAATAGCTTAAAAACCATGCCCACGTGGCTACTGGCATCAATATTCCACACAAGATTAAAATTACTTCCCAAGATGCACACCCTGCACTCCAGGTAATATTTCAATAACTTGATTAAAAATTTCTCAGAAGTCTATTAGAATCAGAAAACGCTCTGCGGTGTGGGTGAGGATTTTAAATTTTTGCAACGGAAACTTTTGGCTCCACGAACAGAAAAGCAAGAGCAAAAACTCAGTTAAATGCGTTCTTCCTCCATCTTTGCCTAGTCCAAAAGGAAAAAAAAAGAAACAGAAAAAAGAAAAACTGTTTGGAAGAGTAGCGTTGAGGTTTGCTTTTTACCTGTTTTTCCTCTAGAACAGCCAGGTGGATTCACATGATCCAATTTTTTAATTGTCTTCTATGTCCCACTCCGAATAACCCGGATGCCCCAGCACAATCAGAGAGATCGTTTTTTTTAAAAAAAATTTCAGCCTCCAAAGGTAGGAGGGGAGTGTTAGGGGAGAAAGTACTTTAATTAAAAATCAATAACTCGAGGTTTTTGGGATACGGTTTGCCATTTCCTAATTAAGAAATGGGTTTGACAGTCCCTTTGTACACACTGCTATGCAAACCCCAAAGGGTTGGCGGCTGTCCGGGCGATGACACTCCGGTCCCCTGCGAGACCCCGGGCCAGCCAGGCCCGTCCGCCGCCGGCCTCTGGGGTCCGTCCCCGGCTCGCGCAGACCTCTCGCTTCTCTCGGCTCTGTCTCCTGCGCTCAGCTCTGCTCGGGGCCGGCCGCCTCAGGCTCGCCGCCACCAGGTCGTTGCAAATACCTTTTCCCTCCCCGGGGCCCCAGCGCGCGGCCACCTCCCAGCCTCCCCCCCTCCCACCCTGGCAGCGGGGCCCTTTCCCGGCTCAGGAACAGCAGCAGCCCGGGCCGCGCCGGCAGGAAGCGAGGCCCATGTTGCTGCTGTTCCCTGGCGCGCCTCCCCGCCCTCCGGGGGCCGCCACGGCTCTTCCGCGCTCCCGGGCACCCCCCTCCGCGCCTGCGCTGTGCCCCACGGGGGCGGGGCTCAGATTCCTGTCAGCGGCGGCGGCGGTGGCGGCGACCGTCAGTTTTCGCTGAGGAGAAACACGAAACGGACCCTTTGGCTCTCCCCCTTCCCCTTCCCCGTCCTGAACCCCTCTCCTGGTCACCGAGAATCAGTCCCCGTGGAGTTCCCCCTCCACCTCGCCATCGTTTCCTCGGTCCTCGGCCCAGTGGAAGTCACTACCCTCGAGGAGGAGGCAGCGGCAGCCGCCCTCGCGTCGCCGCCCCCGGTTCGGTGCCCGCGGTCCCGGAGAGGAGGTGCCGCCGCCACCGCCGCTCCCCCCCTCCCGCTGCCCTCGGGCCGGGCTGGGTCGAGCTGCGATGCCCTCGGACTTCATCTCATTGCTCAGCGCGGACCTAGACCTGGAATCGCCCAAGTCCCTCTACTCGCGAGGTGAGTCAGGCTGTGGGGGGTGGGGCGTGGGGGCGGGGAGACAGGGAGACAGGGAGACAGGGCCAGGGGAGGCGAGGGGTCCCCGTCCCGCCGGGGGCGGCTGAGCCGCGACCCCCATGGCTTCTTTGGCCGGAGCGGGCAGAGGCCGAAGGGATCGGGGTGACGGTGGAGGGGGCGGGCGGAGCAGTGGCGGCCCCTCCCCCGCGGAGCCGCCGGCCGCTCGGGGCCCAGATTCCGTCGGCCCCCGGGGCTCTGCGGCACCGGTCGCTTCTAGCCGCTCTCAGCCCGTCCGGCCCCGCCAGGCTCCGCGAGCCGCCGGCCCCGGCCTCCCGGGCTCGGGGATGGCCCCAGACTGGGCCCCGCGCTGGGGCCACCGCGATCGGGGCGCCGCGTCTTCTCTTACCGGGACCCTCCTCCCCAGCAAAGTTGCCCCCAAGCGGGCGGCGTGGCCTGGAGCCGGTTCTGAGTGCAGGGTCACCATTTTCCTCCCTTTCCAGCTTGTTTTTGCGCCGTCGTTCCACCCCCTCTCCCTCCGGCCTAGTCCACTCCCTCCCCATGTTGGGACAGCCCCCCTCGACCAGGCGTTCTTCCTTTCCTCGTCATCTTCTTGCTGGAAAGGGCCCGATGGAAAGGGCCCGAATTTTCTTTTCTTTTTTTTTCTCTTCCCACCTCCGTGGCATTCTAATTACTTCTCCCTTCTCCTTTACAAAGATGGGGGTGCCCTCTCTGGATTGGTTTTATTCCTCTCCTCTCCCAGGAGGACCAGCCCAGGCACAGACGCTGTCCTTTGAGAATTTTCTCTGCTTTTCCGTTCAAGGGCTGGTTGCAGGGAGGGAGCTCAGGCAGAGACTTTTCATTTAAGAACTCTTTTGGCTAAGGCCTGCAGGGGATTCCCAGCATCTGAAATATTAGCACTGGAGCTGATCCCTACTCAGGTGAAATTCCTTTACTGGACACCACAAGAATGTGTCAGAACAGGTTCCCTGTGCAAGGGGCTTCAAAACCAAAATATTCCCACTGCGCTCTTTACGCTTTTTAAACCACCGGGAGGGGGCAAAAGACATAACTGGGTTGTTAACTATTCATTTCACCGTGTAAAAAAAAATGTAGGTGTTTCTTCTGCTTTTGGTTTGATGTATCCATCCATTTGCTTATTCCACCCCCTCCAAAAAAGGGACTTCACCTTCCTACTAGTGTATCTAAATTGTTTAAGTGAATCAGAGTGAGATGGTTTACTCTGAAAGGTGCTGGACTTTACAGACTGACCATTGATTTTGTACACAGAGTCCTACTTAGTAATTGTAGCCACTGTCTGTTGCTCCAATGACTTTAGTTGGCAGCCACCATCCTGTAGGATGTTTTTCGGGCAACATTACCTGAGGTACTTTAGAAATATTGTAGTTTTGAATGTCAAAAAAAAAAGAGACATATCAAGAGATGATTCTTAGAGCAGGGCTAATGTGTTAGAATTGAGTGCTAAAAATAGCCAAGACATTAACACCATTTGGGGAGTAATCATCAGATAATTTTCCATGAAACATATACTTTATGAAAATCTAAGTTTAGCTTCGAGACCAATGTAGAGACAATTCAGCCTCTTTTGCGGGGAATATATTCACAAATATGGGCTTTAGCGCTTAAAAATACACTGCAGTTGGCCGGGCGCAGTGGCTCACGCCTGTATTCCCAGTACTGTGGGAGGCCGAGGCAGTTGGATCACCTGAGGTCGGGAGTTTGAGACCAGCCTGACCAATTTGGAGAAACCCCGTCACCCCGTCACTACTAAAAATACAAAATTAGCCGGGCGTGGTGGTGCATGCCTGTAATCCCAGCTACTCGGGAGGCTGAGGCACGAGAACCACTTGAATCCGGGAGGCGGAGGTTGCGGTGAGCCGAGATCGCACCATTGCACTCCAGCCTGGGCAAAAAGAACGAAACTCCGTTTCAAAATGTATGTGTGTATATATATATATGTGTGTGTGTGTGTGTGTGTGTGTGTGTGTATATATATATATATATACACACACACACATTGCAGTTATATAAGAGATGTATGCTATCCTTGGCATTTTTTTCCTCATTCAGCATAAAAAGTACCTAATGCTTTTTGTGTTTTTCAGATTCTCTGAAGTTACACCCATCACAGAATTTTCATAGAGCTGGACTATTGGAAGGTCAGCAAAGTACCATTTTAAAGCATATTGTGTTAGTATGCAAAGGCTTTCTCTGAAATGGAGTTTAAATGGGAAAGTATGAAACTTTGCAAACTCACACAATGTAGTTTTCTCCTAAAGAGTCTGATCCTTCTTTTAGAGCAGCTGAATGTTTCAATGGGTTTTGTTGCTGCGTTTGATGTGCTTGTTGGCTGTTCTATCTGCTTTGAGAAACATTGAAAAAAAAATCATTTTAAATTATGTGTTGAGTGTTCTACTTTAGAATTCCAGACCTTCATTTTAGCTTTTTATACACAAAATAGAATGTGAAAAGGCCCAAACATTAACATGAATATAAAAGAGTGACACCAAACACATAATTAGTTTGAAAATTCAGAATTTAGAACATTTATATGCTGAGCATTTCAAAATATGTTAATTATTTATTGCAAAAGCATTGATGCCATTGTTATTGCATTATACTTAAGGGTAAGGAAAGCCAAGTAATAGCGATGATGATTGAGCTATGCTTAGAAGAAAGGGGTTTAGAAAGTTCTGGAAATGTTAATAGAGTCTGTAGATTAGTTTAAACAGCTTACACTTACTTTAGAAAACTTTTGGCTTTGTGTGTGTGTGTGTTTTAACATTTTAAGACATAAAATAGTCTTGTGTTTTTGTAGATTTTGAAGTGATTTCACATATATCATCTTTAAATCTTTATAATTTTGGAATTGGACAGCAAAGGTACTAATTTCCCCATTGTAGAGAAGAGAAACTAAGGCTGAAATTAAGAAACCAAAAAAAAAAAAAAGTCCCACAGTAGAAGAAATAATACTTTCTGCGTTTCAGTTAGTGCTCTTTATGCAAAGCGGCCACCGTGAAATACACATGTAACCAGTAACAAACATTTTATGGTCTACTTTAAAAAGGCCCTAAATATTTAAGTTTGACTTGAGAAGATTTTTGCCTCCCTTGGAGGTAGTCCGGGATAGTGGGGGGCAAGTGGGTTTTGTAGTTGAGCTTAAATTTGAATACCAACTTAGCTCCTTATTAGTTCTGTGACTTCGGGCAAGTGATTTTACCTCTCTAAACTTTAATATTCTTCCTGTTAAAATGTAGCTGTCTCTTAAATTTAGTGAGCTAATGTGTATTAAATTGCCTAGCATAGCGTCTAGCTTAATAAATGTTAGTTTTTTCCTTTAGTATCAGCTAAATTTTTTTAACAGTATAATTTAGAGCATATAAAATGTTCTCAAATAAATAATTGGTTAAATTTGTTTTGTACGTGTAAGAAGCCCATAGATATACATTAGTATGAAAATCAAATATTTTTAAAACTACAATTTGAAGTGAGAAATTTTTAGCAGTGTTTCTTAGTGAAGCAGATTTCTGGTTTTTATTCATATTCAATTTGTGACCATGTTGTAGAGACATATTTGTCTGTACAAACCCATCTCATTTCCTGGACAACAAACCATAGAGTGTCATAATCATAGAGATGATCAGGGAGGAGAAAGACATGAAGAAAAAAATGAGTGTTAATTATTTAAGCAAATATTTTTAGTGAGCTGATGGAAATACAGACAACCATTTAGCATGTTTATTTACATGTTTATGCCTAAATACTTTCGTTAATTTTTCATTTTAGTTAAGGGGATTCTCATTTAAAGTAAGGCTACCCTTTTAGAAATTATATATAAAATATAACATGTATAAGTATCAATTCTGTCATGCCCTTTAAAATGTTTTGAGACAGGGTGTCTTAAAAAAGTTGTTTGCTTCTGTAATGAAGTGTCTAATCTGTGCCACCTCATTGCTATTTCTTTTTTATTATTGACATTTTAAAGAATACATAAAAGTAGAGAGAATAAAATAAGCCCCATATACCCATCACCACAGTTTAACCAGTATCTAATCTTGCTTCTTTTATCCCTTCTTCTCTCTCAAGCTGGATTATTTTAAAACAAATATCAAACATCAGATCACTTCATACATAAGTATTTCTGTATTACAGTGACTTTCTTATATTAATTATTATTGATATAATTTAATTGTTAATATAATTATTGTATTAATTTTTAATTACTCTGTATAGTTTATAAACTATTTCTTGGAATATTCTAGTTTATTTCAGCAAAGTCTCTTGTGACTCTCCTGCCCTCTTTTCAAGACAGAGTGCTGCAGGAGGCTACCGCTTCTAGTATATAGTATATCCTATAACCTATGTTGAAATTGTAGGCCATGCTGCTAGATTGGAGTTCATATTGTTGCTCTGACATTTACTTGTATGGCCTTAGCCTAATAATTTAATCTTTTTTGCTTCAATTTTCTCATCTTTAAACGGGAGCAATAATAGTGCCTCATCCTAGGTTTTTGTGAAGATTATTTGAGGCAAATTCGTGTAAAGCATTTAATTTAGCACATGCTAAGTGCTCAGTAAATGTTAGCTAAAGTTAAAAAATTTTTAAAAACTAAATGCTAGCTGTAGAGTGTTTACTGTGTGCCAAGAACTTTACAAATAAGAACTCCTGAGGTGGGCATATCACTTGAGGTCAGGAGTTTGAGACCAGCCTGGCTAACATGGTGAAACCCCATCTCTACTAAAAAAAAAAAAAAAAAAAAAAAAAAAAGCCAGGCATGGTGGCATACACCTGTAATACCAACTACTCGCGATGCTGAGGCAGGAGAATCCCTTGAATCTGGGAGACAGAGGTTGTGGTGAGCCAAGATCACTCTACTGAACTCCAGCCTGGGTGACAGAGTGAGACTCTGTCTCAAAAAAACAACAACAAACAAACAAACAAACAAAATAAGAACTCAGCGAATTCTCCTGACTACCCTTTGAGATGGTTATTATTATCCTACTTTAGAGATGAGCAATTGAAGGCATAACTCACCCAGAGTCACAAGCTAGTAAATTGTAGAACCAGAATTCCAACCCAGGTAGTCTCACTTTAGCCTAGCCTCTTGACTACTGTGCTGTACTAACTCCCAATGGTATATACTATCAAGTTCTGTCTAGTAATATTTATGTATGCATGTTTTACATCAGTAGTCTAGATTTTCATCTATAAATAGTATTTAAAAACTTGGCCCAGAGTGAGGGGAATTTAAGTAATTGGTGTGATATAATTTAATTTTTTTATAGAACGTACGTTTTCCAAATTTAAATTTTTTTTTTGGGGGGAAACAAGGTTGGAAAACCTGCACTTGGGTATTATTATTATTATTTATTATTATTATTTTTTTGAGATGGAGTCTTTGCTCTGTCGCCCAGGTTGGAGTGCAGTGGCACGATCTCGGCTCACTGCAAGCTCCACCTCCTGGGTTCACGCCATTCTCCTGCCTCAGCCTCCTGAGTAGCTGGGACTACAGGCGACTGCCACCACGCCCGGCTAATTTTTTTTGGATTTTTTAGTAGAAACAGGGTTTCACCATATTAGCCAGGATGGTCTCGATCTCCTGATCTCGTGATCCGCCTGCGTCAGCCTCCCAAAGTGCTGGGATTACAGGCGTGAGCCACCGCACCTGGCCTGCGCTTGGGTATTATTAAACTTTAGAAGTAGATTCAAAATGTCTACTATTCAACTGAGTTTGCATTTAACCTTCCTATCAAAACAGTGCTAGTCTTTCTTGCAACCTCTTTTTAAATTTAATACGATGATTGCCTGACAATGGGAAAAGGGTCCTGGCTAATTAATTAATGTTATAATACATGGCCATTAAATGATGTTTCTGGTAACCCCATAATTAACATGTGACACTCTTAATAAAATAAGTAAATAAAAATTATGCTGTTACAATTATATTCAAAGTAACTTGTGTTACAAAAATCCTGAACAAAAGTATACATCACTGATTTTCTATTTTTCAATTCTATTTTTGTATTTTCCATCTTTAAAGAACATGGTTTATATATTTTTTTTAAATAAAATTGTTTGCCATTAGTAAGTTCAAATTCGAAGGCTAGGATTCCTTTTTGAAGTGCCTGGGAAAAAAATTCAGCTGCAGAGAAAAGGCACCATTTGTTGTACATTCTATAATGAAAACTATTCATTTTGGCAAATGAAAAACTAAGATAGAAATGAAACTGAATGAATCATTCTAGAAATAGAGAAATATAAGATTATAGAAAAATCATAGATAAAACAGGAAAAATAAGAGTATAAACAAATTGGAAAAATAGATAAATATAAACAATAGATTTAACAATTTTAATGATTTTAAAAGCATGAGTTAAGAGATTATATATCAAATGAAAGAACTGGTTAAATAAGAGCTAAATGCTGATCTGATATAATCTTTGTTATTTATTTATTTATTTATTTATTTTTGATACAGAGTCTCACTCTGTTGCCAGGCTGGAGTGCAGTGGCATGATCTCAGCTCACTGCAACCTCTGCCTCCTGGGTTTAAGTGATTGTCCTGCCTCAGCCTCCTGAGTAGCTGGGACTACAGGCGCGTGCCACCACACCCAGCTAATTTTTGTATTTTTAGTAGAGACAGGGTTTCACCATGTTGGCCAGGGTGGCCTCGATCCCTTGACCTCATGATCCACCCTCCATGGCTTCCCAAAAGTGCTAGGATTACGGGCATGTGCCACCGCATCCGGCCACAATCTTTGTTTAAATTAAACATTTAAGACCGGAAGATTTTTAAAAGAAAATGTGAAATATGACAATGAGTTAAGAGAAAATAAACTATGATTTTTTTTTTACTACTGCTAATCTATTTGATATGGTACCATCCAGAATTATACTTCATAGTGCAAAAATGGAAAATCCTAAACATAGTAGCAATGTTTTATTGACTTTATAGAATATTTCTGATTTATATTTCTTCCTAGGGCCCTTGTTATATCATAGATCATAAATGCCTATAATATTTTATGTACAAAGATACCTTTTTGGAAAGGATTTTTTGAAAACATTTAACATGAAAAATAATCTATTGAATTCTTTTCTTGTTTAGTATCTAATAATCTCTGTGGATCCATGTCTAGTAAACTAAAAGTATTATGGAAATAATGAAGTTCAAACATGTCAAAAGTCATACCTAGTTCATCCCAGCTTCTTGTCTTTAGATCCATCTCTTTCTGATTGCTTACCACCTGTTTTTGTGTCCCTTCCTAAACTCTGCTTTCATTATTTTCACTCAATACTGGAATTCTATTGCTTATTTAAAATAAAAGGATATAAATTCATATTCTAATCCAGTGGTTCTTGGCCTGATTTTAATTTACTCTTGACTCTGATTATTCCAGGAGTCCCCTAAAATTTCAAAGTGGTAGTACAGAAAAACATTTCCCAGTGTGATTAGTATTATATATAAAAAACAGCCACTTTTTTTTTTTTTTTTTTTTTGAGATAGAGTTTCGCTCTTGTTGCCCAGGCTGGAGTGCAATGGTGCAATCTCAGCTCACCGCAACTTCACCTCCAGGTTCAAGCGATTTCCCTGCCTCAGCCTCCCAAGTAGCTGGGATTACAAGGGCGCACCACCACACCTGGCTAATACTGTATTTTTATTAGAGATAGGGTTTCTCCATGTTGGTCAGGTTGGTCTCGAACTCGTGACCTCAGGTGATCCACCCACCTCGGCCCCCCAAAGTGCTGGGATTACAGGCGTGAGCCACTGCGCCCGGCCAAAACAGACACTTTTTATATGAAAAAGTTGACTCCTCAGAGTATATTTTATATTAAGAGTAACAGGTAACTAGAAAAAAATAAAGATTATTCAGTGGCATAGGATATAGACCTTTTAACTTTAGAGAGGTAAAAGACATTTTTCAATAGAAATGTTGCTTATTAATTTGTATTATTGTCTTTTCTTGCTGTTGCTAAGATTTTATTTCAAGTTACGCAAAGAAGGTTGCTGTGTCTTCTGTTTGCTTTTGTGTTAATAAAAGTCAAGTTTAAATAAACTAACAGAGTATAAGACCAATGATAATTATGTACTTGAGTGAAAAGGTAGAGATTTCCTCTATGAGTTAACTACAGATAATGGATCTAGCTTTCAGAATAAATAAACTTGATGTAATAAAGGATATATATATTTAATCATTTGAACTAAACATTTGTTACATGAGAGTTCAGTTACTTTTATTTGTTCTTAATAGCTTTTGAAAAATATATACTTTTCTCTTTTTTTTTTTTGGTTTTTGAAACGGAGTCGTGCTCTGTCACCCAGGCTGGAGTGCAGTGGCACAATCTTGGCTTATTGCAACCTCTGTCACCCAGGTTCAAGCAATTCTCCCACCAGAGCCTCCCAAGTAGCTGGGATTACAGGCACGCACCACCATGTCCAGCTAATTTTTTGTATTTTTTTAGTAGAGATGGGGTTTCACCATGTTGGCCAGGATGGTCTCGAACTCCTGACCTCGGGTGATCTGCCTCCCTCAGCCTCCCAAACTGCTGGGATTACAGGCATGAGCCACCGTGCCCAGCCCATTCTCTTTTATTTTTAACATTTATGTGGTAAATAGGTAATGATCATTATTGCTTCCCACCCATGAATGTTTATCACTTCTTTTTCATTCAGGAAACACTGTGATTAGTCTTTTACTGAATTTGGTATTTAGTTTTGAAGATGAGAGAAGAACAGAAAAGTTTCTAATAGTGAGCTAAGTTGTTGATTATGCTTATTTATTTATTTATTTATTTAGAGACGGAGTCTCTCTGTTGCTTAGGCTAGAGTGCAGTGGTGCGATCTGGGCTCAGTGCAACCTCCGTCTCTTGGGTTCAAGCAATTCTCCTGCCTCAGCCTCATGAGTAGCTGGGACTACAGGTGCACACCACCATGCCCAGCTAATTTTTGTGTTTTTAGTAGAGACAGGGTTTCACCTTATTGGTCAGGCTGGTCTTGAATTCCTGACCTCAGGTGATCCGCCCGCCTCAGCCTCCCAAAGTGCTGGGATTACAGGTGTGAGCCATTGGGCCTGGCTGATTATGCTTATCTTTATAAAATTAGTTTTACAGGAGGCTGAGGTGGGAGGATCATCTGAGCCCAGGACGTCAAGGCTGCATTGAGCCTGCATGATCATGGGATCATGCCACTGCACTCCAGCCTGGGCAACAGAGCAAGACCCTGTCTTAAAAAATAATAATAATAAAATAAATAAATAAAGCAAGAGAAGAAAAAAATTTAGTTTTAATAAAAAAAACTGTACCTGAGGCAATCTTTGTAGGACATGCTAGTCAAAAGAATAAATTCAGTGTTAGTAATAATTGAAAACCTTTTTTGAGCAATTTATATGTCAAGCAGTTTATGTTTAACACCATTTTACATATATTTTTCACATTTAACTCTTAGAAAAATCCTGCGATGTAGTACCAGTATCCCTATTTCGTAAATGAACAAACTGAGGTACAGAGGGATCTACTAATTTTCCCAAGGGCACATATCTCGTGGATGAGGCTGGAATTTGAACTTCACCAGTTTTACCCCAGAGCTGTGAGATTATATTGACTGTCTTAACAGTCAGTAAGAACATTTGAGGCCGGGCTCGGTGGCTCACGCCTGTAATCCCAGCACTTTGGGAGGCCGAGGTGGGCGGATCACGAGGTCAGGAGATCAAGATCATCCTGGCCAACATGGTGAAACCCCGTCTCTACTAAAAAAATACAAAAAAATTAGCTGGGCGTGGTGGGCGGGCACCTGTAGTCCCCTGAGGCAGGAGAATGGCTTGAACCCGGAAGGTGGAGCTTTCAGGGAGCGGAGATGGCGCCTCTGCACTCCAGCCTGGGCGACAGAGTGAGACTCGGTCTCAAAAAAAAAAAAAAAAAAAAGAACGTTTGAAATTGGCATTTATACTTTGGGCCCTAATAAGATTACACCATTGTTCAGATGGTATAAAAAGAATAGTTTGTGTAGGATTCTTTACTAAGCAGCTTCCATAAAGTAATGAGACAAATTTTATAAACTACATACAAAAATTCATAAAGAATATGATTATGACTCTTTTGGGGAAGATTTTAATACTCAAAATTAGCAAATCATTGCCTGGCTTTGGTGAGTGTCTTTAACATTTAGAGGAAGTGATGGCTGATCAAAACACCTATGTTGGCCTAGCTCAGTGGCTCACGCCTGTAATCCCAGCACTTTGGGAGGCTGAGGTGGGCGGATCGCTTGAACTCAGGAGTTCGAGATCAGCCTGGGCAACGTAGCAAAACCCCCTCTCTACCAAAATTAGCCAGGGATGGTGTTACGCACCTGTAGTCCCAGCTACTTGGGAGGCAGGCTGAGGTGAGAGGATCACATGAGCCCAGGAGGTCAAGAAATACCTCTCTCCTGGCTGATGATGGGACTCAGAAGTGAAAAGTAGGAGAAGGCTAAGCAGAAGCCACCACCTAAGGGGAATTACTTTAGAAATGAAGGTGCCGTGGGGCTCTTGATTTCTTTGGCAGTAGTTTTATGGAAGCATGGATGCCATTGTTCCCTATTTCTGCTAGTATGTTTCAGAGACAAAGTAAATTCAAGAAGAGATGAGCAACAGAAGAAATAGTACTAATGTGAGCTATGTGAATAGTGGTATTTTGCATAGAGCCTTTATTAATTTACTTTGGTTCTTTCTGCTTTGTCTTTTTTAATCTGCCCCTTTCACCCCGTGTATCCGTTTTCTCACGGTAGTCTATACATTTTGTTGTTCTGCTATGGCATCTTGTATCCTTTCTCTATTTCCCTTCTTCTGAAAACAAACGTCTATAAAGGAGGTTTGCTATTGTAAATTGTAGTTTAGAAGTTAACCCTCCCCCTGTGGTTTAGTCTCTTCTAATAAGCTATAAGCAACATGGGCCAGAACCTATGTGTAAATTCATCTTGAGTGAATGAATAAATAACACTATTATGGCTAAGTAACCTATACTTGCACATATACATGAAAAATATATGGTTGGCTATATTATGGAATAATATAGGAATCTATAAAAGAACAAAAAATTTATTACCTTTATACCCAGTTTTAAAAATACTGTGTTCCCTTTTAGAAGGTTGTGGTGCTTGAACGACAACAAAAAGGTAAAGAGTACGCACTGTATAGACCCATTTATGTGAAGTTCTTTAAAAGACAAACCTATGGTAAGAAAAAGCAGATCAGTAGTTGCCTGGGGCTGGAGTGGGCAGGATTAACTACAAAGGACCAAAAGTAGCTTTACGGAATGATTGAAATGTTCTCTGTCTTGACCATGTGATTACACAAACATACATACTTTTTAAAAAAACTCATAGAACATTTAAAATGGGTGCATTTCTATACTTCTATAAAGGACACGGGTTATATATATTCTGCCACTGCACTCCAGCCTGGGCAACAGAAGAAACAGTATTAATGTAAGCTATATGAATAGTGATATTTTGCTATTTTGGGAAGCTGAGGTGGGAGGATCACTTGAACCCAGGAGGTAGAGGATGCAGTGAGCAGAGATCGTGCCACTGCCCTCCAGCCTGGGTGACAGTGAGACCCTGTGTCAAAAAAAAAATTTTTTTTTTTACCTGTACTGAACATGTACAGACTTCTTTTTCTTGTTGTTATTCCCTAAGTGATGCAGTGTAACAGCTATTTATGTAGCACTTACATTGTATTAGGTATAAGTAATCTAGAGATGATTTAAAGTATATAGGAGGATGTGCATAGGTTATATGCAAATACAAAACCATTTTATATTAGGGACTTGAGCATCTGGAAATTTTGCGGGAAGTCCTGCAACCCATCTCCAACAGATACCAAGGGACGACTGTACTCCGATATATAGTTTCTATAGTTAAGCATAAAGGTGAAAACAGAATATGAGTTTTTGGTCCCTTACAAGTGAGTACTATCTTGTGCTTAACTATGTATCATAAATACTAATTTTGAGTAAAATTCAGATGTGCCCATAGTCATATATATACTGTATTCTGATAGCTAGTTTGAGATATTAGGCATTAAAATGCTTTTATTAGCAATTCAATAGAACACTTAAAATTTGTTGGTAGAAGACTGATTACATAACTCAAATTATTTGTTTGAATTAAAGTTTTCATTACAGTCATCTAAGTCAATAAAACTCGTGTTTAAGTGTGTCTTATGACAGTGACCATAAGCCAAACACAGACTTAAGCCAACAAATAGCTATCCTTTACAATGGAGTTGTGAATTTGTTAATGTTTTTCTTTTCTCCAGTTTATAAGTAGCAACTTGTTGGATTGTCATTCTGAAACACTGAAACAAAGATTTTACTTGAAAAAAAATACTATGGTAAAATGGAATGAATAATAAATTAATTTTCCCAAATGTCAATATTCAACTTATAAACACCTTGATAATTGACATTTGTAAGAACTTTAGAAACACTATAAAAGTTGCATCTGAATAAGTTTTTTTTTTTTTTTGAGACGGAGTCTGGCTCTGTCACCCAGGCTGGAGTGCAGTGGCGTAATCTCGGCTCACTGCAAGCTCCTCCTCCCAGGCTCAAGTGATTCTCCTGCTTCAGCCTCCCAAGTAGCTGGGACTACAGGCCTGCACCACTACACCTGGCTAACTTTTTATATTTTTAGTAGAGACGGGGTTTCACCATATTGGCCGGGCTGGTCTGGAACTCCTGACCTTGTGATCCGCCTGTCTCAGCCTCCCAAAGTACTGGGATTACAGGCGCCGGCCACTGCGCCTGGCCATAAGTTTTAATAAAATTATATTGTGAACTCCAAGACATTTTTCTGTATTCTTTTTTGTGTCTGTTATTAAATTATATTCTCTGGAATATTGGGCTAACGTAGGGTGAATGGATGGGAAAATAAACACAGATGTAATTTTATAATTATTTTTAAAGAACTTTTCATTTTCTTAGTGAATTTTTGCCTATAATATTGGGTACAGGATGAGAATTTATATGTAATATTTGAATTATAGATACTTTGGATAAAATGACTTCTTAATTCCTTAAAAAACTAATTATTGCTTTTTTTTAAAACTAGGTAATTAGGTAGTTGAAAGACAGAATGTCATTAAGTTAACTAAATTACCACTGTATTACAGTAAATACAAACAACATACTTACAGTGTAAACTATGGTAAATAAAAACTAAAAAAACACTTCCTTGAAAGTATTTTTTAACCAAACTTCACAAGGATGGATAGAATTAACACTATAAATTCTGCACAGAAAAAAAATAGTGCATACTAAATTGAGAACAGATGCACAGAAGTGCTATTTTTAGAAATTAAAAAATGGTAAAGATGATAATAGGCAGATCAGAAGTCCCACATATTTATCAGGGTTGTAAATAAAAACCCAGTTCAAAAACATGCATTACTAACTGGCTGTGTGATTTTTAGGCAAGTTACTTAACCTTTCTGTGACTGTTTGTTCTTGTAAAATAGGAATAATAGACTTATAGAACTGTAACGAGGAATGGATGAGTTAATATTTCTAAAGCATTTGGAATAGTGCTTGACACATAGTAAGTGCTATATGAGTGCTTCTTAAATAAGCAAAATAAAAGTATGTACCCAGAGGAAAATTACTTGGCAAACATACTTAGAATGTAGCAAGAAACCAGGATTTTATTAGCATAAGCTTCAGAACAACTCAAGTGTTGCTAAATTTACATTACATTACATATTAATGTAATAACTATTTTAATGTAATATGTATTTTAATATGTAATGTAATTACATATTAAATATGTATATAATTACTTTTAATATGTAATGTAATGTAACTACATTACATATTAAAAGTTTAGGGCTGGGCATGGTGGCTCCTGCCTGTATTCCCAGCACTTTGGGAGGCCAAGGTGGGTGGATCACCTGAGGTCAGGAGTTCAAGACCAGCCTGGGCAATACAGTGAAACTGCATCTCTACTAAAAAATACAAAAAAATTAGCCAGGCTTGGTGGCGTGTGCCTGTAGTCCCAGCTACTCAGGAGGCTGAGGAAGGAGAAATGCTTGAACCCAGGAGGTGGAGGTTGTGGTGAGCCAGGCTCTTGCCAGTGCACTCTAGCCTGGGCGACAAGAGCGAAACTAAAAAAAAAAAAAAAGTTTAGGCATTTATAGCACTGTGTTGCGCAGGGTTTATCTTCCTAAAATACAAATCCAAACTTATCACTTGCTTAAATAATCCTTTAGTAGTATCCATGGGTTTTAGGATGAAATCCAAATTCTTTTTATTTTTGAGATGGTGTCTCGCTCTGTCACCCAGGCTGGTGTGCAGTGGCATGATCTCGGCTCGCTGCAAGCTCTGCCTCCCAGGTTCACGCCATTCTCCGGCCTCAGCCTCCCGAGTAGCTGGGACTACAGGTGCCCGCCACCACGCCTGGCTAATTTTCTGTGTTTTTAGTAGAGACAGGGTTTCACCATGTTAGCCAGGATGGTCTCGATCTCCTGAACTCTTGATCCGCCCACCTCGGCCTCCCGGAGAGCTGGGATTACAGGCGTGAGCTGCCGCACCCGGCCGAAATCCAAATTCTTAAAACCTGGGTCCTCATTATATTTCTTAAAAAAATTGAGAAAAAATTCGGTTAACAAAGTTCATTTTGTTTGTTTGTTTGTTTTGTTTTTGAGACAGGGTCTCACTCTATCACCTAGGCTGGAATGCAGTGGTGCGATCCTGGCTCACTGCAACCTCCGCCTTCTGGGTTCAAGTGATTCTCATGCCTCACCACATGAGTAGCTGGGACTACAGGAGTGTGCCACCACGCCAGGCTAATTTTTTGTATTTTTAGTAGAGGTGGGGTTTTGTTATGTTGGCCAGGGTGGTCTCGAACTCCCGAGTTCCTTTTTATTGCAGAATAGTATTCCATTTTATGGATATATCACATTTTGTTTATCTATTCATTAGTTGATGGATATTTGTGTCATTTCCACATTTTGACTGTCATGAACAATGCTGCTGTGAACATTCATGTACAAGTTTTTGTATAGACAGATGTTTTCATTTCTCTTGGGTCTGTCTATACATAGGAGTGGAATTATTGGGTCATATGGTAACTCTATATTTAACTTTCTAAGAAACTGCCAAACTGCTTTCCATGATGGCTGCACCATTTTTTCATTTTTACCAGCAGTGTATGAAGGTTCAGATTTTTTCAAATTTTTTTGCCAGTACCTATCTGTCTTTTTAATAAAGCCATCCTAGTGGGTATGAATTGGTATTTCTTGTGATTTTGAGTAAATGTCTCTGATGACTAATGACATTGAGCATCCTTTCATGTGATTACTAGACAGTAGTATTAATATATCTTTGGAGAAATGCCTATTCAAGGCTTTTGTGAACTTTTTATGATGAAAAAATCTTAAAAATTATATATTTATCATGTACAACATGTTGTTTTGAAATATGTATACATTGGCTAATTTGAGCTTATTAATATATGCATTAACTTTTTTTGGTGAGAACGCTTAAAATCTATTTTCTTAGTGATTTTCAAGAATGTAATACATTGTTATTAATTTTTCTCACTTTAAAATTGGGTTATTAGGCCGGGTGGGCGCAGTGGCTCATGCCTGTAATCCCAGCACTTTGTGAGGCCGAGGAGGGCGGATCATTTGAGGTCAGGAGTTCAGGACCAGGCTGGGCAACATGGTGAAACCCCGTCTCTGCTAAAAATATAAAAATTAGCCAGGTGTGGTGGTGCATGCTTGTAATCCCAGCTGCTCAGGAGGCTGAGGCAGGAGAATTGTTTGAACCTAGGAGGGGGATGTTGCAGTGAGTCGAGATTGTGCATCTGTACTCCAGCCTGAGCAACAGAGTGAGACTCTGTCTCAAATAAATAAGTAAATAAATAAAATAAAATAAAATTGGGTTGTCGTCTTATTCTTGAATTGTAAGGGGGTAGTGTCATTTGATGCACAAATATTTTAATTTTGGTAAAAGCCAATTTATTTTTTCTTTGTTGCTCATGCTTTGGTGTCATATTTTAAAAACTATTGCCTAGCCCAGGGTCACAGAGGTATACCTATGTTTTTTTCTAAGAACTTTATAATCTTAGCTCTTACATTTAGGTATTTGATCCATTTTGAGCTAAATTTGTATATTGTGTGAGGTAAGAGCCTAACAGCTTCATTGTTTTGCATGTGCATATCTAGTTGCCTGAGCACTATTTGTTGAAAAGACTTGTTTCCCCCATTGAATGGTCTTGGCACTCTTGTCAAAAATTAATTGGGCATAGATGTATGGCTTTTTTTTTTTTTCTTCTGGACTCTCAGTTCTATTCCATTTATCTGTATGTCTATCCTGTGTCAATACCATATTGTGTTATTACTGTAGCTTTGTAGAAGTTTTGAAATTAGGAAGCGTGAGCCTTCCAACTTTTTTTCTTCTTTTGTAGGATTGTTTCGGCTATTTAATGTCTCTTGAATTTTTATATAAATTTTAGGAACAGCTTCTCAATTTCTACAAAGAAGTCAGCTGTGATTTTAGTAAGAATTATGTTGAATCTGTAGGCTAATCTGAGGAGTATTACCATCTTAATAATATTAAATATTTTTGTCCATGAACATGGGATGTCTTTTTATTTTTTTTAGATCTTTATTTCAACAATTATTTTAAAAATTTATTTATAAGTATTCCATTCTTTTTTAATCATTGTTTTTTAAGTGTTAATAAAATTATGGAAATAATTTGAAGAAAGGTTTGTCAAAATTTAGGAAAGCTCTTATTTATTAAATTTCTGTTTTATTTATTTAAATTTATTTATTAAATTTCTGTTTTTAAGGGATGGGGTCTCATTCTGTCACCCTGGCTGCTGGAGTGCAGTGGCATGAGCATGAATCACTGTAGTCTTGAACTCCTGGGCTAAAGCAATCCTCCTGCCTCAGCCTCCTGAGTAGCTGGGACTACTCAGTGTTTACAGGTGTATAACACCATGCCCAGCTAATTAAAAAAAAAAAAAAATTGTAGGGATGGATTCTTCTCTGTTGCCCAGGCTGATCTTGAACTCTTGGCCTCAAGTGATCCTCCCATCTCATTCTTCCAAAATGCTGGGAATACAGGTATGAGCCTCAAGGCCTAGCTGAGCTTTTGTATTTAAACACAAGATTATGCATGTGTTAAGGGAAAGAAACCTAGCATATGATAAAATCTGTAAAATATTAGAATCAGTCATAGATCTAAAGCTGCAGTAAACAATAAAGAACATCTAGTGAAGTCCAGTTTTGCTTAAATAGTTATACTGGATGGTAAGCTTCTTAAGGGCATTGACTATACCTTGCATTTTTGTAACACCTGGCACAAATGCTTTGTATTTGAAAGGTTCTTGATATTTATTGAATGAAAGAGTAAATGAATGAATCCTACATCCAGAAAAGAAGGAAGGAAGGGTTTTGGAAGTTTGAGGATTGTGCTCTAGTTATATGTAACCTACAAGTAGCAAGTTTCAGTTGGAATAATAATAATTGCATTAAAATAACTGCAAATGGGGAACTAGGCCTTTAAAGAGTTGGGGCCAGTTGCGGTGGCTCACACCTGTAATCCTAGCACTTTGGAAGGCTGAGGTGGGCAGATCACTTGAGGTCAGGAGCTTAAGACCAGCCTGGCCAACATGATGAAACCTCATCTCTACTAAAAATACAAAAAATTAGCTGGGCATGGTGGTGCGCACCTTTAATGCCAGCTACTCGGGAGGTTGAGGCAGGGGAATCGTTTGAACCCTGGAGGTGGAAGTTGCAGGGAGCTGAGATCGTGCCACTGCACTCCAGCCTGGGAGATACAGCAAGACTCTGTCTCAAAAACAAAATAATAATAATTGGAACTATTTAATCTGTAAAGATAAGAATTTAGATAAATAAGATGAAAATTGAGGTGTATTTGTTCTGTGTCTCTTTTTTTTTTTTTTGACAGAGTGTTACTCTGTCATCTGGACTGCAATGCAGTGAGTAGGGTGCAGTGGTGCCATCTCGGCTCACTGCAGCCTCCGCCTCCCAGGTTCAAATGATTTTCATGCCTCAGCCTCCTGAGCAGCTGGGACTACAGGTGCATGGCACCACACCTGGCTAATTTTTTGATTTTTTAGTAGAGACAGGGTTTCACCATGTTGGCCAGGCTGGTCTCGAATTCCTGACCTTAAGTAATCCACCTGCCTCGGCCTCCCTCGGTCTTGCTATATATAGCAAGACACCATCTCTACAAAAAATAAAAAAATTAGCTGGGCATGGTGGCATGTGCCTGTTGTCCCAATTACTCAGGAGCCTCAGGCGGAGGATCCCCTGAGGCCAGGATGTCGAGGCTGAGTGAGCTATGATTGTACCACTGCACTCCAGTCTGGGTGACAGAGTAAGACCCTGTCTCAAAAATAAAATTTATTTTGGTGGTGGATGCACAGCTGTGACTCTGCTGAAAGCCACTGAATTGTGTGCTTTAAGTAGGTAAATTGTATGATATGTGAATTATATCTCAATAAAATATGTATATATATACATGTATATATATTCACAAATATAAATGTATTGGAAGGGTTTAAACAGATGGCAAGTGCTGTCAAAACAGAGTAGAATTTATGTTTTTATTTTTTATTTTTTGAGGTGGAGTCTCGCTCTGTCGCCATGCTGGAGTGCAGTGGCATGATCTCAGTTCACTGCAACCTCTGCCTCCCGGGTTGAAGCGATTCTCCTGCCTCAGCCTCCCTAGTAGCTGGGACTACAGGCAGATGCCACCACGCCCAGCTAATTATTATTATTTTTTTTTGTATTTTTAGTAGAGATGGGGTTTCACCATGTTGGCCAGGATGGTCTTGATCCCCTGACCTCATGATCCACCTGCCTCGGCCTCCCAAAGTGCTGGGATTACTGGTGTGAGCCACGGCGCCCAGCCCAATTTTTTTTTTTTTAATTGTGTGGGGCTGTCTCTCATAAAAGTAGTTTTCTTCATGCATTGCTGGTGGTAATGTAAAATGGTGCAGCTGTTGTGAAAAACAGGTGGTTCCCCCAAAAAAGTTAAACATAGAATTATATGATCCAGCAATTTCACTTATAGGTATATACCCCCAATAATTGAAAGCAGGGACTCAAACAGATACTAATGCACTAATGTTCCTAGCAGCATTATTTACAATAGCCAAAAGAAGATGGAGACAACCCAGGTGTCTTTCAACAGATGAATGGATAAATTCCAAAATGTGGTATATAAGTACAAGGGAATATTATTCACCCTTAAGAAGGAATGAAGTTCTGTTACATGCCACAGTATGAATGACCCTTGAAAACATACGCAAAGTGAAATAAGCCAGACAGAAAAGGACAAATATTGTATGATTCCATTTACATCAGGTAACCAGACACATGAGATACTTAAAATAGGCAGAGAAAGAAAGTAGAATATTGTCTAGAAAGTAGAATATTGGTTACCAGGAGCTGGGGGTTGGGGAGGAATGGGAAACTATAGTTAAATGGGTACAGAGTTTGTTTGGAGTAATGAAAAAGTTCTGGAAATGAATAATGGTAATGGTTGCACAATGTCGTGCATAGATTTAATGCCACTGAATTGTGCACTTAAAAATAGTTAAAATGGTAAATTTTATGTATAATTTACTGCAATTAAAAATGCTTTCAAAAAACAAGAAATTTTTAAGAGTAAGATGCACTACTTTTTTTTGTAAAGTTTGTGAGACATAATTGTGTGGTATGTGGAAAGGAGAATATTTTCATTTTTGCATTTAAAAGAATATAGTGTTTTAGTTGTCTGTCATTTATGGTTTTCTTCCTTCTGTTTTCAGAGAGTGTGAATTTCTGACTTTCTATGTGGGACCCAAAATCTTTAGCTTTAGATGTAAGTGAGATGACCTAAATACCACTGACTATGTTACATCTTTGATAATCAAAAACTAAATTTTGATAAGCCAGACTAGACTACAGATGACTTTGTGAAAAATTCATGAGGCGTAGACATATTAACCTTGTTTAGATTGGAATTTTTTTTTTTCTTTTTAGACGGAATCTCACTCTGTCACCCAGGCTGGAATGCAGTGGTGCAATCTTGGCTCACTGTAACCTCCACCTCCCAGGTTCAAGCAATTCTCCTGCCTCAGCCTCCCGAGTAGCTGGGATTACAGGTGCCCACCACCATGCCTGGCTAATTTTTGTAGTTTTAGTAGAGACGAGGTTTTGCTGTGTTTGCCAGGCTGGTCTTGAACTCCTGACCTCAGGTGATCTGCCCACCTCAGCCTCCCGAAGTGCTGAGATTACAGGCATGAGCCACCATGCCCGGCCTCGACTGGAAAATTTTTTGACTTTTAATATGCTTGGTTGATTCATTTTGTTGATTTCTGGAAAGCAAATGTTTGTATTTAATAGTAGCAATAGGATTGCAGTTTTCTAATAAATATCACAGAATTATGGCAGTGAGCCAAGAAGAAGAAAAGCTGTATTAGTGAAATAAGACATACTTCTATAGCTATGGAAACTGTAAACCCTACTAAGTCTGATAAAGGTATTCTCTTTGTATTTGTATTATTAGACATTGGTAGGGGTTCATGAAAACCCAAGATAACTGCTATATTAAATCTAGGTATGATTGTATTCATCAAAAGGCCTGGTTAAAAGGCACTGTTAGGTAGTTTAGTATTTGTTTTGTGTGAATATTAAAGTGCTTTTTTTTCTTTTTTTTTGAGACAAAGTCTCGCTCTGTAGCCCAGGCTAGAGTGCAGTGGCGCGATCTCGGCTCACTGCAACCTCTGCCTCCAGGTTCAATTGATTCTTCTGCCTCAGCCTCCTGAGTAGCTGGAATTACCGCCTGGCTAATTTTTTGTATTTTTTTTTTTTAGTAGAGACGGAGTTTCACCATGTTGGCCAGGCTGGTCTTGAACTCCCAACCCTCAGGTAATCCACCCACTTCGGCCTCCCAAGGTGCTAGGATTACAGGTGTGAGCCACCATGCCCGGCCTATTTTTCTTCAATTTCTCTTCTTTTTTTTTGAGATGGAGTCTGGCTCTGTCGCCCAGGCTGTAGTGCAGTGGTGTGATCTCGGCTTACTGTAACCTCCGCCCCCCTGTGTTCAATCAGTTCTCCTACCTTAGCCTCCTAAGTAGCTGGGACTACAGGCGCCGCCACTATGCCGGGCTAATTTTTATATTTTTAGTAGAGATAGGGTTTTGTCATGTTGGCCAGGCTGGTCTTGAACTCCTGACCTTAAGTGATCTGCCCACCTCCGGCTCCTAAAGTGTTGGGATTATAGGCATGAGCCACTGTGCCCAGCCTAATTTCACTTCTTATGGTCCTCAACTACTAAAGCATTTTCTATTTGAAAGAATAATATTAGATTATTGCCACAGCTGACAATTTATTTGAGAATAAATGAGAGAATAGGAATATGACTCTGTTTATTAAAGTTAAATTAATCTTAACCAGTACATTTGTTTACTGGTAAAATGCATATTAGCTGTGCACAAGTAGATTTTATGAATAAATTATTTTAGGTATAAATTAGGCACTTTGGTAATTTATAGTGCTTTCTTTTTTTTTTTTTTTTTTTTTTTTTTGGGACAGAGTCTCACTCTATTGCCCAGGCTGGAGTGCAGTGGTATGATTCCGGCTTACTGCAACCTCTGCCTCCCAGGTTCAAGCGATTCTCCTGCCTCAGCCCCCTGGGTAGCTGGAATTACAGGTGCACACCACTATGCCTGGCCCGTTTTTGTGTTTTTAGTAGACACAGGTTTCACCATGTTGGCCAGGCTGGTCTCCAGTTGCTGACCTCGTGATCCACCTGCCTCGGCCTCCCAAAGTGCTGGAATTACAGGCCTGAGCCTCTGCACCTGGCCGCATGATTAGTGCTTTCACCAAGTAATAATTTCCTGATAGATAACCTGACTAGCATATTAGCTTAATATCTTTTCTAATTATAAAAACCAACTAACTCCTGAGAATACTTAAGACAAGGTCTGTAATCAGGGTTGCCTGTATTTGGTGAAATTAATGGGCTGTTTGGGGTGCCAAGCTTCAAAAGAGAGATGATTGCTAATCCTAAAATATAAAGGTAACCTAGAGCCAGAAAGATAGCTACTGAGTAATTGTGTTCTCACCACACTTATTTGTGTGTAAATTTAAAAGTGCATTTCCTCTCAAATTTAGATATGTCTTGTTCTGCTATTTTTCTGTACTAGAAAGTACTTCTTCAGATTGCTAGGCTACTTACCAGAATCATCAACTACTAACTAGTAAAGAAACAAACTGTGTTTTGGGATCTCCCATATCAAATATATTTAGAAGTGAAATTTAGCAATCATTTATTTTATGAGTAAAATGAAACAGAAAAAGTGAACTATGAGGGGTAGACTCCTTTGGAAAAATCATTTTAGGTTGGAACCTATAATATTGCCTAGAAGAGAGAACCCATCCATGTTGAAATGCCAGATTAGAGGGAAGTTTATGAAGAAAAGACCATGTAGAATGATTTGAATGTTTACCACTGTCTAGTTTTGGAAAGAAAGACCAGGGCATTACATGCAGGGTCCTTCTTGGTGTTGGACCCTCCCTCCTCTTTTCCTACTTCTTTTTTTTTTTTTTTTTTTTTTTTTTTTTTTGAGATGGAGTTTTGCTTTTGTTGCCCAGGCTGGAGTGCAATGGCACAATCTTGGCTCACCACAACCTCCACGTCCTGGGTACAAGTGATTCTCCTGCCTCAGCCTCCCGAGTAGCTGGGATTACAGGCATGTGCCACCACGCCCGGCTAATTTTGTATTTTTAGTAGAGACAGGGTTTCTCCATGTTGGTCAGGCTGGTCTTGAACTCCCAACCTCAGGTGATCCACCCACTGCAGCCTCCCAAAGTGCTGGGATTACAGGCGTGAGCCACCACGCCCAGCCTCCTACTTCTTTTTTAGTAGCCCGTTGTTTGTCTAACTTGTCTATCAGTTGGATGTTTCAGAGATCATGGATTTCAGTAAACATAGCTCTTTGTAACAGAACTGGATGGTGTGTCCTATGAGAAAAATACCGTTTTAGCAATCGAAATGTGGATGTGCTATATAATAAGACAGATAATCTTTAAATGACAATAAAACCTCAACTCAGAAACTCAAAGGATAAAATTTGATAAAAATAAGAGGGCAAAAAAAATTTTAGCAGTTAAAACAGCTGGGAATAGACAGAGTAGAAAGCAGTAGCCCTAAGTTTTATATTTGACTAAGGTTGAATAGAAACTTCAGGTTGCAGTGTCTACCTCAGGATGATTCAAATCACTTTGAGTCTTTAAGATATGGCTCTTGAATTCTCAACCCAAGAATTTTAAAAAAAGAGAAATCCTCATTTTTTTGCTAAGAAACAGGAAGTTATTTTTCTTGAAATATAAGTTATTTATAATTTTGTTTCTCATTATTTCTTCTCTGTATCTTTTTTCTTCCATCATAGATGACTCATTGACACCCCACGCATCTAAAAAGTTCTTAAGCTGGCCACAGTGGCTGACATCTGTGATCCCAGCACTTTGGGAGGCCAGGGTGGGAGGATTGCTTGAGTCCAGGAGTTTGAGACCAGTTTGGGCAACATAGCAAGACCAACCCCCCTCCCCAACTGTCTCTACAAAAACTTTAAAAAAACTAGCCAAGTCTGGTGGCACATGCCTGTAGTCTTAGCTACTTAGGAGACTGATAAAGGAGAATTGCATGACCCCAGGAGTTCAAGGTTACAGTGAACTATGATCGCACGACTGCACTCCAGCTTGGGCGACAGAATGAGACCCTGTCTCAAATAATAAAAAAATAAATAAAGCTCTGCATTTTGGCAGTTGTGGGTCGTCTGAGTACAGACGTTGAGTCCTGAGTATCAGGTGACTAAAAACTCTAGTATTGTAAATAGATTTGTAAATTGACAAATCTTGTTTTAGACAATTTTGCTATGGTATGCAACAAAGTTATTTCCAAATACTTTTAGGTTTGGATATTTAAAGTGCTATTTAAAAAACTGTATTAGTCAAAGTTCAGGATTTTTTGCGTAAATGTGATTTAAAGTATAAGGCAGTTCTAGTTCTTTCTTTGTATTTGTATTGTTAAAATAAGACTCAGTTGAATTTCAGTTTGAAAATACTGGAAAATTGTTATTCATAGCTACTTTGTCTCAGGCTAGATGATTATAAGGAGAAAATTAATTCTAAAGTGGTTTAAACCAAATCATGTTTTAAATTTAGTGTTATATAAATTTCAGGTTGTGTTCTATATCTTTTTTTGGCTTTCCCCTCCCTCAGCCTAACAGTTTAGTTGTTCAGGATAGGGAGATTTGTCCCATGTAATTATTTTTCAGTTTTGCTGAACATATTTTTAAAATGGCTACCTTTCTTGGGTACAGTGTCATGGGATTCCCCGCCCCATCTGGGGTAGAGTGTTGTGGGATTAGAGTGAGATAAGAGACAAAGGAGAATCTTTCAGGTCTTCTAACTCAAATCACTAGAAATTTAGGCACGATCTGGACCTTAATGTGTGAGAGGCTGTATCATTTTATTTCCCAAATTGTATTTTCTTTTTTCTTGAGACTGAGTCTCACTCTGTCGCCCAGGTTGGAGTGCAGTGGCGTAATCTCGGCTCACTGCAACCTTCGTCTCCTGGGTTCAAGCAATTCTCCTGCCTCAGCCTCCCTAGTAGCTGAGATTACAGGTACATGCCACCATGCCTGGCTAATTTTTCTATTTTTAGTAGAGATGGGGTTTTGCCATGTTGACCAGGCTGGTCTCAAACGCCTGACCTCAGGTGATATGCCTGCTTTGGCCTCCCAAAGTGCTGGGATTACAGGCATGAGCCACTGTGCCTGGCCACAAATTGTATTTTCTCTAACTTCTAGTTGGTATGAAAAAAGTATTAAAGAGTCCCCTCCCCACCCCGCCCCAGTTTTCTTACTCCGAGGATGAAGATGAAGTGGAAAGCTTTAGATAGTTGGTTTTTCAGCCTGGCCACCATGGAAAAATTATTTACTGTTTTATGAAACATGCAATTCAGTTAATTTGGAGGAAGCTGTTTAGTAAGGGGAAAAGGACAGGATTTCTAGTTAGGAAACATAATCAAGTATCTGTTTTAAACTTTGCTAGTTTTATTTCTTTTCCTCTTTTTATCCTCATTTCCTTTTTATCTAGCAAGATTATCGTGAAGCTTCTATGAATAATTTTCTACATTATGCTAGTGCCTTTAAACAGTGTTTGAATATGAATCTCTAACTTGCTCTGAATATGTTGAGAAAAAAAGTTGATTTTTCAGGATAAGTAATTCTTTTTGGGTGTTCAAGATATTTTTAACAAAAAATTTTTCAGAAATTGAAAGTTGGCTTGGCACAGTAGCTCACACCTGTAATTTCAGCACTTCATGGGGCCAAGGCAGATGACTTAAGGCCAGGAGTTCAAGACCAGCATGGGCAACATAGCAAGACCCCTTCCTACACAGCCCAGGAGTTTGAGGCTGCAGTGACCTGTGATTGTGCCACTGCATTTCAGCCTGGGTGACAGAATGAGACCCTGTCTTGATTTAAAAAAAAATTACAAAAAGTCTTTCCAAAGCTATAAAAACTTTAAGCTTTATTCTTTCTCTTTTTCCATGATACTTATTGGCTCTTTTAGGTTTAGTGGTAACTCCTACCAATAATTCTTAAAAGGAAAATGATAATTACTTTTTCTTTTTTTTTTTTTTTTTGAGAAGGAATCTCACTCTGTCACCCAGGCTGGAGTGCAGTGGTGTGATCTCGGCTCACTGCAACCTCTGCCTCCTGAGTTCAAGCAATTTTCCTGCCTCAACCTCCCAAGTAGCTGAGATTACGGGCACCCACCACCACGCCTGGATAATTTTTGTATTTTTAGTAGAGACGGGGTTTCACCATGTTGGCCAGGCTGGTCTCGAACTCATGACCTCAAGTGATCCACCCACCTTGGCCTCCCAGAGTGCTGGGATTACAGGCGTGAGCACCATGCTCAATGGTAACTACTTTTTAGGGATGATACATGGTACTTAGTTGTCACTGATTTTTTTTTGTTGTTGTTCAAAAATTATTATAGTATCTAAAATCTTGTGAACATGGGAACAGATTGTGAGGAGAAAAATAAATAAAAGCTTGTGATTATTTCAAATTCTTATGATCTCAAGTCTTGACTAAAATGTGTGCTTTACAGGGATTAAGATTAAAGTGAAGCTGTTTTTTTCCCTCATAATGTTTCTAACTTAAATTTTTAAGGGGCATTAATACTTATGAAATTGATAGTTTTCTCATCTTTTGATTACTCCCCTCAATTCATGCTTCTGAAAAATGCATTCTAGCTAAAAATATAAGAATGCTTATTAATCATAAAATATATTGGTACTTGTTTAGTGTAGAACTAAGGGATTTAGATATATCCTTTAAAGGCAAATAATACATTTGATCATTAAATGGAATAAATTGCTTTCAGAGTAGAGTAGGGTTTATTCTTGGGAGTTTGAAGTTGAGCACAGAGGCATGGATATAAGAATGGATTCACATCTATTTCCTGTCTGGGTGCTTTAGGAATTTAATCCTTTTTAAAACTGGAACTATTGGGAATTTTATTTTTTTTGTGTGAGGAATCATGAAAATCCCATGTTTAAGTACATATTTTTCTAATTAGATTAGTTGCGTTAGTGTCAAAAATGAATAAACTAGTTTTAGGTTTCCTACGTGTTTTGAATATTTTATGTATATACATACTCTTACTAACTATGAATACATAAATTAGCCAACAAATGTTAGTCAGAATTTTATTTTGATTGGTCAACTTTTAAAACTGTGACTTTTACTGAGTTTCTGTCTTTATCTTTCTAGATGTTATAGTGAAATGTCTAAGGAGGGAAACTGAAATGAAGTGGTGTCTGCCAAATGAATAACTTTACTTGTGGTATTGCAGCACAGTTACTTCTTTTTTAAAAAAAAATTTTTTTAATTTTAAGACAGGGTCTCACTCTGTCACCCAGGCTGTAGCCTCCACCTCCTGGGCTCAAGCAGTGCTCCCACCTCAGCCTTCCAAGTTGCTGGGACCACAGGTGTGCACCACCAGGCCCAGCTAATTTTTTTTTTTTTTTTAACTAGAGACAGTGTCTCCCTAGGTTGCCCAGGCGTGTCTCAAACTTCTGGGCTCAAGTGATCCTCCTGCCTCAGCCTCCCAAAATGCTGGGATTATAGGCAGGAGCCACCATGCCCGGCCTAGTTACATTTCTAACAAAGTAATTTTGAGAACACAGGTAAAAGGGATGTGATCTGAAAACTGTTTGGTGTGTAGAATGGGGAGAGAAAAAAGGAAGCAAATTAAATTGAAGGAGGAAATATGGTAAATTTAATTTTTGAGTTTATTATTGGAAGAAAACACGCCATTTTGTGCAGTATAAGAATATAAGCTTATCAGAATTTTTAAATATTAAGGTTTGTATTTTAACCCATTTTCATATTAGAGCCATTTTTTTCCAGATCCTGTTTTCAGCTGTATCTATTAATGGGGTGAATTTACTCCAGGCTCCCTGGTTGTTCATTAACCTAGTAGGGCTTGACTACTTTAATAGGTTCAGGAAAATGTGCTTGTTAGTTGAAACTGCTCATAGCTGGAATTGGAACTTTTCTGCAGTCCTTCCTTGTCTGTGGGGAATATGTCCTAAGACCCTCTAGTGGATGCCCAAAACTGAGCATAGTACCAAACACTATATATACAGTCGTGTGTAACTTTATGATGGGGTATGTTCTGAGAAATGCGTCATTAGGTAGTTCGATCATGCATACATCATAGGGTGTACTTACACAAACCTATGTGGTATAGCCTGCTACATATCTAGGCTGTATGATTTAGCCTGTTGCTCCTAGGCTACAAATCTGTACGACATGTTACTGAACTAAATACTGTAGACAATTGTAACACAATAGTAAGTATTTGTGTATCTGAACAGACGAGGTAACACGTGGCATGACATCACTAGGAGATAGGAATTTTTAGTCTGCATTATAATTTTATGGGACCAGTGTTGTATATTAATTATAATTTATAAGTCTTTATGTATCTTTTATATGGAAACCCAAATGTCCCAGCACCATTGCTGAATATTATCCATTTTCCCTACTTGATCTACAATGTCAGTATTAAGTGGCATATAGCAGGTTTCTGTATATTCTGTATTATGATCTTATGGCACCACTGTCATATATGTGATCCATCCTTGACTGAAACATATGTGGCACATGACTGTACTATGTTTTTTCCTATACATACATACCTGTGATAAAGTTTAATTTATAAATAAGGCACAGTAGGAGATTAATAATAATAACTATTGTATTGTCAGGGTTCTCTAGAGGGACAGAACTAATAGGATAGATGTATATATCTACAGGGGAGCTTATTAAGGAGTATTGACTCACACAATCACAAGGTGAGGTCCCACAATAGGTCATCTGCAAGCTGAGGAGCAGGGAAGCCAGTCCAAGTCCCAAAGCTGAAGAACTTGGAGTCTGACATTCGAGGGCAGGAAACATCGAGCAAGGGAGAGAGATGTAGGCTGAGAGACTAAGCCAGTTTAGTCTTTTCACGTTCTTCTGCCTGCTTTTATTATGGTTGTGCTGGCAGCTGATTAGATTGTACCCACTCAGATTGAGGGTAGGTCTGCCTTTCCCAGTCCACTGACTCAAATGTTAATCTCCTTTGGCAACATCCTCACAGATACACCCAGGAACAATACTTTGCATCCTTCAATCAAGTTGACACTCAGTATTAACCATCACAACTATTAATAAATAGAACAATACAGCAACATACTATAATAAAAGTTATGTGAATGTGGTCTCTCAAAATAGCTTACTGTTCTGTATTCACCCTTCTTATAATGATGTAAGATGATACAGTGCCGATGTGATGATATTAAGTGAGGTGCATCACGTAGGCATTGTGACACAGCATTAGGCTACTGTTGACCTTCTGTATTCCCGAATCTGTGTCAGTCATTTTAGGGGATCCCTTGTTGCTCATGGGTTTCTGGTGCAACATATTGCTGTCAGTGGAGGGAAAGGGGGTAGCTATGAAAGATTCGGTAAACCATGTTTTCTGTTCATGTCTTTCACCTACAAATTTAATGCCTTTTAAATCTTAACTAAGCACTTATCTTGCTCTGGCTGTAACTTTTGCTGTTTGAGGTGTGGCAGCAAAACTAGCATGAATAATTTCTTTTTCATTCTTTCGCAGTTTTACAGATAGAAGACTCATTCTTACCGTAGATCTTAGCAGCCTCAGCATACGATTTTTTCTTTCCTTATTAAGAAGTTTCACTTTTTCACTTAAATGAAGCACATTAAAACTTCACTTTGGCATATCCAAATTGCCAAATGTCACTACTCTTCCACTTTGGGGCCATTGTTAAGTAAAATAAGGGTTACTTGAACACAAACACTGTGATACTTTGACAGTTAATCTGATAATCCATATGGTTACTAAGTGACTAAAGGGTAGATAGTGTGTATAGCATGGATACACTGGGTAAAGGGATGATTCATGTCCTGGATGGGATGGAGCTGGACTCGCAGGTCAACAGAAAATTTCATCATGCTACTTAGAATGGTGTTGTATTTAAAATATATAAGTTATTTAAATTGGAATTTTTCATTTAATATTTTCTGAACTTGGTTGACCATGGGTAACTGAAACCATGGAAAGCAAAACCATGGATAAGGGAGGACTACTGTATTTACCAGATGAGTTGATTTCATTTTGAGAAAAGTTACTTGTAACTTTAGTAGGCTGACTTAACATGTTATGATAACAGGATTATTTAGATTATAAGAGACTGGGCAGGCAGATATTACACTAGTCTTGTACTTTGCTCATAATTTTATAGAGCACTTTGATGTATATTTATTTCATTTAATGTTTTTGACATCTGAGAGGTATATATTCTCATAGATAATAAAACCCAAACGTCCCAGATGATTAAGAGACTTGCTCAATTTGACACTGTTAGTCATTAGAAGAGCTAGTCTTAAAAAAAGAAAAGAAGGCCGGGTGCAGTGGCTCACGCCTGTAATCCCAGCACTTTGGGAGGCTGAGGCGGGCAGATCACGAGGTCAGGAGTTCAAGACTATGCTGGCCAACATGGTGAAACCCCATCTCTACTAAAAATACAAAAATTAGCCGGGCGTGGTGGCACGTGCCTGTAATTGCAGCTACTCAGGAGGCTGACGCAGGAGAATCGCTTGAACCCGGGAGGCAGAGGTTGCAGTGAGCCGAGATCGCGCCATTGCACTCTAGCCTGGGCGACAGAGCAAGACTCTATCTTAAAAAAAAAAAAAAAAAAAAGTATTCTGACTTCAATCCATTTTTTTTCTCTAACTGCAACCAAGATAATTTATTTACTGAGTATTTTCAGCTATTATGATAAAAGACATAAATGTGATTTCTTCCCTAATTGAGCTTACTTCATAGTTTGAGAGTCAGACTAGTAAATAATTAATTAAAAAGAGTATGTTAGGTGCTCTGAAAGGGAAAGTATAGTTTGATGAGGTGGGAAACAAAGAGGAGTCCCTGTGTGCCAGGGGATCAGGAAGGGCTTTTGATGGGAGGTGAACTTGCTATCAAAATCAGTCCTGAAGTCATAAAAATTAGTCATGTAAAGATTAAAGGGCTATGTTGGAGGAAGAATGTTCCAGGCAGAGGGGAGAATACCATGTTAGAAGTTTTGGAGGTAAATGAGAGCTTGGTGTATTGAAGAATTGAAAGAAATTCAGTATGGCTGGATTATAGAGCTAGAGAAGAGGGAAGGAGAGGGAAAGGAGGTAGCTATGAAAGATTCGGTAAACCAAAAGCTGGATATGATAAGGTCCTAAATTAGTGACAACTAGGAAGAGAAAAAGAGTACTGCAGGTATCACAGGCTAAATAAATGTGTTAGAAATATTTTAGCCAACAAGTGATATTTTATACAGTTATTTTACATATATATATATCTCTTGCGATTTCCTTGCACGGTAAAGGGCACATTATCCTAAAAGTTGAAAATAGGTTAACAGTGCACTGTTCATCATGGTGAACTCTGGAGATCAGTTTTGGCTATCAGATTCTTTTGCTATCATTCCTAGCATGATTTCTTTACTCTCGCTTGTTGAGGTTAATTTTGCTCTAAAGAATTCTAAGGTGGGTCTTGGACCTAATGTTTTCTTTTTTTTTTTTTTTGAGACAGAGTCTCGTTCTGTCACCCAGGCTGGAGTGCAGTGGCGCGATCTCAGCTCACCGCAAGCTCTGCCTCCTGGGTTCACACCATTCTCCTTCCTCAGCCTCCTGAGTAGCTGGGACTACAGGCGCCCACCACCGCGCCTGACTAATTTTTTGTATTTTTTTAGTAGAGACAGGGTTTCACCATGTTAGCCAGGATGGTCTCGGTCTCCTGACCTCGTGATCCACCTGCCTCAGCCTCCCAAAGTGCTGGGATTACAGGCGTGAGCCACCACGCCCAGCCGGACCTAGTGTGAATAGAGGGTAGATAACTAAGTGAGGATTACCCTTGCTAGGCCTTAGTAACTGTTGTCTAGAGAAGAAGATGTTAGGGAAAAGCAAGGGATAAAGTGGGTATGAAGGAGTGTAAATTATGACTTGTTGCTATGATATTTAGTTATTGGTTTAATTTTTACATGTAAGCTTGTCATTGATATACTGAATATTAAAATATTTGGGTGTGGTGGCTCACACCTGTAATTCCAGCACTTTGGAAGCCCGAGGCGGGAGGATAGCTTGAGCCCAGGAGATTGAGAACAGCCTTATGCAACATAACGAGACCCTGTCTATAAATAAAAAATTAGCCTGGCATGGTGGTGTGTGCCTGCAGTCACAGCTACTCAGGAGCCTGAAGTAGGTGGATCACTTGAGGCCAGGAGGTTGAGGCTGCAGTGAGCCATGATTGCACCACTGCACGCCAGCCTGGGTGACAGAGCGAGACCCTGTCTCTTTAAAAAAAAAAAAAAAAAAAAAAGATATTTGGGAAAGTGGCCATTTATTCAATATACATTTTGTGCCCAGTGCTTGAAGTATAAAAAGACTCACCATTGTTAATAGGGAAGACGGGCACACAATATCAACATAGTAAAATAATTGTTTCATGATAAAAATAAACAGTAGAAGATAATAAGTTCAGTTTGGGATATGTTGAAATTGAGATGCTTATGGGATATTGAACACCTGCTATGCAACAAGCACTAAGCTATATGCTGGGGCTACAAAAAGTAAAGAAAATAAAGTCCTTTTCCTCACCAGTTCATATTCTGGTGGTTGGAAACAGACATTAAAGAAATGATTATAAAAATGTCAGCGTAGGCCGGGCACGATGGCTCACGCCTGTAATCCCAGCACTTTGGGAGGCTGAGGTGGGTGGGTCACCTGAAGTCAGGATTTCGAGATCAGCCTGGCCAACATGATGAAACTAAAAATACAAAAATTAGCCGGGCGCGATGGTGCGTGCCTGTAATTCCAGCTACTCAGGAGGGTGAGGCAGGAAAATCACTTGAACCTGGGAGGTGGAGGTTGCAGTGAGCTGAAATGGCGCCACTGTACTCCAGTCTGGGCTCTGGGCGACAGAGTGAGACTCTGTCTCAAAAAAAAAAAAAAAAAAAAGTCAGGGTATGGGATTGACAAGTCCATAGAAACAGAAAGTAAATTAGTGGTTGCCAGGGATTCAAGGAATGGAGGTTGGAGAATGACTGCTAATGGGGATGGCTTTTCTTTTTTGAGGTGATGAAAATGTTCTGGAATTAGGTAGTAGTAATGACTACATAACTTTGGGCCTATACTAAAAACACTGAATCATGCACTTTAAAAGGGTGGAACTTTATGTTGTGTGAATTATATCTCAAAAAATGTTGGGAGTTGGCCAGGCTCAGTGGCTCACACCTGCAATCCCAGCACTTCGGGAGGCTGAGGAGGGAGGATCACCTGAGGTCAGGAGTTTGAGACCAGCCTGGCCAATATGGTGAAACCCTGTCTCTCCTAAAAATACAATAATTAGCTGGGCATGGTGGCGCGTGCCTGTAATCCCAGCTGCTCGGGAGGCAGGAGAATTGCTTGAACCCAGGAGGCGAATGTTGCAGTGAGCCAAGATTGTGCCACTGCACTCCAGCCTGGGTGACAGAGCGAGAGTCAGTCTCAAAAAGAATAAAATAATGTTGGGAGTGAAAAAAATAAAGCAGGGTTAGGAGGGATAAGAAAATGGTGGGGGCACTATTTTGTAGAGCATGATCATAGTGATTTTTGAGCCTCATTTGAACAGACATCTAAAGGAATCGAAGGAGTAAGCAATGGAGATAAATGTGGAGTTTTCCAGGTGGAGGAAAGGCAAGTACAAAGACATCAAGGCTGTGAAAGTGCTTGGCATGTTCAAGAAGTAGCAATAAAGGCAGTATACCTGGAGCAGAGTGGAAAAGCAGGAGAATTGTAGGAGAGAAAGGGAGAGAGATATTAAGGTGCTAGATCATGTAAGGACTTTGGGTTTTATGCTGAGATGGGTGCTGAGGAGTGATGTCATCTGAATTAGGTTTTTAATGAATTATTCTGGCTACAGTGTAGATAATAAAGTGTAAGAGTAAAAGAGAAAATCAATTAGGAGGTAATTGAAGTAGTTCAGGTGAGATGATTAGATCAGGATTGTAGTATTGGAGGTTGTTAAGAAGTGGTGGAATTCTCGATTAGAAAAGTGAGAAAGAAAAAGACAGGATTCATTTCTCTGGGAAAAAAAAAAAAACAAGATATTTCAGGGACATGAAGAGAGGAGTAGACTAAAGAGAAGGCAACAAAGGAAGAAAATAAACAGGAATTCCTGAAAGCAGGAGTATTCAATTGTGTCAGAAATTGGAAATAAATCAATTAGGAGTTTATTGATAACCAAGCAATTTGAATGGGGAGTGGTTGGAACAGAAGCCAAGTAGTAGTTGGTTGAGTAATAAATGTGAATAGAGGAAGTGGAGGCAGCTAGGAAGACAACTGTAGTACTAAGTAAGGATGGTTGTGAGGGGAAGGAGAGAGTGGAAACTAGAAAGGCATATATAAGAATAGGAATCTTGTGGAATGAGGGAGTTGAAAGGACAGGAATTATTAATAGAGGAAAGTTTTGGAGGAGCAGTGAAGAAAAAGGGATCTAGTGCACATGGTTGCTTCTTTTCTTGAGCCCAAAGAGGTAAGGATAATTTTTACCTGGGAAAGGAAGTATGGGAAATTTATGTCCTATACATTTGCTGTGGAGAAATAAACAGTCATTTGCCAAGAATGATAGATACAGGATAGTAGCCTTAAGAGAATCATCATGAGGAACTGGGGAGTAAAGCTGATAAGGAATACTTTGAAAAAAAAAAAAAAAAAAAGGCTCCTGAGCTACTTTGAGGAAGATCTTGAATTCATAGTGGTACTGGTCCACAATTTTGATTTTTCTCTATCAAAACTTAGAAGCTGTGGTTCAGGAATGTTGAAGATGAGTGCTTAGGATCATTCAGGATTGGGTATGATTAACAGGATGAATATGATCAAAAAATAATGGGGATGGGGTAAAGGAATTCTTCAAGACACAAGCTCAGGCTTCGTCTTTTCCTTGAAATGGCCCCCATTGGTCTTTTCTCTTTTAATTTTGTACTTTTCTCTGCTATTGCTGCCTTATGTTTAGTCCATTAGAATTTACGCACACACACATACACACACACCCTTAAGCACTTAAACATTTTTTTTTAAATATGGAAAACGACAAAACAAGAACAAATCACATGCAGTCCTGCCATATCTAGATATGACCACTGTTAATATGTTGGTGCTTATTCTTTCAGGCGTCTCTATATATGTATACATATCTACTTATTTATACATTTCTGCATAAGAGGGATTATACATCTGTTTTATTTGCCTACTGATGTTATTAAATATAGATACAATTTGTGATAGCTGCAAAGTATTACGTGGTAATTTATTTATTTATTTTTGAGACAGAGTCTCTCTCTGTTGCCCAGGCTGGAGTGCAGTGGCGCAATCACGGCTCACTGTAGCCTCGACCTCCTGGGCTCAAGTGATTCTCCAGCCTAGGCCTTTCAAGTGGCTAGGACTATAGGTGTGCACCACCATGCTCGGCTAATATTTTTTAAAAATTTTTTTGTAGAGACAGGATCTCGCTATGTTGCCAAGGCCAGTTTCAAACTCCTGAGTTCAAGTGATCCTCCTGCCTTGGCCTCTCAAAGTTCTAGGATTACAAGTATGAGCTACCATGCCAATCAATGTGGTTTAAATAACAAAATTTAGTTAATTAGCCAATCCTTTGGTGATGGACTATTATTTCATTTTATTTTTTAACTGTTATAAGTCATTGTAATGAACATAGTACAAATGATTTCCCCCTGTACTGGTATGAGTACTGTTCTAAGTACTTAAATTTGTCTTTTATTTCTAAATTTCTTCTGCTGTCATGTTTCAAGGTGAATCCTTCAGACTTGCATTCTTTTAGCTTTCTCTTGAGAATGGATCCAAATGAATAAGGCTACCTGCATATTATTAGATAAGACCACCCCCAAACCATCTTGTAATCTACAGTGTTGAGGTTAAGTGCATAGGCTTTGAAGTCAGAACAGATTTGGATTCACATCTTTGCTCTGCTTCTTCATTTAGTTGTATAGCTTTAAACTTCAGTTTTCCAGTCTATTAAATAAAGAACGTTGAAAGCATAAGGCTTTTTTTTTCATTGGGAGAACTCTATAACTGAGATGAAATAATCATTATTTAAAAATTTTCTAGCTAATTAAAATCCTTTGTGGTACAGTTTAATGTTATTTTCCTTTTCTAGATTAAGGGAAAGTAGATAAATCTTGGTTATTATCTTTTTTTTTTTTTTTTGAAATGGAGTTTCACTCTTGTTGCCCAGGCTGGAGTGCAAGGGTGCGATCTCGGCTCACTGCAACTGCCTCCTGGGTTCAAATGATTCTCCTGCCTCAGCCTCCCTAGTAGCTGCGATTACAGGCATGTGCCACCACGCCTGGCTAATTTTTTGTATTTTTAGTAGAAATGAGGTTTCTCCATATTGCTCAGGCTGGTCTTGAACTCCTGACCTCAGGTGATCCGCCACCTCAGCCTCCCAAAGTGCTGGGATTACAGGTATGAGCCACCGTGCCCAGACTTTTTCTTTCTTTCTTTCTTTTTTTTTTTTTTTGAGACAGACTCTCACTCTCAAAATCTATAAGAAAAGATTTTCCAGCCTAGGCTGGAGTGCAGTGGCACAATCTTGGCTCACTGCAGCCTCAACCTTCTGGGCTCAAGCAATCCTCCTACTTCAGCCTCCCAAGTAGTTGGGACTACAGGCGTGCAACACCATGCTCAGCTAATTTTTTTGTTTTTTTTTTTGGTAGAGATAAGGTTTTGCCACATTGCCCAGGTTAGTCTCGAACTCCTGAGCTCAAGCAATCCACCCACCTCAGCCTCACAAAGTGCTGGGATTACAGGCATGCACCACTGCTCCTGGCCTTGGTTATCTTTTTTTTAACCTTCATAAATGAAATCCTATGTTCCTATTATAAATCATGTTTATGTATTAAATATGTATGATTATAAATCATGTTACATGTATTCAAAGAATATTTAATGATAGAAAATATTCATGATTGTATGTTACATTTTTTAAAGAAACATATCAAATTATGATCCTAGTTTTATTTTTTAAAAAAACAGGCCTATAGAAAATAGACTAAAATGTTAGAATGGTGATCTGTGGGACTTGGGATTTGAAGTGACTTTTTATTTTCCGTCTTACACTTTTAAAAAATTTCTGAATTTTTATGATATATCACCTTTATATCTCCCTTAAATCCTTTATACATCCTTTTTGTCTATCACTTTTATAACCTAAAGTGTGCAAATATTAAAATAGGAATCTTCATGTAGTAGAACATTATAACTGAAACTTTTATGATTATCTTAATTTTTTCTCATGGATTTTAATTTGCAGTGTTTATATTTATGGCAGCCCTCTAAATCTTCTTCAAGTTTTTCATTTATATGATGCATTGTTGGAGTTAAAATAGAACATATCAGCCAGGCACGGTGGCTCATGCCTGTAATCCCAGCACTTTGGGAGGTGGGCAGATCACTTAAACTCAAGAGTTTGAGACCAGCCTGGGCAATAAAGTAAGACCTCATCTCTAAAAAAAATACAAAAATTAGCCGGGCATGGTGATGTGTACCTATGATCCCAGCTACTCAGGAGGCTGAGGTGGGAGGATGGCTTGAGCCTGGGAGGCAGAGGTTGCAGTGAGCTGAGATTACACCACTGCACTCTAGCCTGGGTGACAAGTCAGACCCTATCTCAAAACAAACACAGAACATATTTCTGTATTAAGGTCTGATTCTGTGATGTGTGTATAATTCTAGGATTATCATTTCCTTTGTAGATATACTAAATAGAAAAACTTGAGATTTGAACAATTTCCTTGCCAGTATTATCACATGCAGCAGCTTTTGATGGTGGAGAGACTTAACAGTTAAAAATTTCCAACAACATTAATTTTTAGCTATATTATACTTAATTATATAATTAATTTTAGTAGCTAATATTTGTTTTAATTCTTTCTAATAGCCTAGGTCAGTGGATTCTTGGATTATTGCATTTAATCCTCAGAACAACCATATAAAGTCTAGATAGTATCATTACTCCTATTTTACAGAGAGGAAAACAGACTAAAAGTAACTTGTCCAGGGGCACATAGAAGCAAGCAGCAGAGCTGGGATTTAAATGGAGGCAATTTGGTACCAGGACAACGTGCACACACACACTCCGTACTTCCTACTGTGATAAATTTCTCTCTTGGTTGGGTGAGATTTGCTGAAATAATGTATATTTAAAGGATCTAGCACTGCTCTTGGTACCTTGTAGGTGCTCAATTGAATTTTCTTTTATAATGGGCAGAGTGATCTCATTGAATTAGGTGGCATATTCCACCTGGTAGTCAAATAAGGAATTTTTATATAGGTAAACTCGGATTTGAGGTTTGTTGTACAGATAGATTATTTCATCACCAAGGTACTAGACCTAGTATTCAATAGTTATTTTTTCCTGACCCTCTCCCTCCTACCCTTGACCTCCAAGTAGGCCCCAGTGTCTGTTCCTCTCTTTGTGTCCATGAGTAGGAGTTCTTTTTTAAAAATTTTTTATTGCGGTGAACTGCACAATAAATCAATCATTTTAAAGAAAACCCTGTTGTGCAACCACTACCTCTATCTATCTGTCTGGTTCAAAGCCATTTTTATCATTCCCAGAAGGAAAATCCTGTGTCCATCTTCAATCTCCCCTGCCCGCCATGAGCCCAACTTATGGCATCCACCAATCTGTGTTCTATTGCTATGGATTTGCCTATTCTGGATTTACATGTGACCTCTTATGTTTGGCTTCTTTCCCTCAGTATAATATTTTTGAGGTTTATCCACCTTGTAGCATGTACTTCATTTATTCTTGTGGGGGAATACTGTTCCATTCTATGGATACCACAATTTGTGTTACCTATTCATCCACTGATGGACATTCAGGTTATTTCCACCTTCTGGCCATTGTGAATAGTGTTGCTGTTCACATCCTATAATAGCATATGTGTACATGTATTTGTTTGACTACCAATTTTTAATTCTTTTAAGTATAAGAAGTTTTCTTTTTTAAAGGAAAATGGCCTTTATTGGATGTTTAAAAATTCTATAAAAATATTAATTAAAAAAGAAAGTGGAGGCCGGGTGTGGTGGCTCACGCCTGTAATCCCAGCACTTTGGGAGGCCAAGGCAGGTGGATCACTTGAGTTCAGGAGTTCGAGATCTGCCTGGCCAACATGGTGAAACCCCATCTCTACTAAAAATACAAAAATTAGCCAGGCATGGTGGTGGGCGCCTGTAATTCTAGCTACTTGGGAGGCTGAGGTAGGAGAATCGCTTGAACCCAGGAGGCGGAGGTTGCAGTGAGCCAAGATTGTACCACTGCACCCTAGCCAGGGCAACAGAGCGACAGTGTCTCAAAAAGAAAATAGAAAAGTAGTATACAGTAAAGAGTACTACTGTATACATTTGTATCATAGCATCTTACAGGGAGCATGGCTTGGCGCTGGGCAAATGTTTGTTAAATTGAACTTTTGGTTTTTGAGAAACTTCTTTCTAATTCTGATTTTGCTATCAACTATCTGATTTTGGAGAAATCCTCAGTTTCTGTGCCCTAGTTTTTATTTCTGTAAAGAAATAGACTAAACTCTTTAAGAGTCTTTTAAGTTCTGTGAAAGTCTGTTCCCTTTTTTCTTTTTTTTTTTTGAGACGGAGTCTCGTTCTGTCGCCCAGGCAGGACTGCGGACTGCAGTGGCGCAATCTCGGCTCACTGCAAGCTCCGCTTCCCGGGTTCACGCCATTCTCCTGCCTCAGCCTCCCAAGTAGCTGGGACTACAGGCGCCCGCCACTGCACCTGGCTAATTTTTTGTATTTTTAGTAGAGACGGGGTTTCACCTTGTTAGCCAGGATGGTCTCGATCTCCTGACCTCATGATCCACCCGCCTCGGCCTCCCAAAGTGCTGGGATTACAGGCATGAGCCACCGCGCCCGGCCCCCTTTTTTCTTTTAATAGGAATGTTTTGGTACTGTATCCTTTTACCCTCTGGAAGATAGGTACTTACCAGCCCTTGGCTATTGTAGGCAGTTCTTTCTCATTAAATTTGCCTCTGGAAAGGGCTATATGATCAAGAAAGTTGGGACCACTCACTGTTCTCGTCTTTAACCTCTTGCAAGGTTTCTTCAGGAAAGACTCATTTTCCATCCTCCCATCTTCCCCTTCCATATCTTGCAAACCCTAGTGTAGAGACTGAAGAACTCAAGTGCCTATAGGGCACAGACAGCATAATATCAATTAAAGAAATTGGCTGAACGGTACTTTAGGTAACTTGAGAGTACACTAAAGGAGGCAGCTCCAGTTTTCCTTGTGGATTTAGTATTGCTGGATCCTGTGATTCAAGAGAAGCCAAAGGTCTGAGATTTTTATGTAAAATCTGATTTTTAAATGTTGGCAATTAATTTTAAATGTTTTTTTAAACTGTGCAGGCGAAACAGAACACTTCTGCAGTCCAAGTACTTACTATAGGAAGTACAAGACCTGTAGAAAGGAAAACTGTGGCTGGGTATGGTGGCTCACGGGTGTAATCCCAGCACTTTGGGAGGCCGAGGCAGGTGGGTCGCCTGATGCTAGGAGTTCAAAACCAGCCTGGCCAACATAATGAAACGTCATCTCCACTAAAAATACACAAAATTAGCTGGGCGTGGTGGTACGCCTGTAATTCCAGTTACTCAGGAGGCTGAGGCATGAGAATTGCTTGAACTGGGGAGGCAGAGGTTGCAGTGAGCTGAGATGGCGCCATTGCACTCCAGCTTGGGTGATAGAGGGAGACTGTCTCAGAACAACAACAACAACAAAAGGAAAGCTGTGTATTGTGAAGTGAAATCAGAGTCACCTTGAAATGGGCATGAGGTATTCATCAGATTGCCTTTGGAATAAAAGAAATAATGTCCGTGGAATATCTCAGTAACACCTCCTCATTGCTAACCCTTTTGAGGGCAGAAATTATAGTTTTTATTTATGTTAGTAGCTCCAATTAATATATTAATAATAGTTCTAGGTGTGTTCTACACATTATTGCTAGTGCTTACAACTCTACAAGGTAGATAGGTATTACCACTGTATTATAAATGAGACAGCCAAGGCTTGCTGTGATAAGTAACTTGTCCAAGGTCACACAAAAAATAAGTGATACATTTATGATGAAACCTCAGTTCTGACTACCTTTGTTCTTTCATTATGACATGCTGCCTACCTCTTATTTATTATAAACAATATTGGTATACTGACACAAGGATCAGATGCTTTGTATAATGGTTGTAGACTTTTCCAAGGAATCTTGTGACTTTCTTCTTTTTACTTTATCCCCCTTAATGCAAAAAAAGAGAGATTACAATAAATACTTGAAATGCGTCCTAATTATCTGTTACGTATAGTCATGATTGTGAGTTTCTGATCAAGCCAAATGAAAATTTATGTGCTTTTAACAATGATATTGACAACCTCTAATACTAGAACCTTTATCCCCTGAGTCTTAACCCCTTAATTCTTCCATATTTTGTAATTGGCCCTTTAAAGATAAATAGGTGTAGAAGGATTTCTTACATACCTCTTAAGCATCTGCTTCTAGAGCATAGCCACTGGCAAATGGAAACAACTGAATTCTCTTCTAGAGCACATTTGAATCCATCTCACTAAAGCTTCTCAACTTGTGACTTCTTCTGAAAAATTTATTTTGGTCTTCTCATTTTCTATTTTCTTTTTCTCTCATGTCAGTGGAAGAGATTCTCAATTTCTTTTCTAAGGTACTTTCAATTTCCTGACTTGATTCTGTGACATACTTTTTCTATTTTCCACTCTCTCTTTTCATTACTCCCTTTCATGTGTTTGTTTTCCTCACACCAGTAGTAGTCAAACTGCTGTTAACTATGATTTCTGAAAAGGTACTTCTGCATTTGATATAATTTCAAAAGGGCCATGGTGCTTAAAAAGAAATTAGAAAACTAAATGCTTATGGTAGTATAATCATGTAACAGTGTACTAGAAAAACTACTTTATTGGCCGGTCACGGTGGCTCACGCCTGTAATCCCAGCACTTTGGGAGGCCAAAGTGGGCAGATCACTTCAGGTCAGGAGTTCGAGACCAGGCTGGCCAAGATGGCAAAACCCCGGTCTCTACCAAAAATATAAAAAATTAGCCGGGTGTTGTGGCGTGCCTGTAATCTCAACTCCTCGAGAGAGGCTGAGGCAGGAGAATCCCTTGAGTAGTTCCCCACATGCATACATACAATGATCACTACTCAACTAGATACTCTAAGGAGATCCTCTATAGATCTCCAGCGTTCTCTCTGAGTGTGTCTCTCCTTTCCAGTACTCTGCATTGAGAACCCCGGCCATCTGGGCTTCCCCAGACTCCTAGCTCTACCACTTCAACTTAAGAAGCTTAAGAAGACTGCTGGGTGGCCAGGCGCGGTGGCTCACGCCTGTAATCCCAGCACTTTGGGAGGCCGAGGCGGGCGGATCACGAGGTCAGGAGATCGAGTCCATCCTGGCTAACACGGTGAAATCCTGTCTCTACTAAAAATAAGTATATTGAAAATTATCTACCACCATGTGAAATAGTAGTTGTCATTTTAGTCAGGCTGTGGTACAGTGCAATGGCACAATTTCTGCTCACTGCAAGCTCTGCCTCCTGGGTTCACGCCATTCTCCTGCCTCAGCCTCCCAAGTAGCTGGGACTACAGGTGCCTGCCACCACGCCCGGCTAATTTTTTGTTATGTAAATATAATTGTTTTTTCCTCTAGGTTGAAGAATTTAGGTAATCTGGCCAGGTGTGGTGGCTCACGCCTGTAATTCCAGCACTTTAGGAGGCCAAGGCGGGCGGATCACGAGGTCAGGAGATCGAGACCATCCTGGCTAACACGGTGAAAACCCGTCTGTACTAAAAATACAAAAAATTAGCCAGGCGTGGTGGCAGGCATCTGTAGTCGCAGCTACTCGGGAGGCTGAGGCAGGAGAATAGTGTGAACCCAGGAGGCAGAGCTTGCAGTGAGCTAAGATCATGCCACTGCACTCCAGCCTGGGCAACAGAGTGAGACTCCGCCTCAAAAAAAAAAAAAGTATTTAGGTAATCTGCAGAAGAAGGTGGTTCAGGTCTTTGGTTGCTGTTCTTTCCTAGACTCTTCAGAAAAAAATGAATTAACTAGCAATGCTTAAAGAGGTAGTAAATACAAGCCAATCCATTTTCATTCCAGCTGCATTTCATGCTTCAGAGTAATGGCTGTTAGCCAGAATCACTTGTGAAGCTTTATACACATATACATTCTGTGATCTTATTCCCTGTAAACCCCTATTCAGTAGTCGGTCTGTGATGAAATCCCAGGCATCTTCATTCAGGTTAAAAAAAATATACATATGTCTACATGAAATTCTGGTATTCCCTGTTGAAAACCAGTCTTAAGTTAGAGGCATTCTGCAGTTGTACGGAAAGTAAGGGAAACAAAGTTAAAATGGAAAAAATTGAATTAAGAGGCAGAAGTAATGAATTTGATCATTTGTTCATTGCCACTCATTGTAGACACTTATTTTTGATCTCTGTAAACATCAGCTTATATCTCAAAGTATGAGGTCTGAATACTTGCTTGTGGGTGATCATCTTTGTGTAGAATAGAAAAGACAAAGTAGGACCAGGTGCAGTAGCTCACACCTGTAATACCGGCACTTCGAGAGGCCAAGGTGGTAGAATTGCTTGAGCCCAGGAATTCAAGACCAGCCTGGACAACATGGTGAGACCCTGTCTCTACTGAAAAAAAAAAAAAAAAAAAAAAGAAAAAAGAAAATATTAGCTGGACATGGTGGCATGAGCCTGTAGGCCCAGCATACTTGGGACATTGAAGTGTGAGGATCACTTGAGCCTGGGAGGTTGAGGCTGCAATGAGCAATGATTGTGCCACCGCACTCCAATCTGGACAACAGAGTGAGACAAGAAGAGAGAGAGAGAGAGAGACAGATAGAGCGAGTGTCTTGTTGAGTTCTTCAGTGTTGGGTCAAAGAAGGGAAAAAAATTGTGCGTATAAATAGAAAAAAAGAAAACTAACTTTTTAAGGCTTTAAAAATAACTGAAAGTGAAGACCCTGAGATATGAAAAGTGATTTTTGTTAATCAGAAAATTGGTGATTTAGGTGATAATGGGGTGGAAGTTGGAAGATAGGACGTGAGGGGACAGGGTATTTGGATTAAATATAACATAGAAAGATAACATTTTTAGTTCAGGTAGTAGGATATTCTGGTAATGACAGAAAGGAAAACAAGATGGGTTTTTTTTGGTTTTTGTTTGTCTAATATTTTTGTTTTTCATCTCTAAGATTATGGTATAAAAACAGGAATTTATGTTTTAGAATTGTTTGGGTAGAATCACTTAAGGTAGATGATTTGCTTATTCATTCATTTGTTTATTTATTAAGCACATTATTGAAATGCCCATTATGTGCCAGGCATAATAATATAGTAAGTAAAATAGATGGCATTCCTAACCTCAGTGTTACTCTAATTGCATAGACAGGAATGCTGGGGAAAGAATTTATCTTTCAGCCAGCTATTCTCCTGCCTGGGACCCAGCTTTAGCTAGTCTTGGCTCTACAAAGGAAGTTGTAACCTAATTGGAACATAATTTCTTCTCCGTAAAAACTGAGGGTTACACCAAATACTTTCACCACTTCTACCTCTAAAATTCTTGCTTTTAATGTGAATTTTAGATTAATTTAGATTAGATTAATCCCTTAAAACTACATTCATTACATTCATACCATTCTTGCATGGCCCTCTATATATTTCTTCTCTCCTACTACCTTTTTTCCCTCATAGCTCTGGTGTCTTGATACAGTTTTGATTGGCTATTTATGTGCTTTCAGTCAACCTCACTGGACTGAAAGCTTTTTGGGAGCAGACTCGGGTTTCTGTGAACATGTGATTTACTGTGTGTGTACCTATGCACACGAAATGAACAAATGGTGACAAAATTAGTTTTTTCTTATTTTTGAAAATGCTGTTGATCTTGTGAATTTAATATTAGACTGTCTTTCAAGATCAACAACAAAATAATATATGTAAAATAATATAAATTGTAATTCTGCTTGTTTCTTTTCATTGATAGATTATTATGTATGTTTACAAGGACATGATTAGTTTAGAAAGGAATGATTATTAAATATATGGTTATATAATATGGTTAGCTGTTAATAGCCATGGAACAGATCTCTATTCAGTATTGGTTTTATAAGCACTCAGCAAAATTCTGTTTTAAGTATGTGTTCTAAATTTTAAAATGAATGTATGTTGACATTTTTCATTGCTTACATTCCAGAAATGAGCTTATTTTACTGGTAACAATTAAATGTGAGTTTAGTAAGGGTAGAAAATTGGAGGAAACTGGAGTCTCCTTTTCTCTTTAGCAGATGTCTTAGTCTGTTTGTCAGCTATAACAAAATGCCTTAGGCAAGGTAATTTATAAACAATAGAAATGTATTGCTGATAGTCTGCAGTATGGAGTCTGGGGAGTCCAGGATAAAGGCACCAACAGATTATATGTCTGCTGAGGGTTTGCTCTCTGCTTTGAAGATGATGCTTTCTTATTGTGTACCCATGTGGTGAAAGGGCCAAGGCAGTGTCCTTCAATCTCTTTTATAAGGGCACTCATTCCATTTTGGGAGGGCAGAGCCCTCATGACTTACTTCCTAAAAGGCCCCACCTCTTAACACTATTACATTGGATGTTAGGTTCCAACATGAATTTTGGCAGGACACTAACACTCAGACTATAGCACCAGACAAGCAAGCAGTCACTGTAATTTAAGCCCATTAGAATGGAAGGTCCATAAAGACATATTTTTGTCTGTTTTGTTGTTGATGTATCCCCAGCCTGGTGTACATCAGGCAGTCCATAAATATTTATTGAGTGAATGAGTACATGAATAAATGAATGAGAATATTTACTGAGCTGTCGTTCATTTTATAGCAGGTACAATGTTGTTTCTTCACCACTGATATATTCATTTATTACCTCTTATTTATTAGCAGTGTTTCTGAAATAATATTAAAATTAGAAGTTTTCTTGAAGCTTGTTTTACAACTTAGAATTATTATCCAGTAGCTTTCCTTAATATTTTTATAACCTCATCAACAAACAGTGAGTGTCTCTTGTAAGTAGCGTACTGCCGAACCTTAGTCAGAGAAGACATGACATAGTTTTGGTCCATGAAGGGTTTTCAACCCATTTGGAGAAGTAGGAAATAGATACAAAGATGATTTGTAACAACCTGAGGGGTGTCAAAAAGATGGTACATGTAGGAAATTAATGTTATATTCAAGTGAAAATTTGATATTGTTTATGTATATTATTCAACTTTTAAAAACTTTGCATTAAAGTATGGAAAGGAAGCATAAGTATACCATTGTTTTAATGGTTATCTTTGATGAGATCATGGGCAAGTTGAATTTTTATTTCTTACGTGTATTTTTAAAAGCAAGCAATAACTCTAAATAAATTAATCTAGGCCAGGTGCAGTGGTTCATGCCTATAATCCCAGCACTTTGGGAGATTGAGGCAGGAGGACCACTTGAGCCCAAGAATTGGAGACCAGACTGGACAACAAAAGGAGACCCTGTCTCTATAAAGCACATACACAGAGACACACACACACACACACCAAAAACCTAGCTAGGCATAGTGGCACACACCTGTGGTCCCAGCTACTCGGGAGGCTGAGGTAGGAGGATCAGTTTAGGCCCGGGAGCTTGAGGCTGCAGTGAGCTGTGATCGTGTCACTGGGTGACAGGGCGAAATCCTGTCTCAAAAAAAAAAAAGGCAAAACTGTAGTTCTAGGACAGATTTGATATAAAAAACAAAAGTAAAGCAGGCTATTTGTTTAGTAACATCAATTGCTAGACCTCTCTCCTGTTTATGTATTCACTTGGAAGTCCCATAGGCATCCAAATTCATCATTTAAAACTGAATTCTCTTTCCAGGTTTATTCTTAACTCCTATATTCTCTATCACAGGAAATGGCACCACTTTTTATCAATTTTCCCAAGCCAGAGTTCTATGTGCTACTTGGAACTCTCCTTTTTTTCCCTCTCCCTTCCCCACCGTAGCCAGTGATCCAATTTAGTTCATCCATTTAAACAGCTTTAAATTCGTAGCCTATTGACTATTTCACTGCCACTGCCTTGGTTCAGGATTTCATTATTTCTTGCTTAGGCTATTATTGTAAAAACCTTCTTACTCATCGCCATCTCTAGGACCTAATCTATTCTCTGTATTCCTGGTAGGATGATCTTCCTCAAATATATGTTTGAGTTTATCATTTCTTTGCTTAAAACCCTCAAAGGCTCCCTGTGTGCTGAGGGATAAAACCCTTACTGCTTAGCATGATACACAAGCCCTGTCATAATCTGGCCTCACCCTGCCTTTAGTAGTTTCATCTCATGTTACTGCTTGTAACTTCCGTGTTCTGAGTAACTGAGTTACCTAATAACCTGAGATGAAAATACTCTTTTTGTTCAGGTTTGCTTTTATAGTTTCTCCTTCCTTTTCCCCAGTCTGTCTGCTAAATAGCCATTTCAATATTCAAGGTTGACTTCTGGTGTTACATCCTCTGTGCTGCCTTCTCAGATCCTCCACAGATAACATTAAAGGTTCCCTCTTCTCCAGTTGTGTAACACTTCATACTTTATTAAAGCACATACTGCATTATTTTAAACTTGACTCATTTTATTATCTCTAGACTGTGAACTGCTTAATAAGGGTGACTTTCTTTTGTATTGTGTCCCTAGATCAGTGCAGGTGCTAAATAAATGTTGAATGAATGTTTAATTACTGCTTTGTCAGGTTGAAGGTGATAGTGAAGAGGAGCTGGCATAGACAAAAATACTTAGCCCCTGTGACTGTGGCAAATAAGATGTCAAACAAGTAATTATATGACCAAGAGAAGACTCATGGTATGTGTTGTAACCAAGATTCTGTTGCCTTTTTCAACTAAAATATTTGGTTTTGTTTGATTTTAAACAGAAAGTGTAGCAAAAGTGAGAGGGAGAACAAGGTAGATTGGTCTTTTCTCTCTTTTCTTTCTTTTCTTCTCTTTCTCTCTTTTTTTTTTTTCTTTTGAGACAAGGTCTTGCTCTGTCACCTAGCCTAGGATGTAGTGGCACAATCACAGCTCACTACAGCCTTGACATCCTGGGATCAAGCAGTCCTTCAGCTCTGCCTCCCAAAATGCTGCGATTACAGGCACGAGCCACCACGCTCGGCCCTAGATTGGTTTTTGATTGCCAGATACCTAAAAATGAAGACATGAAATAAGTTTGTTTACTCTGATAGATTCATTTCTTTGCAAATTGAGATCTTATAATATGAAGCTACAGTTACATAGCTGAATTTTTTGAATCCGTAGTAATTAATAAATTCCTAATGAAATGTATGCCTGAATGCACTTTTTGGAACAATCTTGAACCTACAAAAGAGTTGTGAATATAGTGCAAATAATTTATTGCTTTTTTTCTGAATCATTTGAGAATAAGTTGCTGACATGTTTCCTCATTGCCTCCCAATACTTTGGTATTTCCAACAAATAAGAATATTCCCTTATGTAACCACAATATAGCTATCAAAATAAAAATTAACATCAATACATTTTTTTCACCTTGTCCTTAGATCCTATTTGGGTTTTGCAAATTGTCCCAGTAATTTCCTGTATAGCAAAAGGATCCAGTTTAGAATTATATGTCCATTTAGTTGTCATATCTCTTTAGTTTCTTTGAATCTGAAATCATTCCTTGGTGTTTCCTGGACTTTTATGGTTTTCTTTTTCCTTTTTTTTTTTTTTTTGAGACAGAATCTTGCTCTGTTACCCAGGCTGGAGTACAGTGGTACGATCTTGGCTCACTGCAGCCTCCTCCTCCTGGGTTCAAGCAATTCTTGTGCCTCAGCCTCCTGAGCAGCTAGGGCTATAGGCACCCACCACCACTCCCAGCTAAATTTTTTTTTTTTTTTTTGAGATGGAGTCTCACTGTTGCTCAGGCTGGAGTGCAGTGGCGCGACCTCGGCTCACTGCAACCTCCTCCTCCTGGGTTCAAGAGATTCTTCTGCCTCAGCCTCCCAAGTAGCTGGGATTACAGGCACGTGCCACCATGCCTGGCTAATTTTTGTATTTTACTAGAGACGACGTTTTGCCATGTTGGCCAGGCTGCTCTCGAACTTGTGACCTCAGGTGATCTGCCTGCCTTGGCCTTCCAAAGTGCTGGAATTACAGGCATGAGCCACCGCACCCAACCCATGCTGTCTTTTGTGTCCTTTTGATATGCCCCCGTAATTCTTTGAGTACTTTCTTACCTTTAGCAAAACAAGACATTCCAGGTTCATCTTGTATTTTGCCTGTCCCAGCCCTGATACTATTTCTCTGAAAAGCCCTGGTTACTTTTGGGGTGCTGCTTCTCCTAGGACCTTTCAGAGGACAGAAGCTAGGGAATATATGTATATTTATATGTCTGTACACACACACACAGGTATATATACACATTTATACCTATATTTTTCTATCTGTACATATTGACTGATGAGTTCACATCAGTACCTCCCGTTGCAATGCAATACCGTAGGGTTCCTTCTTCTTTTCTCTCTCTGTTTGTAACTCACTGTTTGACAAACTTGATTTCCTTTCATCTTATTGAGAAACTTGATTTCCTTTCATCTTACTATGTTTACTTATTTGATCAATCTCCTGTTGTAACCAATCTCCCATTGCTACTGCCTCCTGCTTTCTGACACATTAATACCCTAATTACCCAACTTGGCCTCTCATAGCTTGCCTCCTACATGGATGCTCTTGACACCTGGGGCTGTCCTCCTGCTCTCCTGTGAATACCCTCCAGTCTACTTGGTTTCTTACTCCCCACTTTGGGCAGCCCTACTAGGTAGATAGCCTCCTATCTTGCTCATCCTGCTAGGATTTTGAATCCTACCTAAAACTGCCCTTTGCTTCTGCTCCCTCAACCCCGATAGATGTCTTCCCTACCCCATTTGAACTCCAACACCCCATGCCAGGCTGCCTATCTACGGAAATGCCCTCTTTAGTCAGTCTTCTACTTTCCCACCGTAGGCAACCCTTCTACACAGATGCCCTCCTTATTCAGCTCAGGCTCCAAGGCCTCACATGCCCTCCTCACCCTGCTTGGATTGTAACTCCCCGTGCTGGGCTCCCCCTCTCTTGCCCAGTGAACACACTATTTATACCTGCCGGGTAACCTCTGATAACCAACCTTAGGCAATCCTTCTATGTGGACATCCTCATTACTACTTAGGTTATGATACCCTCTGTTGGTTGCCCCTTGCATGGATACCCTCCTCACCCTTCTCTGGCTCTGGCATTTTATCCTGGGCTCTCCCTGCTCACTCCACAGAGATCCTTCTCATTCTATTCATGCTTTTACTCCTTGGGCTAGGCTGTCCATCCATATGGAGATTTGCGTTCTGTTTGGGTTCCCACCTCCCACCCTAGGCAGACCCCCTGTGCATCAGCCTTCTTTCTTGCGTGGATGCTGTCCTCATCCCACCTCTTGGGCACTAACATCCCAACCTGAGCCATCCTCCCCTGCACAGATATTCATATATTCTTCACCCTGCTTAGGCTCTGACACCACACACTAGGCTGTCCTATATAGATACTTTCTTCATGTTGCTCAGACTCTGCATCTAGAATATCTCTTGCCCCTCTCATCCACTCATTTATGTCCTCCTCACCCTGCTTAAGCTCTGAAATCCCTTCCCAGGCCTCCCCCTATTCTCTATAGGTATCCTTCCCCCTCCCCTCTAGGCTTCTGATACCCTCCTTTGAGCCCTCTTATTCCTCTTGGACTCCATCTGAGTCCAAAGTTCTTTTTTTTTTTTTTTTTTCTTTGAGATGGAGTCTGGCTCTGTCACCCAGGCTGGAGTAAGTGGCGCGATCTCGGCTCACTGCAAGCTCCGCCTCCCGGGTTCACGCCATTCTCCTGCCTCAGCCTCCCGAGTAGCTGGGACAACAGGCGCCCACCATCACGCCCGGCTAATTTTTCTATTTTTAGTAGAGATGGAGTTTCACCGTGTTAGCCAGGATGGTCTCGATCTCCTGACCTTGTGATCCGCCCGCCTCGGCCTCCCAAAGTGCTGGGATTACAGGCGTGAGCCACCGTGCCCAGCCTCAAAGTTCTTAAAGCTCTATTGAAAAGGTACTCTTGTAAGATATCTAAAAATTATAAATAAACCATAAATGTTTTACTCAGTGGTGTATGGATTCTTGATAACTAGAGAGTTTTGTTCCTTCTAGGATAGACTCAAGAAATTTCTTCAGAAAATAACAAAGAAATTTAAAATATAATCAGAATAGTTAGGTGACTGGTATATTCCATTCTGTCTTTCATGCTAAGAGGTTATTTAGAGAACAATTTTCTTTTCTTTTTTTTTTTTTGAGACAGGGCCTTGCTCTGTCACCCAGGCTGGAACGCAGTGGCACAATCATGGCTCACTGCAGCCTTGACCTCCTGGGCTCAAGCAGTCCTCCTACCTCAGCCTCCCGAGTAGCTGGAACTACAGGCTTGCACCACCTCACCTGGCTAATTTTTGTATTTTTTTGTAAAGACAGGGTCTTGCTGTGTTGCCTAGGCTGGTCTCAAAACTCCTGGGCTAAAGTGATCCTCCCAACTTGGCCTCCCAAATGCCTGGATTACAGGCATGAGCCACTTTGCCTGGCTGAACATAATTTTAAAGTTTTTGAGTGAAAAATAATACCTAGTAGAAAAAAGATATGTTATACTATATTAAATTGTCTGTGGAAGGCCGGGCACGGTGGCTCATGCCTATAATCCCAGCACTTTGGGAGGCCAAGGTGGGCGGATCACCTGAGGTCGGGAGTTCGAGACCACCCTGACCAACACATGGAGAAAACCTGTCTCTACTAAAAATACAAAATTAGCTGGGCGTGGTGGCGAATGCCTGTAATCCCAGCTATTTGGGAGGCTGAGGCAAGAGAATTGCTTGGACCGGGGAGGTGGAGGTTGCGGTGAGCTGAGATCGTGCCATTGCACTCCAGCCTGGGCAACAACAGCGAAACTCCATCTCAAAAAAAAAAAAAAAAACTCTGTAGAACTCAAGTTAGTTTTCTTCTTCCCCAAATTGATATAATTTATACTGCTGTATATTATTTAAAATTACTTTAAAACACTAGATTGTTTTAGGAAAACAGTAATTAAATACAGCCTGGCAGAAGTGCTATGAATAAGTAAATATGTGGCAGCAGACTAGTAAATTGGCTTAAACTTAGAAATTGAGAAAAATTTGTTAAGACAGAGCATTACCTACCAGTTATTCTTGGACTGCATACTCTTTTAGAAACTGAATATCCAGTGGACCTGCAGCCAGTACATTTTTTCCAGTAGAGATGCCAAGTATGATGACTGTCAAGCTTGAAGTGTTTTTAACAAAATGAATGCTGTCTCTCTTCAATGCAGAACGATGTTGGCACATTGTAGATGCCAGGCATTTTGTTTTAGAATATTTAATGTGAAATTATAACCTTGGAATTTACCAGCTGATTGAGATAGTTAATGGAGAGGTGGAAGAGTAAGGCATTTCATTCCCAAACCATTTTCTGAAGGTTTTTTCTAACTCTTTCAGATTCCAAGAGTAGCTTCACATTTAGAGGTTTTTTTTAAAGTAAAATCTAATATTTAAAAAAAGATTAAAATGTTTAGAAATGGATTTTTCAGGATTATAATGTTTGCATTTCATATCAGAGAGCATTCATTGTTTGAGTAACTAATATCTGTTGTGAGCATTAGTTTACTTCTTGTTAGATTTTTAAAGCATTCCCAACACAAAGGAACATTCTTTTTTACCACAGATATTTATTTCTCTTTAGCTGCTTACTTGACAACGAAACAGAAACATCTTATTTACGGAGCTTTTTTCCCCGTTTTTATTATCCACCTCTGTATAGATGCAAGTCCATAGTATTAGTTGTACAACTTTATTTTACTATTTGAAAGTAAATAAGACAGTCTTGAGAAAAGTCATAAAGTAGATGGGCTCTCTCTGACTATTTTGATTTTTACTCTCTGACCCGAAAGCAGTTGAACACCAAATGCCAGCTCTTAGGTCAACAAGGGTGAGGTAGGGAGGTAGGGATGAAAATTCTAAGAAAGAATAAGAACTTAGACTTCTTTTCAAGAGATCAACTTATTTAAGCCTTGTAGCATCTCTGTGAGGCTGTGCTCTATCCGTGTATAGCCCTAATTTTGTTGTATATATTTTATTTGATTATATACTTCAGTAAAAAGAACACCTGTGAACCCATTGTGTAGCTCAGCTTATTTCTACTCCTCCTGTCTCCCATCAAAGGAAGCCGCTGTCCTAAACTTTATCATCTTTCTCTTATCACATGTGTTTTTCTTTTTTTACTATAATACAGATATCACATTCTTTATTGATAAAACCTACCTCATAGGATTGATTGTTTTGAGGTTAAATGAGAAAAATACATATACTGAGCCTGGCCCTGCAAAGTGCTCAAAAAATAGTAGCTGTAATTATGTTATTAATGTTGTTATTTTGCTGAGTGAGTACAGCATGAAAAGCATGTCTTTTCCCAGCTGTTTCCTGTGGCTTATCTCCCTGCACTCTTGAGGTCTTTTCATCTCTTCCTGGAATGACCAGTAACAGTAAAGCAGTAGAGAAGGGGATTTGGGTGATCAGCTCTTTGGACATAGAGTGCCCAACTGAGAAGAAACAAACAAATAAAAAATTAAGTTGCCCTATTAAATTACCAATTTTTTTCTTCTCTCTCACTGTCCTGTGCCTCAGAATAGGATTTCTGCCTACTTTAAATTTGACCCACTGTAGTGAAATTCTTCCACCCTCTTGTAGACAGTGTTGAATAATAAAGGATTGAATTAACCCAGAAATAATCAGTGACATAAATGGATCTATTATAGTTTACAGAATGACTAAACAAGCCAACCAGTCAGTGCATTTTTACATTGTTTTCCTTTCCACCCAACATTGGGAAGCATTAATTTATTTTCAATATCTGAAAATGTTGATTTCATTCTTCTATTTCCTTTTTCCAGTTGCCCTGGGCTCTATGAGAATGCACCAGCATGGGACAGATTCTTGATCTTCTGAACTTGCTTCCCTTTCTGCCTATCTACTTTTCTTATACACATATTAATAATTTATGTTAATGGAGTTATTATATCGCACTTGCCCTAATTCTACTACATGGATACTTAAGCAGTGCACTTACCGTGGCATTTTGGTCAACTAAAATTTTTAATGAAATTTAGGTGAGTTGATTACACATTATCGCACAAATTATTAGCAGCATTAATAGAAAAAATATATCAGAAAATAATCAGGTCAGGCATGGTGGCTCACGCCTGTAATTCTAGCACTTTGGAAGGCCAAGGCAGGAGGCTTGCTTGAGCCCAGGAGTTCAGGACCAGCCTGGCCAACATAGCAAGACCGCGTCTCTACAAAAAAATTGAAAAGGTAACTGAGCATGTCTGAGAAAAAATAAATAAAAAGAAAATAATCACCCTAGTCTTGGCCGACTGAAGAAAGAGTTCCTTAGAACACAAAAGTAAAATCACTTCTAGATTAAAAAAGAGAGAGAGAGAGAAATAGAGTGAGTACATGTAAGTTTATTGCACAAGAGCAGATTTTACCAGCTCTTACATTAATCCTTGTTAAGTTTCATCTCCTTCCTTTGGGCAGATATTCCAGTCTTTCATGATCTGTGATGAATTATGACATAAGATTTAATCCCTTTTAAGCCTATGTCATTTGAAAAGTCATATCTTTGTTCAAGTTGTGATATAACCACCTTCTTCCAGATTGAACCTATACATTTTTTGGGTACTGTTGTTTAGAAGTCATCTATTTTATTAAGTCTATATTTCTTCTTCTTGTTTACAATAACTTATAAAGATTTTTATCACATATTTTACTGAATTTAGGATAACTGCCTGCAGCATTTTCCTGATCCTCTAGTAGAAGAGCCTTAAAAGACAAATTAGTTTGCAGCTTGGCCTTCTTTATATATAGAAGCTATGTGAAGAGAGATGGTTTTGTCCATGAAGTTTATTAGAGCACTGTTAGATACCCTGCTTGTTCTTGTCTAATTCTTTCTTGTGCTTCTTCTATTACTCTCTTCCTTTAAAAAAAAAAAAACAGCTTTATTGATATATAATTTACATACTATAAAGGTTACCCATTTAGAGGGTACAATTCAGTGGTTATTAATGTAAATACAGAGTTGTGTAACCATTGCCATTTTTATCACTCCAAAAAGAAACCTTATCTAATACCCATATCCCTTCTCTCTCACTTTCTCTCACTCTCTTTTCTCTCTCATCTAAGTGATTTTGCTTTTGTTTTCTAAGGAAGTCTTTCCTCAGAAGCTGCCTTTCCATTAGGGATTTCCCATTCTGTTTCTTCGTATCTTGTGTTTATAAACCTGGAATTTCATTATTCTCTTATATTTCTGAACTGATTTAAAAGATAACATAAGAAAAATAGATACTGTGGCATAACATGAAGTAGCCGGCACTTATTTAGGACTGTCATTTTCATAGATTTAAAGTACATATGGGCCAGGTGCAGCTCATGTCTGTAATCCAGGCACTTTGGGAGGCTGAGACAGGAGGATCACTTGAGTCCAAGAGTCTGAGACCAGCCTGGGCAACAGAGGGAGACTCTGTCTCTACAAAAAGTTTTTTTAAAAAAATTAGCCAGTGTACATTTGTGGTCCCAGCCACTCGGGAGGCTGCAGCAGGAGGATCTCTTGAGCTCAGGAGTTGGAGGCTGCAGTGAACTTTGATTGTGTCTGTATACTCCAACCTGGATGACACAGTGAGACCCTGACTCAAATAAAATAAAATAAAATAAAATAAATAAAGTGCATATGCTCTTATTCAGGATTTCTTTCATTGGCTAGTGGAGACTGTAAAAGCATTTAATTTAGATTGAATTTAGGGTTGAATAGCAGTATTAATAGCATAATTTATATTCCTTTAATCTTTCGGTATCCCATGGGAAGCAGATTTAGGAGAAAGGCCAGTGGCTGTGTTCAGATTGTATGGTTATAGTTTAGAGGGAATATCTTTGGGGTACTGGGGTAAAAGAAGAGTTTAAATGATGATTTAAGTCTTAGAGAAGTTATTTAAAGTAGCAGAACCAAACCAGTTATGTCTGAAATAAAATCCTGTGCTGGTAATGACTATATGAACTGTAGCTTCCCTTGGATAGGCATGATAAACTTCTGGCAGGCTGACTTCTTTTATTTCCAAACACTTGAGTCAGTTAATCAGAAAACATCTTTGGTGAAGGAATCCATGCTTCCTATACCTTCCACTTGACCTTGCATTTTACTTGTTTGTTTTGAGGGGCAGACTTTGGAGAGGGGTGGAATATAACAAGTTCTGCATTTAATTTCTTTCCATGTACTTTTTAGTAACATTACTATCATACCTCTAGTGGAGAGGTATGATACCTCAACTTTATACCCTTCTTTGGGAAAGTTAGAGTGTTTCAGTCCACAAAGTTTTGCTTTGATTTGATTAATTTATTTTAATAATTGGAGAAATGGAGATAAAATCCTGATTAGTAACATGCTATTAGTGATTGGGCTATTACTAGGATAAATTTTTTTCCATCACATAAATCATAAATGCATTTGGGTAGATCTTTTTCTCTTTTTATCGAATCTGTTTCTTTCAAATTTCCTTTTTGTTTGGGAAAAAAAAAAAAAAGAAAAAAATAGACTCGAGGCTGGGTGTGGTGGCTCACGCCTGTAATCCCAGCACTTTGGGAGGCCGAGGTGGGTGGATCACCTGAGGCTGGGAGTTCAAGACCAGCCTGACCAACATGGAGAAACCCCGTCTCTATTAAGAATACAAAATTAGCCAGGCATAGTGGTGTATGCCTATAATCTCAGCAACTTGGGAGGCTGAGGCAGGAGAATCACTTGGACCTGTGAGGCGGAGGTTGTGGTGAGCCAAGATTGCACCATTGCACTCCAGCCTGGGCAACAAGAGAGAAACTACATCTCAAAGAAAAAAAATGGACTTGAGTGTGTTTCTCTCTTATGTCTAAGGAACTCTTATTTTCAACCTGGAATGAGAAAGATAATTGTATTACAATGAATATTTGGTGATAATGGCATTTCTGTTTTAATTAGGTTCTCCCTATCTCTACTCCCTCCATATTGTTTGAAAGATGGAAGTAATTTGCTAAAGGCTTTTTTTTTTTTTTTAACAGTCTTGCTTTGTTGGCCAGGCTGAAGTGCAGTGGCACGATCTCGACTCACTGCAACCTCCGTCTCCTGGGTTCAAGCAGTTTTCCTGCCTCAGCCTTCCAAGTAGCTGGGATTACAGGTGTGTGTCACCACACCCAGCTAATTATTATTATTATTATTGTTATTTTTTTTTGAGATGGAGTTTCACTCTTATTGCCCAGGCTGGAGTGCAATGGTGTGATCTTGGCTCACTGCAGCCTCCGCCTCCCAGGTTTAAGCGGTTCTCCTGCCTCAGCCTCCCAAGTAGCTGTGATTACAGGCATGCACCACCATGTCCGGCTAATTTTGTATTTTTAGTAGAGACAGGGTTTCTCCATGTTGGTCAGGCTGGTCTCGAACTCCCTACCTCAGGTAATCTGCCTGCCTCGGCCTCCCAAGGTGCTGGGATTACAGGCATGAGCCACCACACCTGGCCTCAAGTCTTTTTTTTTCTTTTTTTTGCCCAAACAAAAAGGAAATTTGAAAAAAAAAAAAAAAAGAAACAGATTCAATAAAAAGAGAAGAAGATCTACCGAAATGCATTTATGATTTATGTGATGGAAAAAAACAGGGTCTCACCATGTTGGCCAGGCTAGTCTCGAACTCTTGACCTCAGGTGATCCACCCGCCTCGGCTTCCCAAAGTGCTGGGATTACAGGCATGAACCACCGTGACCGGCCGTCTACTTAAGGCTTTTAACAACATTTTAACAAACTGAAAATTTTTAGTCAGGGCATATTATATTCTGACAGATGCTGAATTTGCCACATGATTTGAAGATGAACATTTCAAGCATTAGGTAACAACATTTTTCCTTCTTTCTTTTATTTCTTTCATTCTTTTTTTGTTTTTGAGATGGAGTTTCACTATTATTGCCCAGGCTGGAGTGCAATGGCGTGATCTCGGCTCACTGCAACCTCCGCCTCCTAGGCTGAAGTGATTCTCCTGCCTCGGCCTCCCGAGTAGCTGGGATTACAGGTGACCACCACCACGCCTGGCTAACTTTTTGTATTTTTAGTAGAGACAGGGTTTCACCATTTTGGCCAGGCTGGTCTCGAACTCCTGACCTCAAGTGATCCTCCCGCCTCGGCCTCCCAGTGTTGGGATTACAGGTGTGAGCCACCGCGCCTGGCCCAGGTAACAGCATTTTTCAAAAGAAACTTTTAAGTTTATTCTTTACTGTGAATGAAGATCGTTTAAGAGTACAACTTCTAATTTTAGCTTTCTTTCATGACCTTCCTCCTTATCCCTATCCACATCAAAGTTAGGATATATACTTTAGTGATTAACTAGGAAGCTCAAAGTATTTATGAATCCAGTAAGCAGTTAACTAGAAATATTGTCTCTTACCATGGATAAAATGTCTTATGGTGCTACCTTTGTATTTTAAAGTACTCAGGCAGATAATTAATAATCTTCTTCAATTTTTGGAATTTTGGATTTCTTGGCATACTAGGCAAGTCCCTTAAATTTCATGCCTCAGTTATTTTGAAAATAAGTATACGCGATATGCCTCTAATTGTTCTTTTTTTTAAAAAAAAAAAAAAAGAAGGAGTTTCGCTCTTGTTGCCCAGGCTGGAGTGCAATGGCGCGATCTTGGCTCACTGCAGCCTCCATCTCCTGGGTTCAAGTGATTCTCCTGCTTCAGCCTTCTGAGTAGCTGGGATTACAGGTGCCCGTCACCATGCCCAGCTAATTTTTTGTATTTTTTAGTAGAGATGGGGTTTCACTATGTTGGCCAGGCTGGTCTCGAACTCCTGACTTCAGGTGATCCACCCCCTTCAGTCTCCCGGAGTGCTGGAATTTACAGGCATGACCATTGTGCCTAGCTCTAATTGGTTTTTTGAAGTTCCTTCTAACATGGATTCTACTACCTTTAGAGGATATTTTGGGAATTATTTCTGTTAAAAACCTATACAATAAAGGATATTTTAAAAAGTTAAAATATATTTTAATATATATAATTTTATGGGCAATTATAGTATTACAAAATATTTTTAAAAGATACAGGGTTCTTTAATTTGGAATACAAAAGTAATCGTAATCTAATATAGGTATTTATGCATTATGCAGTCTGATTTAAGAGTTTCCTTTACCTTTGCCTTTCCAGGGTTGGAGATGCCTCAGAGAGTAAGAAGTATTTGCTTGAGCCATAACATTCCTTTTTTTTTTTTAAGCTTCAATCCACAAAGTTTTTCTTTGATTAGATTGATTTATTTTAATAATTGGGAAAAATGAATTATGATAGTGTTGAATTAAAATATTTTCTCAAGGGTGTTGGGTAAAAGAGCAGGACTATACTAATTGACTGGAGAAGCCAATTTAAAGCTGATCCACAGTAGTATATGCCATTTCATATGTAAAGGGTAAGTTTTACTTATACTATTGCAAAGGAAGATACTGGACCATCTTGGGTTATTTGGCATTTCTTCCATTCTGTCTAGTTTTATCCAATTTTCAATGTTAATAACTTTTTCTAGAGACTATCTTGAACATAAGGAATAAAGCCAAGAAGAAAACAGGGACAGAACTAATGGGAAATTCATTTTTCAGTTCAATAAGATTATATAATAAAATAAAAAATAAAAAAATTTTTTTTTTTTTTTTGAAACAGGGTCTCACCCAGGCTGGAGTGCAGTGGCATGATCATGGCTCACTGTAGCCTTGACCTCAAGCAGTTTACCCACCTGAGCCTCCCAAATAGTTGGGACTGTAGGTGTGCATCACCACGCCTGGCTGATTAAAAAAAAAAAAAAAACCTTTTGTAGAGATGGGGGTCACTGTGTTGCCCAAACTCGTCTTTAATTCCTGGCCTCAAGCAATCCTCTCACCTTGGCTTCCCAAAGTCATGGATTACAGGTGTGAGCCACTGTGCTCAGCTGCTAATAGCTCTTTACATTAATTTTGTGGGATTGTTTGTGAATAATACAGTTCTCCTCATGAGAGAAAAGACATACTCATTTTGTGCATATTAGATTGTTGACTGAATCTCTTTTAAAAATTGTTTTCTCCTCTCTTTCCCCTCCCCACAGAATCTGTCTATGATCTTCTCCCAAAGGAGTTACAGTTACCTCCATCTAGAGAAACATCTGTAGCATCAATGAGTCAGACAAGCGGTGGTGAGGCAGGCTCGCCTCCTCCAGCTGTTGTTGCTGCTGGTATGCATTTCATTTTACTTTATTAAAGAAAACTAGGGCCAATATAAATCTGGCCAACATGAACAGTGCTGGCAAAATTCATACTAAAAAGAGTGTGATTTGAGGGTTTTAAAAAGAGGCATTAAAATATGTACTTTTAACCTTAAACTTTTTCAATATTATTTTCTTAATGTAATTCTTATTTCTTAAAATTTTACATTGTCTCATCTATAAATGCCATTTCCTAAAATGGACCTTGTCTTCAAATATGGGAACCAGCTTAAAGTTGTTTGGTTGACTGTGCTTAAAAAGGTTAAATACCAAGCTGTGAATAGAAAATTATATTTGAGTTTCTGTTTAATAATTAATTTTAAAGACTTGCACCAAGGGAAAATATTTTATATGATCTGAAAAATGACTGAAGCACTCAAGTGTCTTTTATATTCATAGCATGTTACTGAAACCTTTTTATTATATTTAAAAATATATGTGACTTCGTAGTTTTCAATTTATTGAAAGTAATGGAGGACGTCAATATAATATTTATATAAAGACATTTTCTTATATTGATGAAAAGGTATAGAAAGTAATGTTTGAAATTTATTAGACTTATTTTTACTCAGCTCTCAAATCATACACTTAATGATATACAATTGGCTCAAATTTTTATTTTACATAAAAATAAAAGATAGACAAGCTAATAGAAAAAAGTGTTATCAGTGACAAATTAGTATCAGTCCTTCCTGTAATGTTAGTTTACCCACCTAATATTGGATTTATAGACTGCTAAGTGTGTTTGTTTTAAAAAAAGGAAACATATATATATATATATATATATATATATATATATATATATATATATATATATATATATATTTTGAAGTTTTATCTGTCCTAATTAGAGGTTTCTTGCCTAATATGACACCTCTCATCTTTAAAAATGATATTTAAAGTTTATCAGAGCATTGTTTTCAGTAAATTATTTTAGTTTCAAAATGAGAACAGTAAAGTGTAAGGTTGTGGTTTAAATGAGGATATTGGTACTATAGTATAACTTCAGATATATTTCTCATATGCATTAACCTATGTACCATTAACCTTATGTACCAATCTTTCTCAGGCTGCATAGTGCATTGCTGAAGCCTTCCTGGTTGAAGGCAGGAAAACTTTAAATATGGCAAAGAAACTGATCAGCCCTGTTCACTGTTCATGTGTTGCCAGACACTTTCTAACAGTTTCTGTGGATTTAATTGTGAATTAGTGAACTTTTTAGTAATCAAATTGATAAGATGACCTGGTTTGCTTTATATCCACTGGGTTCTAAAATGGCTCTGATGATATTTTTCTGGAATTTTAAGTTTTAAATCTGGTTTTAAAATTGCATCCAATAATAAAATATGACAAAGATAAAATATTTTTTATGAGATACTTCACTTTAAATCCACAAGTAGAAATTGACTAACTGATTTCTTTTGTATCTTTTGAGATTGTTTTTTAAAGATACGTTGAATCTATATAGAACTAAAAGTCTGTTTCTTCTGTGCTTTTTAACATCTGTTGACGGTAGATCCAGTTCCTTTTAAAAGCTGAAAAAATTGTTAGGTTTAGAAAAAGAACAGTTCTTCCTTTTAGATAATACCAAATTGAATTTTAGAAATTCTTATATATATAAAAATATATTAAAAGTTCTTGAATTTGGGTCCCTAATGAAATATTAACCTTCTCCCCACCACAGTATATTTAAGAAAAATCTCTCAAGATAAATTACATTGAAAGCTGTGAGTTGAAAAATCATGAAAATAAGAAATCTAATTAAAAGAAGTATTTTGAAGTAATGCATTCTTATTATCTTGAAATTATTGACATTGTAAAGATGGCAAAGAGAGTAAGAAGGTAAACTTTCTAGTTTTGTTATAGTCACACACAGAAAGTTTATATGATCATTAACAAGTCATTTAAAATCTTTTTCAAAATATAAATTTAGCAACCAATGTAGATTATTCTAGGATTCTAATAGCTTAGAAAGAGCACTTCATACCTTACCATTATAAACAAGAGAGTTTAAATCACAGAATAATTATTTTAAGGAAATCAGTATATATCATTAGAATTATATTTTTATTTGACATACTAATATTCTTGGTGATATAACTGTCAGAGTTACTTGGAGTATATTACCAAGTTACTCAATGTTTTTCTAGCCAGAAGGCTAGATAGATGTCTAGGGAAAGGCATATTAATTTAGACTTGTATGGGTTTTTAAAAAATCTTTAGCATTTTTGAAAAAATATGGGCCAGGCATGGTGGCTCACACCAGCACTTTGAGAGGCCCAGGCCGGCAGATCACCTGAGGTCAGGAGTTCAAGACCAGCCTGATCAACATGGTGAAACTGCGTCTCTACTAAAAATATAAAAAATCAGCCGGGCGTGGTGGCGGGCGCCTGTAATCCCAGCTACTCTGGAGGCTGAGGCAGGAGAATTGCTTGAACCCGAGAGGCGGAGGCTGCAGTGAACCAAGATCGTGCCATTGCACTCCAGCCTGGTCAACAAGAGTGAAACTCCGTCTCAAAAAGAAAAAAGAAAAAATATGAAATGTGTAAAAATATTGACTCTTGATATAGTTAATTCTTCAGAGTTTTGAAGGAGCCGGATTGGCTGCTCTCAGGTATGAGGGCCTGGTGGGAACAGACTTCTAGTTCTGCCATAAAGGTTTGTGTTTGACAAGTTTTAAATTAATTTAAATTTTAAAATTTAAAGACTGGGCATATGAGTGTTCATGGACATTTTTTTGTTGTTTAATTTTTTAAAATGTGTTTCTCAGATTCACCAATTTAGATTTTTTTCCTCTTCCTGTTACTAAGGGAATAAGTAAATATGATGCTGCTAATCCACAATCCAGAATATTGGGTAAAAGAGCGTCTATCAAGCCTTTATCTGCTTCTACACAATTCATACTTTTATGCACTCCCATCAATAATATATTTTAGTCCTCTAATCCCAGGGTCAAGGTGTCGGGGAAAGGGGCTTATTTAGACACAATTTCTCCCCTCTTCATGGGGCCAAGTGTCAGAATCTGGGAGGTGGAGTTCAGAGTCACCAATTTTGTTATCCCATTTTTTTTTTTAAGAGACATGTTCTAGCTCTGTCATCTAGGCTGGAGTGCGAGGTGCGATCATAGCTCACTGCAACCTTCAACTACTGGGCTCAAGTGATCCTCCCACCTCATCTGGGAAATAAGTGCACACTACCACACTGGGCTAATTTTTTTTTTTTTTTTTTTTTTTAAGAGACAGGGTCTGTCACCCAGGCTGAATGCACTGGTGTGACCTTGACTCACTGCAGCCTAAACCCCCTGGGCTCAAGTGATCCTCCCATTTCAGTCTCCTGAGTAGCTGGGAACCACAGGCATATGCCACCACATGGACCTGGGTAATTTTTTTTTTTTTTTAAACAGAGTCTCACTCTGTCGCCCAGGCTGGAGTGCAGCAGTGTGATCTCAGCTCACTGCAACCTCCACCTCCCAGGTTCAAGCAGTTCTCCTGCCTCAGCCTCCCGAGTAGCTGGGATTGCAGGTGCACGCCACCATGCCCAGCAAATTTTTGTATTTTTAGTAGAGACGGGGTTTCATTGTGTTGGCCAGGCTGATCTCAAACTCCTGACCTCAGGTGATGGACCTGGCTGATTTTTGTGTTTTTTGTAGAGACAGGGTCTTACTATGCTGCTTCTCCAGGGATGGTCTCGAACGAACTCCTGGGCTCAGGTGATCCTCGAGGCTTGGCCTCCTAAAGTGCTGGGATTACAGGTGTGAACCACTATGCTCGGCCCTGGATTGTTTTTTTAATTTTTTGTAGAGTTGTCTTGCTGTGTTGCCCAGGCTGGTCTCAAACCCCTGGCCTCAAGCAGTTCTCCTACCTTGGACTCCCAAAGCACTGGAATTCCAGGTGTAAGCCACCACACTGGGCCCTCCTCCTCATTTTTAAGAATTCTGTTTTTGTCCCAGTGGAAAGATAGTTAAGCCTTAGATGTTCAATATATCAATGAATGAAAGCTTTAAAAATATAAACTTTCTGAACCATTTTGTAAGTTCTCAGTAATTAAAAGAGAGGCCACGTTCCTAAAACATAAAAGTTATCCAAATGAATTGATGACACTTTTTGGCAAAATAAGGAGTTTATTAAGAAGAAGTACAAATCATGAAAAGATTCTTTTGTTTATTTTTTGGATAATCCTATAGTATAGTTATACAGAATTAAAACATAGGTATTAGGAGAACTAAATGAGTTATATCAGAATTTGGGGCTTTTGAAAAGATGTATGGCAGGTTTGGGGTTTTTTAAAATAACAGCTTTATTGAGACATAATTCACCTGCTGTATAATCAAATATTTTTAATCTATGTGCTTACAGTTTTAATCATTAAATTTACTTAATTTATTTAAAATAGAAAGTCATGGACTTTAGTCTTCATTTTAAGAAATCAAGTTACTTTCTTGTTCTATTCTACACTTGTTTTGTTTGGCTTCATTTGGGAATATAACATTGTGTTTATTAGTTTATTTCAAAATATATTTTTCTAAGTGGACTGTTTGAAGTTTCTTTAAAATTTTTAATTCAAATTCTTGAACTAAACAATGAATTAAACTAGGCCGGGTACACTGGCTCACGCCTGTAATCCCAGCACTTTGGGAGGCCGAGGTGGGTGGATCATGAGGTCAGGAGTTCAAGACCAGCCTGGCCAAGATGGTGAAACCCCGTCTCTACTAAAAATACAAAAATTAGCTGGGCATGGTGGCAGGCTTCTGTAATCCCAGCTACTTGGGAGGCTGAAGCAGGAGAATTGCTTGAACTCGGGTGGCAGAGGTTGCAGTGAGCCAAGATCACGCCACTGCACTCCAGCCTGGGCGATAGAGTGAGACTCCATCTCAAAGAAACAAAACAAAACAAAACAAAAATGAATTAAACTATAGGTTTTATAATTCAGCCAGAGAATCTTAATAATGCATTAATAATTCTTTTTTTGCATAGCTTCATAATATTCATATTTTGGTTTCAGTAATTATATATTAATACTCTTTTTAGAAGTAACAGTACACTAATACTTCATAGCAATTGTGCTTTTGTTTTTGTTTTTGTTTTTTGAGATGGAGTCTTGCTCTTTTGCCAGGCTGGAGTGCAGTGGCGTGATCTTGGCTCACTGCAACCTCCACCTCCCGGGTTCCAGCGATTCTCCTGCCTCAGCCTCCCGAGTAACTGGGACTACAGGTGTGTGCCACCACACCCGGCTAACTTCATAGCAGTTTTTAACATGTATAAAGATAATACACAGTCATAAAGTGTGTACAGTGGAAATCTTGGTTGAATATCTCCACTTGTTGGACCACTGTCGGTTTTTAAGTTCATAACTTGATGTGAAGTGATCCATATAATAAATTTTTCTTTTGGAAGAGCTTTGATATATAGTGCTTTGAGTTCTATGCCATGTCACTTAATAAATCTCAAGTATGTAACAAGTATTTTCTACAAAATTTCATTGAGTGCTATTTATACTATAAGAGAGGGCACTAGAGATGCAAATTAATGTCCTATAATCAAATAAGTGCTATATTCTAATTCATTTCATATCTCCTAATCACCTGAATTAAAATCACAGAAATTTCTAAACCATCTATAATAATACACTGTACAAAAACTGAGGTGAAGAAAATATGTTACTCCTCCTGTAGGAGACAGCTTTTAAAAAATGAAAATATATTATCACTTTTAAGTTCCTACTATGTGACAAGAATTGTGTTAGGTAATTTGCATGTCATCATATCACAATCCTTCTAGCCATAAAGTATCTCTCTTTTTTCTTTTACCTAGTTCTTACTCCTTGTCATTGTGCTTGAGGGAATTTGGCATTGTGTGCTATCACTTCGATTAGGGAAACGCAAGATCCTTAACTAGGCAATGTATAGAATATTGAGTTGAAAAGCCATACCTCTTCTCTACAAGTGTCAGGATCTTCGAATGGGAATTTGATTTCTATAATAATAATTTAATAAAAGTGATTTCTAGCAACAAAATTTTTTATCCCATTGAATTTATTATAACTTAATTTACTTACGTTAGAAAGTATTTACAGTTATATAATGAGGATTTTCTTGAGTTGACTAAATTTGAGGAAGAAATTTGCCTTTGATTGCTTTCCTGGGTTAACATATTTCAGAATTTTTGCCACCTAATGTAGTATACTCTTCATGAAATTAAACCAGAAACCCACTAACGAGAAAGGTAATTCACCTACAGATGCTGTGAGCTAAAATGTTGTGAGTTGATCTTGGTTATTCTTTATGGCCATTCCCTTTTTTCCAAGAAAACTAGACCATTTCTAGAAGGAAGTCAGATCCTAGTTACAAACATGTTGCAAGCAGATTTAAAAATCTCTACTCCTCCTTCTATCTTATTATACTGAAATTACATAGTAAATTTAAATACATACACTTATACATATGGATGGTATGTATGTATGGATTTATGCTGAAGTCTGCATTATTAGAGAGCAAACTTGGGCCTATAGCCATTAATTCAGAAACAACTGCTAATTGTTTGACAGTTACAAATTGACATTGCCAAAAAGCAAACTTGGCCTATTATTGCTTTGTTCCTTTAATATTTCTCTTTTTATTGTCCTCTTAATAACACTTTTATAAATATTGTGATTTATTCAGTTTCTAATAAATAAGCATATTTTTATATTACTTGAGTCAACAGAACAGCATTTTGAAACTGTTCACAGATTCTCATTCATAAGCTAAATACTTATAGAAAATAGATACAGTTACTGATTTTATGCATTCTGTACAATTTTGCCTAAGAAATTAATGCATAGAAGTGGACTTTTTTATATCACCAACAAGATTGAAAATATAAGCAAAAAGTGTTTATAACTAATTGTTTTATAAGAAAGGAACTTCACCTGTTTCTGGATATTTTTTCCTCTGGAATTCAGCCATAAAAAAGAATGTAATCTTGTCATTTATGGCAATGTGGATGGAACTGGAGGACATTAAGTGAAATAAGCCAGGAACAGAAAGTTAAACACTGCATGTTCTCACTCATATGTGAAAGCTAAAAAATGTTGGTCTCATAGAAGTAAAAAGTAAGACAGAGGATAGATAATAGAGGCTGGGAAGGGTAGGAGGAAGGAAGGGATAGGGAGAAATTTGTTGAAGGATACAAAATTTCAGCTAGATAGAAGAAATAAGTTCTAGTGTTCTATACCACTGTAGGATGACTGTAGTTAACAATACTATATAGTTTCAAATAGCTGGAAGGAAGATACTGAACATTCCTAACACAAAGAAATGATAAATATTTAGATAATGGATATGTTAATTACCTTGATTTGATTTCTGTACATTATATGTATCAGAACATTATCTACCCCATGAATATGTATGATTATTATTTGTTAATTAAAAAAATAAAATTAAAAAAATCATACATGGGCCAGGCATAGTGGCTCATGTTTGTAATCCCAGCACTTTGGGGGGCCGAGGCGGGCAGATCACTTGAGGTCAGGAGTTTGAGAGCAGCCTAGCCATCATGGTGAAACCCCATCTCTACTAAAAATACAAAAATTAGCTGGGTGTGGCGGCGGGTGCCTGTAATCCCCAGCTCTTCAGGAGGCTGAGGCAGGAGAATCACTCGAACCTGGGAGGCAGAGGTTACAGTGAGCCGAGATCATGCCACTGCACTCCAGCCTGGCGATAGTGAGATTCCGACTCACAAAAAAAAAAAAAAAAAAAAAATCATACATAGTAAAATGGTAGCATTTTTTGAATATGAGTGGAAGCTACATGAGTGTTTTAAATATTTCATAATTTTAAAATCACTGGGTGCAAATGACTATATGAATAAAAGTGTCCAATAAACTGTACTCTTAAAAACTAACAAATATATGGGATATATTAGATACTTGATGGATTTATATTTGGCATAAGTAAGGTTATATTCACTTTTCATCCATCATTGCATATATGTATCAAGTATGTGTGTACTGGCAGTATTTATTTAGCCCACTCAGGTAGAATTTATTCTTCCCATATAATTACAGGGTATTATCATCAACTAAATTAAATCAGAAAATGAATGAGAAAGCACCTCAAAGTACCAGGTCTATACAGCCATTCTCTAGATCAAACTTACTTACAAACACACACACAACATGTACATAGTTTTATTTATTTGTTTATTTTTCTCACAGATGAGATTAACATGGGCTTTGGAGTCATAAAGACTGAATTTGAATCTAATTGCTATCATATCATATCTCCTATATAGATGGACTCTTGGGAAAGTTAAATAAATTTCTAATAATATTACCCTTGTAGTTAGACAATAATACCAACTTCTTCTTAAGGTTCTTATGAAGATAAATTTGTAAAATAGCCGAACATTTTCTGACAAGTAGTAATTATTGAATAAACATTGACCTCCTTCCCCATGTGTTTCTAACCTCCTTTGTTAGTAAAGTTTTTTTTTTTTTTTTTTTTTTTGTCATCCAGGCTGGAGTGCAATGGTGCGATCTCAGCTCACTGAAACCTCCACCTCCTGGGTTCAAGCGATTCTCCTGCCTCAGCCTCCCAAGTAGCTGGGATTACAGGCACCTGTCACCATGCCTGGCTAATTCTTGTATTTTTAGTAGAGACAGGGTTTCACCACGTTGGCCAGGCTGGTCTTGAACTCCGGACCTCAGGTGATCCGCCCACCTCAGCCTCCCAAAGTGCTGGTATTACAGGCGTGAGCCACCATGCCTGGCCATTAGTAAGGTGTTAAAAAATAGGTTCTCTTTGTAAAAATTAGTTTTGAACTTTATTTTTACTTTTTTTCTTTGCATTCTCACCCAGTCTATTTTTGGTCTTATTTTGAAGTTTCGCACACCAGTCAAGATGTATATATATGTGGGCCATGGGATATACTTTCTGACTTTGTTATTCTGTCATGTTGACACTCTCTCAGTGGGAATCTGCATTGGTCTGTTTTCACACTGCTGATAAAGACATACCCGAGACTAGAAAGAAAAAAAGGTTTAATTGGACTTACAGTTCCACATGGCTAGGGAGGCCTCAGAATCATGGCAGGAGGCAAAAGGCACTTCTTACATGGCAGCAGCAAGAGAAAATGAGGAAGAAGCAAAAGCAGAAACCCCTGATAAACCCATCAGATCTCCTGAGACATATTAACTATCACAAGAATAGCACGGGAAAGACCAGCCCCCATGATTCACAACACATGGGAATTCTGGGAGATACAATTCAAGTTGAGATTTGGGTGGGGACACAGCCAAACCACATCATTCTGCCCCTGGCCCCTCCAAATCTCATGTCCTCACATTTCAAACCCAGTCATGCCTTCCCAACAGTCCCCCAAACTCATTAACTCATTTCAGCATTAACCCAAAAGTCTACCAGTCCAAAGTCTCATCTGAGACAAGGCAAGCTCCTTTTGCCTATGAGCCTGTAAAATAAAAAGCAAGCTGATTACTTCCTAGATACAATGAGAGTACAGGTATTGGGTAAATACAGCTGTTCCAAATGGGAGAAATTGGCCAAAACAAAGGGGTTACAGGGCCCATGCAAGTCCGAAATCCAGTGGGACAGTCAAATTTTAAAGCTCCAAAATGATCTCCTTTGAATCCAGGTCTCATAACCAGGTCACGCTGATGCAAGAGGTGGGTTCCCATGGTCTTGGGCAGCTCTGCACCTGTGGCTTTGTAGAGTATAGCCTCCCTTCCAGCTGCTTTCATGGGCTGGCATTGAGTGGCTGCAGCTTTTCTAGGTGCATGATGCAGGTTGTCAGTGGATCTACCATTCTGGGGTCTGGAAGACATTGGCCCTCTCCTCACAGCTCCATTACATAGTACCCAGTACGGACTCTGTGTGGGGTCTCCAACCCCACATTTTCCATCTGCTTTGCCCTAGCAGAGGTTCTCCGTGAGGGCCCCACCCCTGCAGAAAACTTGCCAGGGCATCCAGGGGTTTCCATACATCCTCTGAAATCTAGGCGGAGGTTCCCAAATCTCAATTCTTGACTTCTGTGCACCCACAGGCTCAACACTACATGGAAGCTGCCAAGGTTTGGGGCTTCCACCCTCTGATGCCACAGCTTGAGCTGTGTACATTGGCCCCTTTCAGCTATGGCTGGAGCATCTGGGACACAGGGCACCAAGTCCCTAGGCCACACACAGCATGGGGACCCTGGGCCCAGCACACAAAACCGCTTTTTCCTCCTGGGCCTCTGGGCCTATGATGGGAGGGGCTGCCACAAAGGTCTCTGACATGGCCTGGAGACATTTTCCTCATGGTCTTGGGGATTATTAACATTAGGCTTCTTGCTACTTATGCAGTTTTCTGCAGCCAGCTTGAATTTCTCCCTAGAAAATGGGTTTTTCTTTTCTGTCGCATAGTCAGGCTGCACATTTTCCATACTTGTATGCTTTGCTTCCCTTATAAAACTGAATGCCTTTAACAGAACCCAAGTCACCTAATGAATACTTTGCTGCTTAGAAATATCTTCCACTAGATACCCTAAATCATCCCTCTCAAGTTCAAAGTTCCACAGATCTCTAGGGCAGGGGTAAAATGCCGGTCTCTTTGCTAAAACATAACAAGAGTCACCTTTACTCCAGTTTCCAACAAGTTCTTTATCTCCATCAGAGACCTGGACCTTATTGTCCATATCGCTATCAGCATTTTGGGCAAAGCCACTCAACAAGTCTCTAGGAAGTTCCACACTTTCCCACATTTTCCTGTCTTCTTCTGAGCCCTCCAAACTGTTCCAAACTCTGCCTGTTACCCAGTTCCAAAGTCACTTCTACATTTTCTGGTATTTTTTCAGCAACACCCCACTCCTGGTACCAGTTTACTGTGTTAGTCCATTTTCATGCTGCTGATAAAGACATACCCCAGATTGGGAAGAAAAAATGTTCATTTGGACTTACAGTTCCACATGGCTGGGGAGGCCTCAGAATCATGGTGGGAGGCAAAAGGCACTTCTTACATGGTGGCAGCAAGAGAAAATGAGGAAGAAGCAAAAGTGGAAACCCCTGATAAACTCATCAGATCTTGTGAGACTTATTATCTGTCAGAAGAATAGCACAGGAAAGACCAGCCGCCATGACTCAAATACCACCTCCTGGGTCCATCCTGTGACACATGGAATTCTGGGAGATAAAATTCAAGTTGAGATTTGGGTGGGGATACATAGCTAAACCATATCAGAACCTTTGTATATAAAAGGAACATTGATAGAGGATGATGAAATCATAGGAAAGACCGACAGTTTCTGAAGGACTAATTCTATAAAGTCTGCTGTTTAAGAGTTCTTAATAGTATTTTTTTAATGAAGTGATTTAAGTTGCATGGTTAATGATCAAAACTTCTGGTAGAGGCTGGGCACGGTGGCTCACGCCTGTAATCCCAGCATTTTGGGAGGCTGAGGCTGGCGGATCACAAGGTCAAGAGTTTGAGGCTAGTCTGGCCAACATGATGAAACCCTGGCTCTACTAAAAATACAAAAATTATCTGGGCATGGTGGCAGGCACCTATAATTCCAGCTACTCTGGAGTCTGAGGCAGGATAATCGTTTGAACCCGGGAGGCGGAGGTTGCAGCGAGCCGAGATCACGCCATTGCACTCCAGCCTGGGCGACAGAGTGAGACTGTGTCTCAAAAACAAACAAACAAGCAACAACAAAAACAAAAAACAAAAAAACTTCTGGTAGAGCAATTTATGACTTCTGGTTTTTTGTCTAGGCAGTTTATTTTGTCTACGATTGGATCTAACGTACACTTTACTCCAGACCCAGGTCTAAAACCTGATTGATTAAATCAGAAGTTTTTAATGATGCTGTAAATGATTTTTTATTATTGTTTAATCATATCTTAAAAAAAACAAACGTAGGGCTGGGCACGGTGGCTCACGCCTGTAATCCCAGCACTTTGGAAGGTTGTGGTGCGTGGATCACCTGAGGTCAGGAGTTCAAGACCAGCCTGGCCAACATGGTGAAACCCCATCTCTACTAAAAAATACAAAAAATTAGCCAGAGGTGGTGGTGGGCGCCTGTAATCCCAGCGACTCGGGAGGCTGAGGCAGGAGAATCACTTGAACCCAGGAGGCAGAGATTGCAGTAAGCTGAGATTGCACCACTGCACTCCAGTTTGGGCAACAGAGAGAGACTCGGTCTCAAAAAAAAAAAAAAAAAAAGTAAAAACATTGAAGTAGAATTGGCAGGAATGCCTTTATTTTTTAATCTAAAATATTTAAAATGTATTGTAGCGTATTGAAGTGTCCTTCAGATAATATCCCTTGGAACTTTTTTTTTCTCTAATTTTGAAGTTTAGTGATACTCTGTTTTTATCTTAAAGTGACATTATCTTTCAGTAGTTCAGTGTTTGTCTCTGTCTCTCTCTCTTTTTAGCCTATACTTCCTGGTATATTTGGCAGTGTAATAAATGTAGCTGTCAGCTAGTATAATTATTCCCTTTTGTGTTTAAATTATTGGAGATAGAAGATTACATCTGGATATTAGTCTCTTCATTCAGTATTGACAAGTGATGGTATCCAGTGGTACTTAAATCATTGGATGATGGAAAACATCTTTTTCTTCCATTAGGAAAGAATTTTACATGGACTTAAAAATCAAAGTATTTAATGTGTATATCTAGTACATGTTTTATACACTGTGCTTAGATCCTTTGGGTTGAATTTTTGTTTGAATAGAAAAAAATTTTGTTTGGATAGAACAAAAAATACATTTAAAACATTGCTCTAAGTTTCAGGATAAGCATTTTATTTTTCAGGGAGCACTCTTTAGTAAATATTATATGAGTGTATTAATGGTACTCTGATAAGGTAGAAATAATTATTTAAGGAGAATTCAGATTAAAAACTGGAGAGTAATTGTTTTATAACATTAGAACCCTGAATGGCAATTTGATGAACTGGAGAAGAAAAAGATGTCTGCAATAAATCAGAAACAAACCCTTCAGCTTCAGCAGTAGTGCTCATTATTTTTTTTAAAAAAATAGAGCCTCTAGGATCAAACATATTATACAAAGTAGCATGTATCATTAAAAGTATAAATTGGTATCCTTTTTAAGGGGAGTATAAAGAAGTATGTAGGAGTCAGTGTGGTCTGAAAAATGGAAAGGTTATTTTGCTGCTAAAATATAGGTTTTTTTACAGTGTAAGTGCATTGCTCAGAACATATCTTCTTCCACGCTTCAAAAGAGTTTGGGTAAGGGAACAGCCTGAAAAACACCTGAAAGAGAGAATTCTGGCTTATGGATTAGAGAGCATCTATAAACAGAACAAATTGGTGAATAAGAGTTCACAAAAATTTTGTCTAAGAAATTTCCCCACATGCATTCAGAGGTTAATAATTAAATTTTTTGAAGTTCATTTTAAAACATTGCTTATTTTAACATGTAAACGTATGTTGGGTGGGAAAAGTACAAATGGGAGATTGAAACTGTTTTAATCATGTAAATGATCAGCCCTACAATTTTTGTTTTTTTAATAATCTGGAATGCTTATTTTATATGCTGGGATGCTAGTTGTTTTTTCTATTAATACACTTAACTTGCATTCTAGCTTCGCCATTCAGAGACAGGCATCGTGTGGTGGGTTGTGTGACAGTGTCTGTCAATAGTGAAGACAAATAGTGCCAGAGACACTTAACCCATCCAATCTCACCCAGGGTATAGGTCGGTCTCGTTTTCAGACTTCTTCATAAGTCCTTCTTTCTTTCTCTCTTCCTTTCTTACTTTTTGTTTGTTTGTTTCTAAATAGTGGATTGATACTGATTGAAACTAAAACTTTTTGTAAAGTTTTAAACTTTGCATTAATATTATAAGAAAAAGAAGAAAAGTAGAAAATGAAGGTTGGCATGTAAGGTGTCGACAAAGCAGGTTTGCAGCCACTTTGTGTGTTCTAGATATTTCAATCTCTTGGCAACATGAGTGTTGGCCTTACAGCTTTTTTCTCTGAATATCTTTCTTCTTTAATCTGAAAATATGTCCTTGTATCTGGTGACTTTTATCAGATGAGAACTTCAGAGTTGGTCATTGTTACCAGTAAGAAAAATATAATGCTTAAGAAGAAATAACGAAGGTTGAACATTATGTGTTTTAGATCAGAAATAGTTTCTGGCCAGGCACAGTGGTTCACGCCTGTAATCCCAGCACTATGGGAGGCTGAGGCAGGCGGATCAGCTGAGGTCAGGAGTTCGAGACCAGCCTGACCAACATGGTGAAACCCTGTCTCTACTAAAAATACAGAATTAGCCGGGCGTGGTGGTGCATGCCTGTAATCCCAGCTACTTGGGTGGCTGAGGCAGAAGAATCGCTTGACTCTGGGAGGTAGAGGTTGCAGTGAGCCAAAATCGTGCCATTGTACTCCAGCGGGGGCAACAGGAGCGAAACTCCATCTCAAAAGAAAAAAAAAAAGGCCGGGCACGGTGGCTCACACCTGTAATCCCAGCACTTTGAGAGGCCAAAGTGGGCAGAACACAAGGTCAGGAATTTGAGACCAGCCTGGCCAATACGGTGAAACCCCGTCTCTACTAAAAATACAAAAATTAGCCAGGTGTGGTGGCGGGCACCTGTAGTCCCAGCTACTCGGGAGGCTGAGGCAGGAGAATCGCTTTTACCTGGGAGGCAGAGGTTGCAGTGAGCCAAGATTGTGCCACTGCATTCCAGCCTGGGCAACAGAGTGAGACTCCGTCTCAAAAAAAAAAAAAAAAAAAAAAAGGAAATTGTTTCCAAATATCTTTTTTTTAATGATTATTTTTGAATAGTCAATAATTTATTCCTTCTTTGTTCCACTATTTGTTCACTTAGCACTCTTGCAAAATTTTATGGCTTTTTTTAAACTAGCTTTTTTAGAAAACTCAATTTTGCACAGATGTTGAAAAATTATAAAATATGTACATATTCAAATGTTAGGGATCAAATTTTAATCTTGGAAGCTTGGAAATTAAATATCATTTCTGTCATATATTTTAAAGCAGTGAAAGGTATTTCTTTCTTTTGAGGACTTCAGCAAATATTTCTAATTTCAAAGCTTTCTATTAAAAGTTTTTAGTTCCATATAAAGTATATCTTTTTTATGATATTTTAAGCACTAATATATTATGGTAGTTAAAATAATTTCTAGTTGACAAATCTAGAGCTGATAGTTCTTAAGTTTAAAATACAGTTTAAGCAAGGAGTATATAAAATCTACATGGGTTTCTATAAATGGTATCGTTTAAAATCTTATTTCAGTCTGGGCATGGTGCCTCATGCCTGTAATCCTAGCACTTTGGGAGGCTGAGGTGGGAGAATCCCTTGAGCCTAGGAGTTCAAAACCAGCCTGGGCAACATGGTGAAACCCTATCTCTACAAAAAAATACAAAAATTAGCCAGGTATGGTGGTGCATACCTGTAGTCCTAGCTATTCAGGAGGCTGAGGTGGGATGATCGCTTGAGCCCAGGAGGTCGAGGCTGCAGTGGGTTGTGATCGTGCCCCTACACTCCAGCCTGGGCAACAGAGCAAGACTGTCTCAACAAAGAAAACAAAAAAGAAAGTAAAGAAAGTAAATAAAATCCTGTTTCATCTTTTATTAAATTGCAGATTCTGGGATATTCATATTCCATGTAGACATTATTTAATATCTGCCAGTCTTTGAATCTCAACTATTTTTGAGTATTTATAGTTTCCATCAATTCTTAAAAGAAGCTGTATGTACAATTCAAGTTCACCATCGTTACTGGCATTTGGTCTGATAACTGGCTACTGTTAATAGTGGCAAACAGACTTAAATACAGGATACTTTACATATGACACTTTACCTGCCTCTTTTAAATTTTAAAATTATTCTATTTAAAATAATCTGACATTATAAATTTCTATGAGTAAATTATAGAATGGTCTATTAATTTTTCCTTTAGTTTGTTGTGCTTTCTGTGGTCACAGAAAATGCTTTAGAAAAAATAAAATTATTCTAGCCCAGGCACAGTGGCTCATACCTGTAATCCCAGCACTTTGGGAGGCTGAGGTGGGCAGAACACAAGGTCAGGAGTTCAAGACCAGCCTGGCCAGTATGGTGAAACTATCTCTACTAAAAATACAAAAATTAGCCGGACGTGGTGGCGGGTGCCTGTAGTCCCAGCTACTCGGGAGGCTAAGGCAGGAGAATCGTTTGAACCCGGGAGGTGGAGGTTGCAGAGAGCCAAGATTGTGCCACTGTACTCTAGCCTTGGCAACAGAGCAAGACTGTGTCTCAAAAAAAAGAAAAGAAAAGAAAAGAAAAAGGAAAAAAAAAGTATTCTATATAAGTTAGACTATAGGTTCAAAGATAATTCCTTCATAAAAGAAAAAAAATCAATAAAATTTATTCACATGGCCATGCACCATGGCTCACGCCTGTAATCTCAGCACGTCAGGAGGCCGAGGTGGGTGGATCACTTGAAGTCAGGAGTTCGAGACCACCCTGGCCAACATGATGAAATCCCATCTCTACTAAAATACAGAAATTAGCTGGGCGTGGTGGTAGGCACCTGTAATCCCAGCTACTCAGGAGGCTAAGGCGGGAGAATCACTTGAAACCTGGGAGGCAGAGGTTCCAGTGAGCCGAGATCGCGCCACTGCACTCCAGCCTGGGCAACAGAGCGAGAGTCCCTCTCAAAAAAAAAAAAAAAAAAGAATATATAGACGGGTCAGAACTGCATTCACACTTTGGTTCTATAGAATATCAAGCTGTTTTTTGATACTTTATTTAGTGATACAGTGGTATTCCCAGGAGGATTTGTCAGCACTTTTCTGGGAATGCTTGGAAATGACTAATTAGCATTAGAAATTTAAAATGTTCTGATATCATTATTTTATGTATTTATATTTTAATAGGATATTAAGGATTTTTTTCATGGTAAATTTATGGATATATAAGTAGGTAATTTGGCTTACTTATAATTTAAGGAAATAAAATTACTAGAGTACTCTCGGTAGAGATAGCAAATCGTTACCTCTAGACTCTTAGTATTTTCTCTGTATCAAATAATGCTATCGTAGTAATATATATTCTAAGTACTTTGAATTATATTTGAATTATATTTGAATATAAAAGAATAAAAATTCTTTTATTCTTCAACCTACATTTATTTGCCAGCTTATCTTTAATGTAACTCCAAATACATACCAAATTTTTGGCTTCCCAGAAATCAATTTAATAATTTGAATTTTATTACAATGTAGGCACTGTGATAGGTGTTGGGAGGATCTAAGATGAGAAAGATATTGTCAGTGCTTTCGAAGTGCTCACAGTTCTTACCCTCCATTTTACTACCTCACATGGCATTATTAATTAATGCACTCAGATCTCTTGCTAACCAGAATGTAATGTTTTGATGTGAAAGATTTTATACATCATTATCATCATCAGAGGATCAATAGTACCATGGTAAAGAATTTTAGGCTGGGTGTGGTGGCTCACGCTTATAATCCCAGTACTTTGGGAGGCCAAAGCTGGAGGATTGCTTGAGCCCAAGAATTTGAGACCACCTGGGCAGCATGACAAAACTTTGCCTCTACAAATAATTTAAAAAGTAGCCAGGCATGGTGTTGTGTGCCTGTAGTCTCAGTTACTCGGGAAGCTGAGGCAGGAGGATTGCTTGAGCCCAGGAGATCAAGGCTGCAGTGAGCCATGATCGTGCCACTGCACTGTAGCCTGGGCAACAGAGTGAGACCCTGCCTCAAAAAAAAAAAAGAATTTTACAGTTTAAAAAAAATTATTTCATTTGTCTTAAAATGAGTAGAATCTTTGCAATTGAGGTAGACTTTAAAAAGTAATATTTTTCTATTAAAAGATGGTTACTGTTCTTTTCTGACAGAGTTAATATTTTCAGTGTCATAGTTTTGTGCTAACTTTTTCTTTAATAAGTATGCCCAGGATCAATCCTGCAGTTGTGCACACACAATCGTGTGTTAGCTGTCCATGGAAAATGTATAGAATATTTAAATTTATGTAGGATATGATATCACAGTTTGGCATACTTACCCTAGAACACACACTTATGTCTGACTGTTAAATCAGTTGGGTTTTATAATCATTACGGTTTTGATATTTGATAAGATTTGCAAGATAAAATTTTTTACCTCAGAGAACAAGACAAGGTTATATCGTGCATATTAAATTCATAATACCATATAACTTGCTTTTGGGTTCATGATTGCTTTTCACCTGTACTTTCCATCTGTCATGAACAGGGATCCCTGAGATGTTCATACTCTGCATTCTCATGTGCATGATCCTTAGATTTAAAAAGGGTGAGTGGGAGAAAGTTGCTTTATAGAAATATAAGTTCACAGCATTCATGTTTTGTGTGTTCCACTGCAAATATTGCATGCTGCATACTTGTATGCTGCATACTTGTATTTCTCTGAAAATGAAGAACATAGGCTCATAAGTACACAAAAAATTAGTTTCGTTTTTGCCAATAGTTGGAACAGATGAAGGAATGTTAGATGTAATACCTTTTCTATTTTTTCTAAAATGAATTCTGTAGTATTTTTCAAAAGACAAGGAAAAAAATTATATTTAAACTCAAAGTGGCTACAAATCAGCTCCTAAACTGTCACTGACAGTAGCATATAGATTTCGTAGTTTTTACAAACTTTTAAAAATATTTATTTACTAAGAAAACATTGCATTAATGCATGATACAAAATTGATAAGTTTTCCTTTAAATTGGAATGCAGTTTAAAGTGACTGAATTTTCCAATTTCAGCTACTGCATTTGAGAAGGATACATACTGGAAAATGGAACTGGTATCATCTAATTTCTTTAGACTCCTTCACTTATGGTAGTTGGGAAAAATCTTTCCATGTGGCATTATATAGATCATATTCTTGATGACTAATATTAATTACTGTGCTTTTTAGCCTTGACAGTAATGAAGAATTCTGGGTGGATATAGTTCATTCAAATAATTTAGGTGTATTTTAAATACATGTTTTCAATTGAAAAAAACAGATCTTTGGCACTTGGCTTTTAATTATGTAAACATTGACATTCTTACATTTTGCTCTTTATATTATAATTGATGTGTATGTTGCAATTCCAATAACTGCACATACAGTTTTATCATACACTTTAAAACAGTGGCATACTTGGTCATAGATACAAATTAATTTTAGATTGAAATATATCTTTGTCACATTACCTATTTTTATTTTTGTGTGTGTATGTAATGACAACCTTTCCATATTGTGAACAAGATAAAATGATATCTAAAATGTTAGTCATGACAACTTCCAACCTTAGCGATCAACGCGCCTCTGAGTTTATGCTGTTAAGGGCTAAAGTAATAGTATTTTCAGTGCGCTATTCTGCCAGTTGCCACACATGCTGAAAAGATCTACTTAAATCTTTCTTGCTAGGCATAACAGATAAATAGTTTTATAAAAAATATTAATTCTGATGCTCTCCAGAGATTTTTATGCTTAACTATTTTCTGTTAGATTTCAGCCAGTAAAATTTACCATTGTTCTTACATTGGAAAATTCCCTTACTAGTCACAATCAACCAGGTCCTTTAAAAAGAGAAAATGGACAGCTCTAACCAATTGTCAAGCATGTAATCAAGTACTTTATTAAGAGAAATCCATCCATTAATCAGTTCTTCCTTTGCTTTTCATTATGTCATAAAGGATGGATTTATTTTAGAGCTTATGGTTTTGAACTACCACTTCCAGCTTCTGGAGACCCAATGATTAACTTGCTTCTACAACCCAGAATGTTCCAAATCATACCTTTTTCATCTTGATTCTCCTAGATTTTACAACAAATCATAGTGACAATACCAGTTCCATTTTGCCTCCAATTCAGTTGATTATATATTTTTTCTATTTATTTCTCATTTTATAATTGATATCTGGAATAATCAGCAGCTCTTTTCTCATTTATTTTCTCATATTTTTATTCCAGGATTTGCCTCTGAAGCAGGGAGTGTCTGCATTAAAAATGACCTGTAGTTCTCTGCTTCATAGGTTAGAAACTTATTTTAATATTTTGTGGCTAAGCACAGTCCCACTTTTCAAATTCTATAATGAATTATTTAATTGGCATTGAATGTGGACCACCAGCATATATTTCATATTGGGGTTTTCTTTATTACTTTAAATGATTAAAATTCAATAGAATGTCCAGCTGAGGCAATAAAAGCTTTATTTTTGCTTTACAGCTTAAAACGTTAAATGAGATTTTAAAAATCTATGGATTGTAACATAAGTAAAATAATGCTATTTGGGCATTTTTAAAAATTCCATTTCTTAGGCCTTATATTGCTTGAAGCATTTATATTCTAAAACATAACCAAATTCTGACTATTCATTTTGGGGAAAAACAATCAGTTCACAAATCACATTTTCAATGGGACTGCTAGCCAGCATAGGTGAAAACATGTATAGTGTATTTACTCTTGAATTGTACACTGCAGATGCTTCTTCAGCTCCCTCCTCTTCCTCCATGGGCGGTGCTTGCAGCTCCTTTACCACCTCTTCCAGCCCTACCATTTATTCTACCTCAGTCACCGACAGCAAGGCTATGCAAGTGGAGAGCTGCTCCTCAGCCGTGGGGGTAAGTAACAGAGGGGTAAGTGAAAAGCAGTTAACCAGTAACACAGTTCAGCAGCATCCATCAACACCGAAGAGGCACACAGTCTTGTACATCTCACCACCACCTGAGGACTTGCTGGATAACAGTCGGATGTCCTGCCAGGATGAGGGGTGTGGATTGGAATCTGAGCAGAGCTGCAGTATGTGGATGGAGGATTCCCCCTCCAACTTCAGTAACATGAGCACCAGTTCCTACAATGATAACACTGAGGTACCTCGTAAATCACGAAAACGAAATCCAAAGCAGAGGCCGGGGGTCAAACGACGAGATTGTGAAGAATCTAATATGGATATATTTGATGCCGACAGTGCCAAAGCACCTCACTATGTGCTTTCTCAGCTTACCACGGACAACAAAGGCAACTCAAAAGCGGGAAATGGGTTGGTATTCACATTTTTTAAAATTCTATCATCATTATGCAAAACAAACAAACAAAAAAAATTCCCAATTTTTCCTAATTGCTGAGCTCAAGTTTGCATATAAAGCAACAGTGCTAATTTTATCATTGAAATACATGAAAATTTTAACTTAAAATTACCAACTTTTACTAGATAGAAAATAAAATAATCATAGATTCTAGCAATAGATATCTTATTATCAGTATAGTTAGGTAGTAGAAAATGAAAATAATCTGTTCTGAAATAAATTTCAAATGAATTTATATTTTAAAAGGACTTTTACTCAGCCAGGTGCGGTGGCTCACACCTGTAATCCCAGCACTTTGGGAGGCCGAGGCGGGCGGATCACCTGAGGTCAGGAGTTCGAGACCAGCCTGACCAACATGGTGAAACCCCATCTCTACTAAAAATACAAAAAAAATTAGCCGGGCATTGTGGCATGTGCCTGTAATCCCAGCTACTTGGGAGAACTGAGGCAGGGGAATCGCTTGAACCCAGGAGGCAGAGGTTGCAGTGAGCCGACATCACGCCACTGTACTCCAGCCTGGGCGACAAGAGCGAAACTCCATCTCAAAAAAAAAAAAACACCAAAAAAAAAACCGAAAGAACTAGCAATGTAATGACTCCATCCAAAACAACTCAAACAGTCACTAAGAGCTATGTTCTCTTTCCAATTGTGTCCTCATATGGTTTACATTTTTTAGAGGATTTTAGACTTAATTTTTTTCTCTTTAATTGATGAAAACAAGAAAAAACTAAATTGAGAGTTTGATTCTCATCATTTAGATTCATGTATCATAAGCTTTTTTCCTTTGATACTAATACATTGATTGTACAGAGTCGATATTTTTTTTAAATCACTCATTTTTTTTCTGTGATTCTGGGTTACTTATTTAGAGGGTGATGAAACAGGATCATGGTACATGTTTGAGTTTTCTTTCATCTCTGCCAGTCACACTACCCACTAATATAGTTCAATAGCTATGTTACAGAATATTCACTGCTATAATGCAGACTAGTATGACTTTTAATTCCTTTAGTAATTTTATTGTAATATTTAATTGCTAGACTTTTAAATTAGATTTTTGTATAGTACATTCAAAATAATTTGTTAAAATTTAACTCTCTAGGACCCAGGATCTCCTACAATTTCAGTTTTACACAAAAAGTGGTCAAGAAGCTTTAGATTGATTTACTACTTGATGACATCACTGATCTTTTTTTGGTTAAAAATTCAGTTGAATATTATAGAGAATATTCTTAATATATATTTAACTTGCCCTTAAGCACTCCCTCAGTACATTTTAAAAAGTAATATCTACCCTTTAAGCAATAATTACTCTACACCGCTTCTTTACCTCCTTAAGGGTGATGTAGTTAAATGAAAATGAATATTTAAATGCTTTTCAGTTTTAGAAAGTCCAGTTTAGTAAATTACCTAAAAGAAAATAAGATATACTCTTTCCTAAAATGTTGCCATTTAATAAAATCAAGAATTTCAGAACATAATATTTGTAGAACTATTACTTATAAAATAAGGCTCTGAAATGTAATGAATACAGCAGGTAAATACTTAAGTAACTGTGATAGTAACACAGATCTAAAAGTCTCATGAATATCATTTAATTACATATGTGTGTTTATTTGTGCTTTAGTGGAGAAAGTCTTTAATATAAAGTTCCAGAAGATAAATTTTCATTTTTATATCAAAATGAATGTTGAAGGTTCAAATTTAGAGCAAATAGAATTTTTACTTATGGCTAGTAAACAGTGATTTGCAGTTGCTAATTAAATATCTTGACCTTCATTTTTCTGCTTCTACTTTTGTATGATAGCTATATCTTAGAAATGATTTGAGGTTACCCAGGGAAAGTATAATGACATTGGTCAAGACAGACTCTTTCATGAAATAATTCATGGAGCAGAAATTCCATCAAGCAGAAGAAATGTCCAGCTTCTTAGGTAATGAAAAAAATATTTGAAACTAGTATATGGAAATGATGGAAGAATTTTAAAATTGGAATTTATAACAACTATATTGAGGAAAGGATGAAACCATACCTAAATATATAGAAAAATCGGCCTTAAAAATAATTTTTCAGAGCATGTCAAGCTAAAAGCCTGTATTCTTCAACAGTGAAAAAAATCTTAAAATGTTTTGAGAGATAAGGATATAGCCTTAGATCTAATGTGCCATAAATCTACAATTTATATCATACTAAGTATTTAGAAAATGTACTTTAAAATGTATACAGCAGTTTATTGATCTTCAAGATACCACATAGAAATCTGATAGCTTGTAGATGAAAATAGCATTTTTATATGACTAAGATGTTAGAGTCTAATAAGAGAATAAAACCATTAAAAAAAAAAGCTTAGTATTTGAATATTCCTAGCCATATCATTCTTAAATTTCTCAACTAAATGTCCTGAGAATCAGTTGCCCCATGTCTCTTCTAGATATTTCTATAAGTTAAGATAGGATGTCATCTGGATGTGAAACCTACTTTAGGCTTTTTGTAATGAAAATTATTTTTTTGACATAGGTCACCAGAAGGATTATGCGGCACGAATAAATTAGAATGTCATTTTAAGACTTCTGAATAGAATATGCCATGATGGTGGATTTTCCTTTTTGGTTGTCATTTAGAAGTAAAATCCCATGTAACTGACTGCTACTTTATTTTTTCTTAAGCCATCATGCCTTAAAAATTAGTAACTTGACTACGTTTCTAAGCATTAGTGGATGTTTTCATGGTTTTACATGTCTATACATCTCAATATGTATGTATTCCATTTTTACATTTTAGAAAAAAAAGATAGTTTTAAGAACTTCTAAAGTACCATTTTAGAAATTGCTTAATTACATGATATTCTTCTTTAAGCCATAATGTGTATACTCACTCAATACTTCATCCCAAGTGAGATCATTTGTTTTGCTAGACTAGTAAAACTCACTTTCATTTATTTGCCCTTATAAATATTAGCTTGACTAGCATAAGTGAGTATAAAAACATGTCTTGCCAAGTTAATCGATATGCTCTATGAATTTTCCTTGTATTTCAAACTAAAATTTTCCCTTTTCTATTATAAAATTGATACATATGAATTACAAATATTTGAAAAATACAAGAAAACCTCATAATCTAGTCACTCAGTAAATCTGCTATTATCATTTTGCAGTATTTTCTTTCATCTCTTTGTATGTATATTTGGGGGATATTTCTACATAGTTTCAATAAATGAATATTTTTACTTTAAGATTAGTATAAAACAGAATATCATAGACTTTCATGTGTGAGGAACTGCACACTAGTTAGACCAAATGTTTGAATCTGTACCCAGAATGATGAAAAGAAAAACAGGGTTTACTGCCCATTGTTCCAGCTTCAACTTGATACTTATGTTCATAGAATTTATTCTTCCAGGGCCTTTTAAATGACTTGCACAAGTAATCTTTGATTTACTTATGTCAAATTTACACGAATGGCATTCCTTGTCCAGTTAGGATCTTTCTCATCTTAATATTACAGAAGCTTCTTTATCCCTCTGCTTTCCTTTCTTTGTCCCTTTCTTCTTCTTTGCCTTCATCAACAAACATTTCTTCAGCACCTGTTATGTTTCAGGAAGTGTGCCAGGTTCAGGGAATATAAAGATGATTAAGCACAGTATTGCGCCTTGAGAACTTTTCCTCTCATCTATCAGTCTTACTGAATTCCTATGCTAGTTTCATTCCTTCTTTGCTCCATTCTTTTGCCTCTTTCCTAGCCAAGGATTCAACCTACTCCCCATTTCCATTGAAGATAGTGCCTTTCCTCACTTTGTTCTTGATGATTAAGGCAACAACTTGGTTACAGCTGGAGGGGTAAACATTAGAGCCAGGTTTAAGCCTGCTTAGCTTCTCTGTGTTTGAAGTCGTAATATTCCTACTGGAATCTGGTTGCTTTTAGAGGAGATTTTTCTTCACAGTCATCTGGCTCCTGGATCTTTGATGTGAGTCAAAACTTAGGACTAGGAGGGTCACAGAGAAAGCTATGACCCTGACTTTATTTAAAAACATACGTGAATTTTTTTTTTTTTTTTGAGACGGAGTTTTGCTCTTGTTGACCAGGCTGGAGTGCAATGGCACGATCTGGGCTCACTGCAACCTGCACCTCCTGGGTTCAAGTGATTCTCCTGCCTCAGCCTCCCGAGTAGATGGGATTACAGGTGCCTGCCACCACTCCTGGCTAATTTTTTGTAGTTTTAGTAGAGACGGGGTTTCACCATGTTGGCCAGGATGGTCTCAAACTCCTGACCTCAGGTGATCCACCCCGCTTGGCCTCCCAAAGTGCTGGAATTACAGGTGTGGGACACCACACCATTGCTCAAAAGGAAAGATAACTAACAATATTGTTTTTACTTGTTTTTATTATGTATTTGCAGTGCTTCAACTATTTTACAGATTAAATGTGTTTGCCTGAAGTCATAACCACCATTTGGGATACTGTTTTTCTTTGAACATGCATTCCACATAGCAAATGCATTATAAATAAATGTTAAAAAGCATAACTAAAAAAAATAAGGGCCAGGTGCAGTGGCTCATGCTTGTAATCCCAGCACTTTGGGAGACTGAGGCGGGAGGATCACCTGAGGTCAGGAGTTCGAGACCAGCCTGGACAACATGGTGAAACCCCATCTCTAACAAAAATATAAAAATTAGCTGGGCTTGGTGGCACACGCCTGTAATCCCAGCTACTTGGGAGGCTGAGGCAGGAGAATCACTTGAACCCAGGAAACAGAGGTTACAGTGAGCTGAGATTGTGCCACTGCACTCCAGCCTGGATGACAGAGTAAAACTCCATCTCAGAAAAAAAAAAAAAAAAAGGTAGAATGCTGGTGCTGTAAAGCCCAGATTGTAAAAATTTTTATTGAGGGCTTTAATTACTTAACTAATCACAGATAAAAATAATCTGAAAAATCACACTCCTAGAAAAGATTGTTTAGAGTAAAGCTAATTTCCCAATAAAAATTGAATCGCTAATTTTTTATCTAATTTCTTCAGTTTGGTTTACTGAGAAGGATACTCAAAAGAATAAGCTACATATACCTTCATTTGGTTTGTAGGCCATTTTGTATGGGGGTATGTAGGGTTTTTGGGGGTTTGTTTTTTGTTTTCGCTACCCTCACTTCTTTTACTGTGCAGTTAAAAAATAACAGTAGTTAATCTTATAGCTTTATATAAATTTTGGAATTTATATGTGGAATGCATACATGGAATTTTTAAATCTTATTTTGACTGAAGTACAATGTTAAAGGTTATAGTGACATTAGCTATTCTTTCCTGTTAGTCTCAGTTTATTGCGCTCAATCTTCCTCCCTTCCTCCTACCACTCACATACGTTCATTTTCTTTTCTGTCAAACATACTTTGTTTTATTTTTGCATCATATAGTAAACTTTTTTACAAAACCTTTTTAAAGATACTTTGCTCATGTATCTTCCTTTAGGCAATATTTTATTTTGCCAGCAAGCTGAATAGTTGTTTTTACTATTATTGCCAGTTCTGTTTCTTCCTTTGTCTTAATGGCTTTTTTTTTTTATCAAAAAACTCTTTTTGATACTTTCTCCATGTTGTGCTTTGATTTCTCAGAACATTGGAAAACCAAAAAGGAACTGGAGTAAAGAAGAGCCCTATGTTGTGTGGACAATATCCTGTTAAAAGTGAGGGAAAGGAGCTGAAGATAGTTGTACAACCTGAGACACAGCACCGAGCTCGGTACCTGACTGAGGGCAGCCGTGGCTCAGTGAAAGATAGAACACAGCAAGGCTTTCCTACAGTAAAGGTATTTACTTTATTTATCATTTGAATTTTAGTTAAAATGTAAAGGGGAATGAGAATATGTCCTGAAAAGTAAAATATTTTCAAATCATGAATTTTCTTCCCTCATATTTGATATTTGAATTAGATTCATCCCAAACTTTAGAAAGAATTTTTTTTTTTTTTTTTTGAGACAGAGTCTCACTCTGTCACCCAGGCTGGAGTGCAGTGGTGTGATCTCAGCTCACTGCAGCCTCTGCCTCCGGGGTGCAAGTAATCATGCCTCAGCCACCTGAGTAGCTGGGACTACAGGTGTGTGCCACCAGGCCCAGCTAATTTTTGTATTTTAGTAGTGTCGCAGTTTCACCATGTTGGCGAGACTGGTCTGGAACTCCTGATCTCAAGTGATCCTCCCGCCTTGGAGGAAGAAATATTAAAGTGAATTCAGAGAAATACAGTAGAAATTATTAAGAACTTTGAAAATAAGGTTTTTGAGATGGTTATAGTAATCAAGACTATTGGACTGAGAAAAGACTTGATTAATACTTAAGGCTTACGGTTTAAGAAATGGGATATCATTTGCATCCACTCAAGTACAGGAGGAAAGAAGGAAATGAGGAAAAAAAAAGAAATGAGGTATCAATTGAGTCTTAATTTTTTTTACAGTTGAGACTAAAAGTTAAAAGGGACTTAAATTTTAGCACCTAGGATATCTTGGTATAAAGAATATTTGTCTTTGAAGACAAACCTCAAAAAAATGGGGGAATGGGGAGAGGACTTAACAAGTGTCCCTACCCCTTGCTAAATACTAAATAGGGAGGAATTTTGGCTAGTCATATGGTAGATTCTTATTAAATACAGTTTGTATAAATATGTTAGTTGAACAGTATTTTAAGTTAGGAGTAGAGGTGGACTGCCTTTCATTTTATACTTGAATGAAATTATGATTGAAACTCTGGATCAATCAGGAAACGTGTCTGCCACCATTTATAAGGTTGTTAATAGTCACGTGTACAATATCAAGTCTACCCTTCTTCACTACATACTACCTTAACCCACACCCAGTCCTTCAATCCCAGGACAGGTAACAGGCAAGTGAGAAATCTATGTTATGCTTTGTGTAAATATTTGTCTAGCTAGATATTTTGGTAGTTTGGTCATTACGTTTAACCTAATTGCCCTGACTTTAAGTTATGTTTTGTCTAGTTAGAAGTATTGTTAGATTAATTGCTTAACTATGATAGGGAATGAATTGACCTTAAAAGTTTGTTTAGTCATTCATTCAACAAATACTACACTCCTCCATGTGCCAGGCACTGTTCTAGATTCTGCTGACCAGCAATTTGACTAGTTTGCTTATTTTCCTCATTATGATACCATTTTATAGAGATGTAGCTGTACTGGAATAGAAAAGATGTGTGAATTTTTTAAGTACTTTGTTTGGCATGCATTGTACAATTTACTTTGTGATTTTCTGCATTCTATATTAGGAGCTTCAATGTTTAACTATAAGCCTCATCAAGAATCAGGATTGGAAACATTTGTTCCCAAATGCTGTTTTAAATATTTATTTATTTTTCAGCATACAAATTATAATTTAATTTATGAAGGCTTGCTAGAGACCTGTAATGATCCATAGATCCCCGTTTGAACTAGCAGTCTCTCAGACCATAATGTTTTGTCTCAGGATTTAATGATGTTATATGTATGTATCTAGTCCGTGAAAATGAGCTTCATTTCCTTCTTATTCATATAGCTGCACTCATACTTTTCTATTCAAGTAGCTTTAGTAGAATAAAAATTTGGTATATGTGCTCTCATTTGATGATGATGATGATGCCACTAACAGTTTTGTGAGTTTTCCCATTAGTTATGGTGGTAGGTCCTGAGCAACCCAAATGCTGCCTGAAGTACTGTGCATTCATTCTCATCTGCTTGTACAAATAAATTATAAATGATAATTTATCATCTAACATCTAAATTTATAATTTAAGTATAGTTATTACAGAATTAAAACTATGACTTACTTCAGGAATTTAGCCAACTCTTTTATGAAAATGTTTTATCTCTATTTTTCTTGAAGATTTAAATTTTTTTAAATGTAATTCAGTTACAAGTATAGGATTTGGTCTTAAATATTTGATTTTATAATTAGATTATTTGAAATACTAATTAGTGTTTCTGTTGCATGTTTTCTGGTTTCAGCTGGAAGGCCATAATGAACCTGTAGTGTTGCAAGTGTTTGTGGGCAACGACTCTGGACGAGTGAAACCACATGGATTTTATCAGGCCTGCAGAGTAACTGGACGAAATACAACTCCTTGCAAAGAAGTGGACATTGAAGGCACTACTGTTATAGAAGTCGGCCTTGATCCTAGCAACAACATGACACTGGCGTAAGTACTTAGTAAGAATTTTTCATTATACATTACACTCTTGTGTTAGGCAGAATTGTTCAGTTTCTAATGTATAGAAGATTTTTTGCGTATTTTATTAAAATGTTTTAAATATTATGAATAAAAAAAGACATTACTTCAGAATGGTAATGGGTTAAAATTAACTCTTTTACCATTTGCTAAAGAATTCCCATGGTTGGGCCAGGCGCAGTGGCTCATGCCTATAATCCCAGTGCTTTTGGAGTCTGAGGCTGGTGGATCACCTGAGGTCAGGAGTTAGAGACCAGCCTGGCCAACATGGTGAAACCCTGTCTCTACTGAAAGTACAAAAATTAGCTGGGTGTGGTGGCACGTGCCTGTAATCCCAGCTACTTGGGAGGCTGAGGCAGGAGAATCACTTGAACCCAGGAGGCGGAGTTTGCAGTGAGCCGAGATTGTGCCACTGCCCTCCAAGCTGGGCAACAAAGCGAGACTCTGTCTCACAAAAAAAAAAAAAAAAAAAAGAATTCCCGTGGTAAAGGCAGGGAAATCAAAGCCAAGTGGAAAGCTGGCCAAAGACTTACTTTTTTGGGTTTATAATAGTAACATTGAAAATAAAAACTTCAATTTGATTTGCTTTCCTGAATTCCACTTTCTTAATGTTTGCTTTAAAAACTTTTTTTTTTTTTTTGAGACAGAGTCTCCGTCTGTCGCCCAGGCTGGAGTGCAGTGGTGCTATCTCTGCTTACTACAACCTCTGCCTCCCAGGTTCAAGTGATTCTCCCTGCCTCAGCCTCCCAAGTAGCTGAGATTACAGGCATCTGCCACCACACCCGGCTAATTTTGTATTTTTAGTAGAGTCGGGGTTTCACCATCTTGGCCAGGCTGGTCTCCAACTCCTGACCTCAGGTAATCCACACACCTTGGCCTCCCAAAGTGCTGGGATTACAGGCATGAGCCGCTGCACCCAGCCGAAAAACTGTTCAGCAGAGACTATGAAGTGCCTTATTCCATCTTGATGTGAAACACATATTGCTGGTTTAAATTCACCGTCTGTTGTTATTTTCCTCTGTTTAAAAAATATATATCTTTAGATTTAGATTATGTGTTTTTCATCTTGTGCATTTAAATTTTAAAAATTATTTTTCCTTAAGCCTTTTGTAAAGGACCTTTAATCCTAAAATTGAACCGTAACAGCAGGAAATATATTGGTATGGGGTAGATCTATGTTGTAATTATTTGTATATTGGATAGTTGCTAAAGACTTTACTTGGTTTTCAGTTTTCTTTTGAAAGCCATTTTAAATAGATTGGTAAAAGGTTAGTTGGAAAAGACATTTTGAGAAATATTTTGTAAATTTTTTTTTTTTGGAGAGGGAGTCTTGCTTTGTTGCCCAAGCTGCAGTGGAGTGGCACGATCTCGGCTCACTGCAACCTCCACCTCCTGGGTTCAAGCGATTCTCCTCCCTCAGCCTCCCGAGTAGCTTGGATTACAGGCGCCCACCACCGTACCTGGCTAATTTTTGTATTTTAGTAGAGACGGGGTTTCACTGTGTAGGTCAAGCTGGTCTTGAACTCCTGACCTCAAATGATCCGCCCACCTCAGGCTCCCAAAGTGCTGGGATTACAGGCGTGAGCCACCGTGCCTGGCCTCATAAATATTTTTTAACTTGTAACTTTTGAAAATTACTAAAAAAGGGGCTGGGCACGCAGTGGCTCACACCTGTAATCCCAGCACTTTGGGAGGCCGAGGCAGGTGGATCACTAAGTCAGGAGTTCAAGACCAGCCTGGCCAAGATGGAGAAACCCTGTCTCTACTAAAAATACAAAAAATTAGCCAGGCGTGGTGGTGGGCGCCTGTAATCCAAGCTACTTGGGAGGCCAAAGCAGAGAATTGCTTGAAGCCGGGAGGTGGAGGTTGCAGTGAGCTGAGATCATGCCACTGCACTCCAGCCTGGGCAACAGAGCAAGACTCCATCTCAAAAAAAAAAAAAAAAAAAGACAATTATAAAAATAAATACATATAGGCCGGGCGCAGTGGCTCACGCCTGTAATCCCAGCACTTTGGGAGGCCGAGGCAGGCGGATCACGAGGTCAGGAGATCGAGACCATCCTGGCTGTCATGGTGAAACCCCGTCTCTACTAAAAATACAAAAAATTAGCCAGGCGTGGTGGCGGGCGCCTGTAGTCCCAGCTACTCCAGAGGCTGAGGCAGGAGAATGGCGTGAACCCGGGAGGCAGACTTGCAGCGAGCCAAGATCGCTCCACTGCACTCCAGCCTGGGCGACAGGGCGAGACTTGTCTCAAAAAAAAAAAAATAAATAAAGTAAAATAAATAAATAAATACATATAGTAGAGGAGGAAAGGAAGGAATTTACTGATTATAAAAATAGTACTTATTCAATATAAGAAAGTTGAAAACAGGCCAGGCGTGCTGGCTCATGCCTGTAATCCCAATGCTTTGGAAAGCTGAGGCATGCAGATCATCTGAGGCCAGGACTTTGAGACCAGCCTGGCCAACATGGCGAAACCCCATCTCTACTAAAAATATAGAAATTAGCCAGGAGTGGTGGTGCATGCCTGTAGTCCCAGCTACTTGAGAGGTTGAGGCAGGAGAATCTCTGGAACCCTGGAGGCAGAGGCTGCAGTGAGCTGAGATTGCAACATTGTGCTCCAGCCTGGGCAACAAGAGCGAAACTCTGTCTCAAAAAAAAAAAAAAAAGTTGAAAACACAGGGTAAAAAAAGCTAAAAACATGCCCTTTAAAAACTAACTTGTGGCCTGGCACAGTGGCTTGTAATCCCAACACTGGGAGGCTGAGGTGGACAGATCTCTTGAGCCAGGAGTTCGAGACCAACCTAGGCAACATAGTAAGACTCCGACTGTACTAAAAATACAAAAGTGAGCTGGAGTGGTGGTGCGTGCCTGTAATCCCAGCTACTCAGGAGGCTGAGGCATGAGAATTACCTGAACCCAGGAGGGAGAGGTTGTAGTGAGCTGAGGTAGCGCCATTGCGCTCAGGCCTGGGTGACAGAGCGAGACTCTGTCTCAAAAAAATAAAATAAAAATATAAATAAAAAACAACTTCCTGGAAATAACCGCTATTTTAATGTGTATCTTCCCAGTCTTTTTTGGACAAAATTGAGAAAATACTGTACCCACTGTTTTGTAATCTGCTTTTTACTTAACATATCATGAGCATTTTTCACATATCATTCAATGTGGTAACATACTTTTTAGTGGCTATTATTCTATCCTTCTGGAGGCAGCTACTAATTTTTTAAAAGTAAAATCCATTTTATCTGTTTTCTGAATTAGCTCTGTAAAGAAAGAGACTAAATGTATTTTTTTATTTTTTTTTTTTTTTTAAAAAAAAGGTCTCTGGCCAGGTATGGTTGCTCATGCCTGTAATCCCAGCACTTTGGGAGGCCAGGGTGGGTGGATCACTTGAGGACAGGAGTTCAAGACCGGCCTGGCCAACATGGTGTAACCCCATCTTTACTAAAAATACAAAAAATAGTTGGGCATGGTGGCGGCCACCTGTAATCCCAGCTACTCAGGAGGCTGAGGCAGGAGAATCCCTTGAACCCCAGGAGACAGAGGTTGCAGTGAGCCGAGATCACGCCACTGCACTCCAGCCTGGGTGACAGTGAGACTCCATCTCAAAAAAAAAGATCTCTTATAAGCCATTATTTATGTTCAGATTTTAAAATAGTGATTTTATTTTTTTTACTTTTTATTATTATAAACAAAAGATTGACAGGATTAGGAACAGTGGTGAATGTTTAGAATTTACCCTTTTGTACTTTTTGAACTTGGAACTTTGTAACTTTATTACATATTCACAGAATTAATAGATAAGCAAAATTTTAAAAACAAACTTGTTGATTAAGAACATTATACTATTTATACAACAAAATGTCCCTTTATATATTTTTTTTCTGTATTAGGGTGGACTGCGTAGGGATATTGAAATTGAGGAATGCTGATGTCGAAGCCAGAATAGGAATTGCTGGTTCCAAGAAGAAAAGCACTCGTGCCAGATTGGTTTTTCGAGTTAATATCATGAGGAAAGATGGCTCCACTTTGACACTGCAAACACCCTCTTCTCCAATTTTGTGTAGTAAGTAAGAAGATACGGAGATACTAAACATATGGAGTTTCTTTCATTTTCTGTTAATCTTTTAGACATCTCTAAATTTTAGATATTTCATATGCTCCGGCTTGTGATCATGCAAAATTTGAAATATTTTAAAAGCAGTAGTCAGATTTTCTAGACCAAACTAGAGGTGAATACTTGGGATACAATTCAAAAGATGTGGAACATTTTGTAGTTTCCTATTATCATAATATGCTGATTTAAAAAGTAATTTGGACCAGACAGGGTGGCTCCCAGCACTTTGGGAGGCCAAGGTGGGAGGATCACTTCAGCCCAGGAGTTTAAGACCAGCCTGGGCAATGTAGTGAAAATCCTGTCTCTACAAAATAAAAAAATATATATAATAAGTTGGGTGTGATGGCTTGTGCCTGTAGTTTCAGCTACTCAGGAAGGTGAGGCAAGAGGATCACTTGAGCCCTAGGAGGTCAAGGCTGCAGTGAGCCTTGAGCGTGCCACTGCACGCCAGCCTGGGCAGCAGACTGCGACTGTCTCAAAAAAAAAGAAAGTAATTTGAGCTGGTTATCAGAAGTAAATTACAAAGCGAAAGCATTTTCTAAGCATCTTCACTGTGTGGTAAATTACTGTGGTTCTAACTGTTTTGTGTTAGAACATGAGTAAGGTAAGCAGAACTTTGCAAATAACAACATGTCAGAAGTTTCAATTATTAATTATAATATTATAGTATAGTGTTGGGAGTGGGAAATTCAATTCTTATCACTAACCTTGACATGGATAGAAAATGATGTGTGCGTGTTTGTGTGTGTAAATTCAATTATGTTGTTATATATGTCTCACCATAATTGTAGTTTCTCTCTAATGATTATTGTTATAGGTAATAAATAGGAAAAATTTTCCTTTTCACGTCTCTCTCTCTCTTTTTTTTTTCTTTTTTGAGATGGAGTTTCGCTTGTTGCCCAGGCTGGAGTGCAATGGTGTGATCTCTGCTTACAGCAACCTCCACCTCCCAGGCTCAAGCGATTCTCCTGCCTCAGCCTCCCGAGTAGCTGGGATTACAGGTGTGTGCCACTAGCACCTGGCTAATTTTTGTATTTTTAGTAGAGGTGGGGTTTCACCCTGTTGGCCAGGCTGGTCTTGAACTCCTGACCTCAAATGATCTGCCCACTCCTCCCAGCACCCCCCACCACCCTTTTTTTTTTTTTTTTTGTTAGATTGTGGCTCATGCCTGTAATACCAGCACTTTGAGAGGCCAAGGCAGGAGGACAGGAGTTTGAGACCAGCCGAGGCTGGTCTCTCTTCCTGTTTCCTTCTGTCTCCCATTCCAATCCCAGCTCTTCTTACTAACCAACTTTGTTTTCACCTCTCATTTTACTCCAGCTGTTTAAACCTGCCAAAAAGTTTGTATTCATGGAAACTAACATAAGCCAGAAACTTATAATGGAAGTGTATTGAACAACATAATGAGAGAACCTGTCTTTACAAAAATTAAAAAAAAAAAAAAAAGCCAGGCATGGTGGCATGTGCCTGTAGTCCCAGCTACTCAGGAGGCTGAGGCAGAAGGATCACTTGAGCCCAGGAGTTTTGAGATAGCAGTGAGCTATGATCACACCACTGCACTCCAGCCTGTATAAGAGACCCAGTCTCTTAAAAAAAAAAAAAAAAAAAAAAAAAAAAGGAAATTGTTCAGATGAGTGCTTTTTGTTTTTAATTTTTATTGTGTTCTGATAACAAAATATGCCTCATTGCTCATTCAGTCACTCATTTAGTCAACATAAATTAAATGCAGTTGTTCTCAATCCTGGGTGTAGGTTCGAGTCACCTGTAGTGCTTTAAAACAAACAAAAAGGCATGCCAATTGATGATTTGTTTTTGGAAAACTTCATAGTTAATTCAATGGATAGTTACAGTGTGCCTAACTCTGAAATTAAAGATTATAGTTTAAGGAGCTTACAGTTTAGCAGGCTGGGGAAAAAACAGGCAAGTAAATGTCTAATTTTATAGTAAAATTATATTAACTTCCATATATGTGTATATAAAATTGTATATAGGCCAGGCGTGGGAGCTCACACCTATAATCGGAGCACTTTGGGAGGCCAAGGCAGGGGGATTGCTTGAGCCCAGGAGTTTCAGATTAGCTTGGGCAACAAAGCAAGACCCTGTCTCTATTTTTTTAATTGCATATAAAAATTATATAAGCTTCCAATTGTATTATAAAGTTATATAAAGATACTATACTGCACAGTAGCTGTGTGAATAAAGTACAGTGGAAACATAGTAAGAGCATCTAATTCAGACTGCTCAGAGATGGTAGAACTTGTTCTGTCTTGTCTTAAAACACAAATAGAAGTAAAACAAGTAAAATGGGATTTACTTGAAAAATTTTCATATCTACCCTTCTGTAGTAATTCTGGGCAGAGGGATTCATGTATAAATATGCTCCCTGGAAGGATATGATTCTTTTGGGGGAAATAAAAAGAGTTTTATGTGATTGGAATAAAAAGATATACATTATGAAGTGGTAAGATTTGAGGTTACAGAGGTAGACAACACCTCTTTCTTTTTTTTTTTTTTTTTTTTTTTTGAGACGGAGTCTCGCTCTGTTGCCCAGGCTGAAGTGCAGTGGCATCATGATCTCTGCTCACTGCAAGCTCCACCTCCCGGGTTCCCGCCATTCTCCTGCCTCAGCCTCCCGAGTAGCTGGGACTACAGGCACCCGCCACCACGCCCGGCTAATTTTTTGTATTTTTTAGTAGAGACGGGGTTTCACCGTGTTAGCCAGGATGGTCTCGATCTCCTGAGCTCGTGATCTGCCTGCCTCGGCCTCCCAAAGTGCTGGGGTTACAGGCGTGAGCCACTGCGCCCGGCCGACAACACCTCTTTCATAAAGAGACTTGTGTATTCAGCAAAATAATTTGAATTTTATCCTGACCACTTAGGAAGCTTGATGCTTGAACTTGCGACTTTGAGGGCTGGATATGGGAGGAAAAGAAGAATAAACATAAAAATGATCTACAGTAAAACACAGGACCCAAAAAATCTTTTTATTTAAAAAAATTAAAATGTTTGTTCCATTATAAGTTTCTGGCTTGTATTTCTTTCCGTGAATATAAACTTTTTGGCAGCTTTAAGCAGTTGCAGTAAAATGAGAGGTAAAAAGGAAATTGGTTAGTGCAAAGAGTTGGGATTGGAATGGGAGATAGAAGGAAACAGGAAGAGAGAGAGGTAGAAAAGGAAAGGGGCCAAAAGGTGACAGAGTTGGAAGGGAGAAGAGGAAACAGATACTTGATCTTCCTTCTATAGATACTCAGTGGAAAGAATTTCTAATATCAGGATTCATGCAGTGCCTTGTGGCTTTAAAAAAATTACTTCTAATTATTGGTTTAACAATGGCCATTGGATCCTTTGTCTTTTTGTTTTTAAGGGGATAGAAGATCATCCCTTTTTACATTCTTAACATCTTTCATGTTCTCCAGACAATATAGGTGTATATGTTTTTTGTTTTGGTATGTATGTTTATATTATTTTGTTATGTTATATCAAATTAAGAATATTAATTTTCAGCTAGGTGCAGTGGCACGCACCTGTAGTCCCAGCTACTTGGGAGGCTGAGGAAGGAGAATCACTTGAGCCCAGGAGTTTGAATCCAGCCTGGGATTCAAACCCATCTCTTTAAAAAAAAAAAAAAAAAAAAAAAGGCCAGGTGCAGTTGTACACGCCTGTAATACCAGCACTTTGGGAGGGCGAGGTAGGAAGATTGCTTGAAGCCAGGAGTTGGAAACCAGCCTGGACAACATAGCAAGAGTCCATCTCCACACACAAAAAAAATGTTTTAAGTTAGCTGGGCGTGGTGGCATGTCCCTGTAGACCCAGCTACTTGAGAGACTATGATGGGAGGATTATTTGAGCCCAAGAGTTCAAGGATACAGTGAGCTATGGTGGCACCACTGCACTCCAGCCTGGGCAACAGAGTGAGGTCTTATTGATCTGTCCTTAAAAAAGAAAAAAGAAAAAATTTTCATATCTACCCTTCTGTAGTAGTTTTTAATAGGACAAAATTAATCATGGCTTTCTTACATGTAATATATATTAGATTTTATCTTATGGTTACTCAATTAAATATGACTCTGAATTTAAGAATTTTCTACTTCCCCTATTTCTACCTATCCCACAGCTATGGGGAAAGGATGGTATTGTTAAGCAAACTATCCCTCTCTTAAAATTTTGGATAGGATTAGTAATTTACATAGTCAGATGTAGGCTTTATACTCTAAAATATTCTGTTAACTATGTTGTTCTACTAGACATTATTACAAAGCTTTATTCTCTTGACAGGTTGAAATATTTGCTTACTTATTTTTCAGTATTCAGATATTCATTATTTTTTTCAACTTTATTTATTTATTTATTTTTTGAGACGGAGTCTCACTCTGTCACCCAGGCTGGAGTGCAGTGGCGATCCCGGCTCACTGCAAGCTCCACCTCCGGGGTTCACACCATTCTCCTGCCTCAGCCTCCCGAGTAGCTGGGACTACAGGTGCCCATTACCACGCCTGGCTAATTTTTGGTATTTTTTAGTAGAGACGGGGTTTCACCGTGTTAGCCAGGATGGTCTCAATCTCCTGACCTCGTGATCCGCCTGCCTCGGCCTCTCAGGGTGCTGGGATTACAGGTGTGAGCCACCGCACCCGGCCTCAACTTTATTTTTCAGACTGCTAGTTGAAAAGCATCTAAAAGCACACAGTTTTTACAATACCAAAAAGGTGATTTTTTGTGTGTTCTAATTTTTAAGCATTATTCCTTTCAAGTAATTTTTAAGCATTATTCCTTTCAAGAGTCAGCTTATAAATAACTTGGTCGGGCGCAGTGGCTCACGCCTGTAATCCCAGCACTTTGGGAGGCCAAGGTGGGCCCATTACCTGAGGTCAGGAGATTGAGACCAGCCTGAGCAACATGGAGAAAACCCATCTCTGCTAAAAATACAAAGTTAGCCGGGCTTGGTGGTGCATACCTGTAATCCCAGCTACTCGGGAGGATGAGGCAAGAGAATTGCTTGAACCTGGGAGGTGGAGGTTGCGGTTAGCCAAGACTGCGCCACTGCACTCCAGCCTGGGCAACAAGAACAAAACTCCGTCTCAAATAAATAGATAAATAAGTAAATAACTTAAAAATAAAACAGTTAATGCTTAAGTAATCTTGACTTTAGTTGTGTTTAGTATGGCGTCTGTTGGGGACTCATCTCGTAAACTTTAAAGAAAGGACCTTTTAAAAGGCCAGAAGTTAAATTATCTTGAATCTATGACAAACCCACAGCCAATATCATACTGAATGGGCAAAAACTGGAAGCATTCCCTTTGAAAACTGGCACAAGACAGGGATGCCCTCTCTCACCACTCCTATTCAACATAGTGTTGGAAGTTCTGGCCAGGGCAATTAGGCAGGAGAAGGAAATAAAGGGTATTCAATTAGGAAAAGAGGAAGTCAAATTGTCCCTGTTTGCAGACGACATGATTGTATATCTAGAAAACCCCATTGTCTCAGCCCAAAATCTCCTTAAGCTGATAAGCAACTTCAGCAAAGTCTCAGGATACAAAATCAATGTACAAAAATCACAAGCATTCTTATACACCAACAACAGACAAACAGAGAGCCAAATCATGAGTGAACTCCCATTCACAATTGCTTCAAAGAGAATAAAATACCTAGGAATCCAACTTACAAGGGATGTGAAGGACCTCTTCAAGGAGAACTACAAGCCACTGCTCAATGAAATAAAAGAGGATACAAACAAATGGAAGAACATTCCATGCTCATGGGTAGGAAGAATCAATATCGTGAAAATGGCCATACTGCCCAAGGTAATTTACAGATTCAATGCCATCCCCATCAAGCTACCAATGACTTTCTTCACAGAATTGGAAAAAACTACTTTAAAGTTCATATGGAACCAAAAAAGAGCCTGCATCGCCAAGTCAATCCTAAGCCAAAAGAACAAAGCTGGAGGCATCACACTACCTGACTTCAAACTATACTACAAGGCTACAGTAACCAAAACAGCATGGTACTGGTACCAAAACAGAGATATAGATCAATGGAACAGAACAGAGCCCTCAGAAATAATGCCGCATATCTACAACTATCTGATCTTTGACAAACCTGAGAAAAACAAGCAATGGGGAAAGGATTCCCTATTTAATAAATGGTGCTGGGAAAACTGGCTAGCCATATGTAGAAAGCTGAAACTGGATCCCTTCCTTACACCTTATACAAAAATCAATTCAAGATGGATTAAAGACTTAAACGTTAGACCTAAAACCATAAAAACCCTAGAAGAAAACCTAGGCATTACCATTCAGGACATAGGCATGGGCAAGGACTTCATGTCTAAAACACCAAAAGCAATGGCAACCAAAGCCAAAATTGACAAATGGGATCTAATTAAACGGAAGAGCTTCTGCACAGCAAAAGAAACTACCATCAGAGTGAACAGGCAACCTACAAAATGGGAGAAAATTTTCGCAACCTACTCATCTGACAAAGGGCTAATATCCAGAATCTACAATGAACTCAAACAGATTTACAAGAAAAAAACAAACAACCCCATCAACAAGTGGGCGAAGGACATGAACAGACACTTCTCAAAAGAAGACATTTATGCAGGAAAAAAAACACATGAAAAAATGCTCACCATCACTGGCCATCAGAGAAATACAAATCAAAACCACAATGAGATACCATCTCACACCAGTTAGAATGGCAATCATTAAAAAGTCAGGAAACAGCAGGTGCTGGAGAGGATGTGGAGAAATAGGAACACTTTTACACTGTTGGTGGGACTGTAAACTAGTTCAACCATTGTGGAAGTCAGTGTGGCGATTCCTCAGGGATCTAGAACTAGAAATACCATTTGACCCAGCCATCCCATTACTGGGTATATACCCAAAGGACTATAAATCATGCTGCTATAAAGATACATGCACACATATGTTTATTGCAGCACTATTCACAATAGCAAAGACTTGGAACCAACCCAGATGTCCAACAATGATAGACTGGATTAAGAAAATGTGGCACATATACACCATGGAATACTATGCAGCCATAAAAAATGATGAGTTCATGTCCTTTGTAGGGACATGGATGAAACTGGAAATCATCACTCTCAGTAAACTATCGCAAGAACAAAAAACCAAACACTGCATATTCTCACTCATAGGTGGGAATTGAACAATGAGAACACATGGACACAGGAAGGGGAACATCACACTCTGGGGACGGTTGTGGGGTGGGGGGAGGGGGGAGGGATAGCACTGGGAGATATACCTAATGCTAGATGACGAGTTAGTGGGTGCAGCACACCAGCATGGCACATGTATACATATGTAACTAACCTGCACATTGTGCACATGTACCCTAAAACTTAAAAGTATAATAATAATACATTTAAAAAAAAAACTTTACAAGAATAGTAAATTTTAAGTAACAAAACTGTATAATATGTGGGATCTCTTTTGCATAATTGTATAATGTCAAGATTCAATATACTTCTTTTCTGACTTGTACTGTATAACTTGTGAATAAAGCAGGTCATTTTTGCAGAAACTAAAAAAAAAAAAAAAAGAAAGTAACCGACTAGTTCTTTCTGTAATGTAAATACGAATATGTAGAAGATAAATATATTCTAAACCTTGGGGCCTCATTTGGCTGTCTTATGCCTTTAACAAATAAATTTAAAAAATGAGATATGGGAAAAAGTTTTATCAGTAATCAGTGAAGTGGAATTTCCACACAGTATTTGAAAATGGAGGGAAAGGTTATATGCTTTACGTTTCATTTTGGTAATACAATATATTAATGTAATTTTAACAAGATATACCATATGTTTCTGGAATGTTTTTAAAAACAAGTATCTATTTCCTGTTACTCCAAAAAGTTACCTTTGAATAAACTGATTTAGTTAATTCTTCATTTAAAAGGGTATATCATTGTCAGTGTATGACCAATAACCCTTTCCATTCTGTTCACACATTTACCCTATAGGTTCTAGACAATACTTATTTTTTGTTTTTTTGTTTTTTGTTTGTTTCTTTTTTTAGACAAGGTTTCACTTTTGTTTACCAGGCTGGGGTGCAGTGGCGTGATCTCGGGTCACTGCAACCTCTGCCTCCTGGGTTCAACCGATTCTCCTGCCTCAGCCTCCCGAGTAGCTGGGATTACAAGCATGTGCCAGCACACCCAGCTAATTTTTTGTATTTTTAGTAAAGATGGGGTTTCACCATGTTGGCCAGGCTGACCAACTTGAACTCCTGACCTCCTCGAACTCCTGACCTCAGGTGATCTGCCCCTCTCGGTCTCCCAAAGTATTGGGATTACAGGCGTGAGCCACCTCACCCGGCCAGTGTATTTGTTTATACATTAACAATTTCTATTAAACTCCCCAGCATTGTTGAAAATGTCATTTATCATATACAAACAGGTTAAATATCTCTTATCTTAAATGCTTAGGACCCGAAGTGTTTCAGGTTTTGAATTTCTTTGGACTTTGAATTTCTTTGCATATACATAATGAGGTTTCATGGGAATGGTACCCAAGTGTAAACACAGAATTCATTTGTGTTTCATGTACAGCTATACACATAGCTTGAAGGTAATTTTACATAATATTTTAAATAATTTTGTGCATCAGAGTTTCAAAAAGCAAAGGTGTCACTGTTTCAGCCACCTTTGTAAATAATCTTTGTAAATAACCTGTTGGGCATCACCATCATTCCTGACTCTGAATTTATTTTTATTTTTATTTTTTTTTGAGACGAAGTCTTGCTGTGTCACCCAGGCTGGAGTGCAGTGGCACGATCTTGGCTCACAGCAACCTCCACCTCCCAGGTTCAAGAGATTCTCCTGCCTCAGCCTCCCAAGTAGCTGGGATTACAAGCACCCACCACCACGCCCAGCTAATTTTTTGTATTTTTAGTAGAAACAGGGTTTCACCCGACTCTGAATTTATATGCTACCAATAAGCAATCCTTTTCTTATATTTCTTCACACGTAAGTACTTAACACCGGTGCAGTCATGACTCACTGCAGCCTCAACCTCTGGGGTTTAAGTGATCCTCCCACTCCAGCCTCCTAAGTAGCTGGGAATTGCATGTGCATACTACCACGCCCAGCTAATTTTTTTGATTTTTTTGTAGAGACAAGGTCTCACTATTGCCCAGGCTGGTCTTGAACTCCTGGGCTCAAGTGATCCTTCAACCTTAGCCTCCCAAAGTGCTGGGATTACAGGTGTGAACCACTGCACCCAGCCCAGGTGTGTAAATTTTTGAGCATTGTATTGGCACTCAAAAAGTTTTGGATTTTGGAGCATTTAAGATTTTAGATTTTTGGCTGGGCATGGTGGCTCATGCCTGAATCCCAGCATTTTGGGAGGCCAAGGTGGGTGGATCACAAGGTTCGAGACCAGCCTGACCAACATGGTGAAACCCCGTCTCTACTAAAAATACAAAAATTAGCTGGGCGTGGTAGTGTGCATCTGTAATCTCAGCTACTGAGGAGGCTGAGGCAGGAGAATCACTTGAGCCCAGGAGGCAGAGGTTGCGGTGAGCTGAGATCACACCTCTGCATTCTAGCCTGGGCGACAGAGTGAGACTCAGTCTCAAAAAAAAAAGATTTTAGATTTTTGGATTAGGGATGCTCAACCTGTATTTAACAAAGACAGGATACTTGTTTGTATCAATAGCTGAAGGCTAAATGATACTGCAATAACACACAATTTAAAAGAAGACAACAAAACAAAACTCAGTGGCTTACAACAACTGAGTTGGTAAAACCATGTGATGGCTCTCAAAACTTTCACTTGGACTTGGCACATTACTTCAGTTCATATTTGATTATCCAAACCAGTCACATGACCAAGCCTGTCAGTAGAGCAAGAATTATAGCCTTTCCAGATAATTGTGTAACTATAAAAATATTTATTACTCCTCCTTCAATAAAGACAACTCATAGAACCGGATGATTGCAAGTTGATTTTAGGTAAGAAATAAGTTTTGGTGGTTCTTCTTATAGAATGCTTATGTATCTCCACAGCTCAGCCAGCAGGAGTGCCAGAAATCTTAAAGAAAAGCTTGCATAGCTGTTCAGTGAAAGGAGAAGAAGAAGTGTTTTTAATCGGCAAGAACTTTCTGAAAGGAACTAAAGTTATTTTCCAAGAAAATGTTTCTGGTAAGTACGCATATTTGTGGTACAGATATTTGTATGTTTTCACTTTGTTATATGGATATAGTCATAGCTACAGAGTAAAAAAAATAGTTCAAAAATTTAATAAATCACTTTTTATTTCAATCAGATGAAAACTCTTGGAAGTCAGAAGCTGAAATTGATATGGAACTATTTCATCAGGTAAAATTTAAGCTTTTTTTATAATTTGGTTATTTACTCTCTGAGCAATTCAGTTTTGTTTTGAAATTTTCCTGAATCAATAGATTAAATTTCTTCTTCCTATGGGATTGATATGAATTATTTAAAGTTTCTTTCTTGAGTTTCTTTAACTGAAATAGAATTATTTTCCTAATGGTAAACATGACCACCTCTATTTTAAAAAGTTAGGATCATTAACAAATGTTTCCATTGTTAATAAACAAAATCTTTCTTTCCTGATACTTATTTTCTCTGAGGATTTGCATAATCTTAATCCACTATATAGTTAAATAAAAGGGAAACCAATATTTATTGAGAATCTGTTATGTTTCAGGTACTTTATATTTGTTAAACCTTCTTGTGTTTAGAAGCACTCATCACACTGATATTAGTCTGTATTTGCAGGACCTCACCATGTATTGTTTCCCAAATAACAATGAAAACTTGAAAACAAGGATCAAGACCTGACTTAGGAATTCGTATTTAGAGCAGACAGGACCAAACCCCTAGAAATTGAGACTAACAGAAGGCCAAATTTATAAGCAAGTTAGAAGGCACATGGAGAAGAGGTAGTATGTACAGGTGTAGAACTGAGACAGAGAGAGAAGAGAGAAACAGGAACAAGCTAATGTGTAAATTACCCAAAGCCTAAAATTTAGTGTAAGCTGATGGGGAAAGAAAAGAGCACATGACAGAAGGTAGAGAAATAGAAGATGCAAAAATTAGACAATCTATAGCCACTTTATCCAAAAAGTTTATAATTTCCTTGTTGTTTTAAAATTTATTTTTTATTCCTTTGTGTATTTTTAAAAACCTAATAAAATTTAAAACATATATCCAATATATTGCCACACTCAAGGCTCAGGGCACAGCCAAGACTGTTGCCACTTCATACACCAGACACAAGTTCAAAGGTCCCCAGGCCACCCTCTTTTTTTGAACGAGTGGCTCAAACAGTATTTTTCCTACTGTCCCCTTGGATTTGATAACTTCCTAGAAAAATTCACAGAACTCTGGGAAGTGCTATACTTAGTGCCTGTAGTTTTTTTGTTTGTTTGTTTTTGTTTTGTTGTTGTTGTTCTTTTAAGACAGTCTTGCTCTGTCGCCAGGCTGGCATACAGTGGCGCGATTTCAGCTCACTGCAACCTCTGACTCCCTGGTTCAAGCAATTCTCCTGTCTCAGCCTCCTGAGTAACTGGGACTACAGGCATGTGCCACCATGTCCAGCTAATTTTTGTATTTTTAGAAGAGACGGGGTTTCACCATGTTGGCCAGGATGGCCTCCATCTCCTGACCTCATGATCTGCCCGCCTTGGCCTCCCAAAGTGCTGGGATTACAGGTGTGAACCACTGTGCCTGGCCTAGTGCCTATAGTTTTACAACAAAAGGACAGAAATCAGAATCAGCTAAAGGGAGAGATGCATAACACAAGGTCTCGGAGTGTCCCAGGCACTAACCTTCTGTCATCCTCAGGAAGACATTACCATCTTGGCATAGCAATGTGTGATGATAACAATATGCAGAGAATTACCAAGCAGGGAAGCTCACCCAAGCCTTTGGTGTCCAGAGTTATTATTTCAGACCTGATTATATACTGCCCATGCAGCTACCTTTGGTCTTCACTTCCACAAGGTTAGAATTGATATGGTGTGTTCCAAAGCCTCTGTTATAAATCACATTGTTAGACTATCCAGCGACCAAAGCTCTCAAGTAAATATCACTGTCACACAAGACATTGCAGGAACCTAGAGATTACCTCCTAGCAGCCAGAGGTAAAGACCAGAACTCTCTCTGGGTAAAGTTAATTATTTCCTAGACAATATCGTATAGTGTGGAGATTCCTATATATCTAGACAAATGCTATGTGGCAAGTTTTCCTCTGGCCTTATGCAACTACATGTTGTGGAAAAGAGATAATGGGACTTAACAAACATTCCTTTGTCACACAGACCATTGGGCAATATCTCCTAGGGTTTATAGTCAGACTAGTCTTAATTGAAGTTTTAATACCTGCTTTGTCATTAGCAATCTGTGTTAACTAAGTAAGACAAATGACTTTTGTGCTCCAGTTTTCTGATCTGTAAGATAAGCGCTTTCATTAGATTATTTGAGACTCCTCTGACTCTAACATTTTATTATTTCTTATATTATTTGATCAGACCATCTCCACTCCCATGAACCAACAATAGCTTCCTCTGGAGTACTCCTGGAGGTTAGAGGCAATGTATTATAATTCTTCTGTGTTCCTTGTAATACCAAACACTTAATAGATACACAAGAAAAACTTATTAGTTCATTTTATTCACCTTGAAGAAAAAAATGGGTGACTGTGTGGTCTAAGTAAGGTTCATTTGTTCTTTCCGAGGATACTTCAAACCCTAATTTCAGCCAGGTCTTTAAATACCTAGAGTTGTAATCCTAACTGAAACTTAATTTATTCATGCAGTACTTTTGTATGCTATGAACATGTTTTGTTTCTTGACAAATTAGTTAGATTAATGTAGACTCCCTTGCTTGTAATGCTCTATTATGATTGTTATTCTTATGATAAAGATTGATAGATAAGGAGACTATTTCTGGAGATTGAGAGACTTGCCTTATAAATTATACAAAATATCAATGACATAGCCCCAACAAATTGTAGTATTAACTTGCTATTTTGTATAGAACTTTATATTCATAAGTTATCCTCCCTCCCTACCTCCATTTTTCTTTCTCTCTCTCTCTCTTGCCTTTTGAGGCATGGGGTAGTTATATTTTTAAAACACTTTTTTTCAGGGCAGTTATGCCAGCTACAGTAGGTTAAAGAATAATAATCATAAAAATAAGACACGTGGTGGAATGGAAAGGAATTATATCCTTATTTGGTGACTATATCTAGAGGTCCTGGGGTTTTTGCAAGCAAGTATGTAAACAAACTAAATCATAATATAATCTGTCATTAATTCTGTGGTTTTGTTCATTTTTATCTTTTTCAGAGAGAGGTTTTATTTTATTTTTTTTCTAAAGGGGTTTTCTTGGAAGCCTTTTCTTTGAGTGGAATCAGAGCTGAGATCCTAGAGAATTGATTCTAGAGATTATATAAAGGAAGAAAACCCACAAAGCAAACCTTTAGGGGGAAGAAAATGTGTTGAGACTGGGCATAGTGACTCATACCTATAATCCCAGCACTTTGGGAGGTAGAGGCAGGAGGATTGCTTGAAGCTGGGAGTTTAAGACCAGCCTGGGCAACATAGTGAGATCCCATCTCTACAAAAAATTTAAAATATAGCCAGTCATGGTGGCACATGCATATAGTTCCAGCTACTTGGGAGGCTGAGGTCAGAGAATCACTTGAGCCCAGGAAGTTGAGGCTGCAGTGAGCCCTGATTCCGCCACTGCACTTCCACGTGGGTGACAGTGAGACCCTGTCTCAAACAAAAAAAAAAGACAACACACTTTGGATGTGATCAGTAAAGAAATATTAGGCCTACACAAAAAAAGTTGAAAGGGAATCTCTACAATATTTAAAAATACCCAGCAGATGGTATAGTAGAAAAGACCATTTAAAGATAATTTCACAAATTGCAGTTGTGAAAGATTGTAATAGCTGTTCAGTTGCAAACCCAAAATCAATTCATCAGGTATTACACTTTTTCTATCATATTATAAATATTGCCAGGCGTGTGGCTCATGCCTATAATCCCAGCAGTTTGGGAGGCCGAGGCAGGTGAATCACCTGAGGTCAGGAGTTCGCGACCAGCCTAGACAATATGGCAAAACCCCATCTCTACTAAAAATACAAAAATTTGCTGGGTGTGGTGGCATATGCCTGTAATCCCAGCTACTTAGGAGGCTGAGGCAAGAAAATCACTTGAACCCAGGAGGCGGAGGTTGCAGTGAGCTGAGATCACGCCATTGCACTCCAGCCTGGGCAACAAGAGTGAAACTGTCTCAAAAAAAAAAAAAAAAAAAAAGTAATACGGTATTATAAATATTGAGACTAATGAAGTCTGGAAAAACAATTCTTTGTTCAATTGTTTTCTGGTCTTCTGGTCCATAGTATACCTCATGCTCATGTATACCAAATATGATGGGTACATGATCATTCATTATGTCTATTCCCTTTTAACAACTGTAGATGAGTTATATATAACATTAATTACCTATTAAAAATATATATAAAGGGATATTCAATCTATATATACAAATATACATAAAAGGATAGCTCAGGGGAAGATGGTATAAATGTGGAAAGAAAATTCTTGAAAGAAGTACAAAAAAAAGATCCTCAGAAGAATTTGTGGGAAGAACTAGACTAAACAAAGACTTGAAAGCTTAGAGTTATGTTTTTCAAATCAGTTCTAAGAGTAATTTTGTAATGGGTCTTTGGTCAAGTCTAATTGTAGATATTCTAATTATGTAGGTATTCTGATTATATATATTCCCAACTGTAAAATTAATGTGACAAAATAAAAAGTATCTCATAGAAGAGTGAAAGATATCTAGCACCATTGCTGGTACACTCTGAAAAAGATTATCTGCTAGGGAAAAAGTTATTTGAATCTAAGCAGATTTTTCTAAGAAGTTAAAATTCAATTGTTTTCCTCTTTTTATCCCAAAGAGCATTATACCTGCTCCCAAAGCCTCCCAACCCTTTGTATGTTTTGTATGTACTGTATCCCTAGCTCAGTGATAGTTAATTGTTTCTAATTTATGAGAGGGTATTAAAAATAGCTTTTGATCACTAGTGACAGTTTACCTAATTTTTAATTCAGATCAGTTGTAGAATTTCTAGATTCAGATTGAGGAAGTTTGAAGAATTAGTAGCAAAATAGGTTCATTTGGTTTTTAAAAGGTTTCAAAATTAGTTTTACTTAAATGTGCTCTCCAAAGCAAGTAGAGTAAAAGTATTTTGATAAAATATGCATCTGATTTGTAGACACTAGTCCTGTTACTAATTGCCAAGAAACAAGTTTTTATTCAAAAGAATAGTTTGAATTATGGAGTTTGCCAAACAATTTTAAGAGTGAGAGCTCTCACAAGCTGTTCATTCAACCATCTCCTTAACTCTAGATAGACTGTTTCTGTGACATAGTTGTAGTGTTTAAACAACAGAGTAAAAATGAGGTAGACAAGATTCAGTAACTCTGTTTCTTAGAAGTTAGATCAATACCAGTGCGTTTTTTATGACCTTGTATGTGTTCAGATTTAGCTCCTGCCTTATAACTGTGGATGTATGCATATTTGTACATGTTTTTCCACCTAGTTGAAAAGAATGTGGTTTTTTTGAGATGGCCAACTTAGGAGGCATTCTGTTAATGCCGTAAATTAGAAGCTAGTTTTTTGTTTTTTTGTTTTTTTTGTTTTGGAGACAGAGTTACGCTCTTGTTGCCCAGGCTGGAGTGCAATGACGCGCTCTTGGCTCACCTCAACCTCCGCCCCCCGGGTTCAAGCGATTCTTCTGCCTCAGCCTCCTGAGTAGCTGGGATTACAGGCATGTGCCACCAGGGCTGGCTAATTTTTTGTATTTTTAGTAGAAACAGGGTTTCACCATGTTAACCAGGCTGTTCTCAAGCTCCTGACCTCAGGTGATCTGCCCACCTCGGCCTCCCAAAGTGTTGGGATTACAGGCGTAAGCCACCATGCCTGGCCTAGTTCTTTATTTATAATGTGACTGTATTTCAGAGAGTGTTTTAAGATGGCTCAGAAACAAATTAAATTCTCAGAAATGGAAACCTTGACCTTGATCTCATTTGTCCCATATTTTCTATTCAACTGAGTCAACGAACTATGTAGTCTAACTAAATTTTAAATGTCATCAAACTCACGTCACCCTCAGCTGTCAGCTTCGGCCTCCTGCAAATCAGATCATTAGTGAAAAAGCATAATCACTACCCTGTGATATCCCCTACCATTATAATAATCTACTAGGGAAGAAGAAAAAAAAGTCAAATATGGCTCATATTACCCTCTAAGAAGATATAGTACCCTTGAGTAAGTACTGGTGAAACTTTTATGAACTCTGCCTTTCTCTTATAAGGATGCTTCTGCCACTGTTCCAACTAAAAACATCTTTGGTTTACTGAGATGTGGATAAACTGAACCCAATTTGACTTAAAATGAGAATTATGTTGTTAGGAGTAGCGAACTGCATTGTGAAATACATCTCACATTGAGGTTGTACAGAATGTATGGTAACTGACTTTGCCCTTGGTGGGCATATTTTTTTTCTAATAATTTATTCATTCTTTTATTCAATATGTACCTTATGTAAGGTACTATTCTTTACAAGTGAGACAGAGTGAAGAACAAAACAGCCTAGATCCTCATGGAGCTTACATTCTTATGTTTGGAGAAAGACCAAAAAACAAGCAAATAGGGTAATTTGCAGGGGTGAGGATAAGTGCTGTTATGGAAATAAACAAGATTATGTTATAAGGTTGGGGAAGGGTTTTGCTTTAAATAGGATGATCAGGGAAGGCTTCTTTGAGGTGACATTTGTATCTGACCTGATAATGGGTTAGGAACTCACCATTTGAGGAGGTGAAGGAATAATATTGCAATTGAAGAGAATAACAAGTATAGAGAATCTGAGGTAAAACTGAGTTTAGTATGTTAAAAGAAGGGACCGAGGTCAGTGTGGCTACAGTGTAGTGAGCTAGAAGAGCAGGAATGAGATGAAGTTGACAGGGCAGGGATCTTGACCTTGTAAGCCATTATAAAACACTTGGATTTTACCTTAAAAGCAGTGTTAAGATTAATATCCTGATGCCTGTGAACCTGAGCTTTAAAATGCATTCTTTTTTTTTTAATCACTTTTTAAACTTTACAGCTAACAGGAAATATACTTCATTTAAAATTTTTAAATTTAAGTATTGCTTCTTTTCCAACTCTTGTGCTTTTCTTTACATTAGAATCATCTTATTGTGAAGGTTCCTCCCTATCATGACCAACATATAACTTTGCCTGTGTCAGTGGGAATATATGTAGTGACAAATGCTGGAAGATCTCATGATGTTCAACCATTCACTTACACTCCAGACCCAGGTATGTCAAAATGAAAAATTCAGAACTAAAACAAATAATTAATTTCCAGTTTTTTGAAAGAATATGAAGATGACTAGCCAACCAAAAAGAAAGTTGCTCACTAAGATGAATTGATGTTAGTTTCTTTTGGAAATGACATTATTTTCTAAGAGGACAGCCGCCAGATACTGCTTTTACTCTTATATTAAGGAATCATTTCTACCTTATGCTATAATAATAAAAGGCAGCAATGCTCTGAAGTCAGATTCTCTGAAGCTATCTGACAGGTTACTCCTCCATAAGAATTTCCATGCATTGACTACCGCTTATGTGCAGAAACCTGAAAGTGACAACTTTGGGAAATTGCTAATAGTTTAGTTTGGCTGGTTTATAGGGTACATTTTGAGAGAGAGAAGAGATAAACTAGAGTGACAGGTGATAAAATAAAAAATCCCAAAGACTGATGGTGAATAAATATTTTTTTCTTTCTATATTGCCCCATAATACCTGATAAATATTTTAAATAAAACTTTGGTTGGGTTAAAACGATATTTTAGGCTGGGTGCGGTGATGCACACCTGTAATCTCAGCACTTTGGGAGGCCGAGGCGGGTGGATCACCTGAGGTCAGGGGTTTGAGATGAGGCTGGCCAACATGTTGAAACCTTGTCTCTACTAAAAATACAAAAAAAAAATTAGCTGGGTGTGGTGATGGGTGCTTGTAATCCCAGCTACTGGGGAGGCTGAGGAAGGAGAATTGCCTGAACCTGGGAGGTACAGGTTGCAGTGAGCTGAGATTGTGCCATTGCACTCCAGCCTGGGCGATAGAGCGAGACTGTCTCAAAGACAGAAAACAAAACAAAAACCTGATATTTTAGAAATGAGAGGAACTAAATTTTTTTTTTTTGCATGTGAGTGGGAGACGGAGTCTCGCTGTGTCGCCCAGGCTGGAGTGCAATGGCGCGATCTTGGCTCACTGCAACCTCCACCTCCTGGGTTCAAGCTATTCTCCTGCCTCAGCCTCCCGAGTAGCTGGGACTACGGGTGTACACCACCACGCCCAGCTAATTTTTGTTTTTTCAGTAGAGACGAGGTTTCACCATGTTAGCCAGGCTGGTCTCAAATTCCTGACCTTGTGATCCACCTGCCTCGGCCTCCCAAAGTGCTGGGATTACAGGCATGAGCCACCACGTCCGACCCTAAAATGTTCAAAGTTTAGAAGATACCTATTTATGAAGTGTCTCACAAGTTATTTGCCTGCATTCATTTAGATGCCTGAAAAAAGCAAAAAGCCTCCTTTTGGCAGAAATGGGGAGAACATTTTGGAAATGGAAACTCTTTGCATGCTCCATTGACCTAGGCTTGGCTTCTGCCATGTTTACCATTGGTTCAGTTCAGTCCAGTCTCAAGCATACTTCAGAATTAGCAGTTCTTCTCTATCTGTAGTTTATTAGTATGTTATTTCCATATAGTTCAAGATCCAGTGAGGTAGAAGGTAAAGAATGGGGCAAAGAAAGAAAGCCCTGGCATCAAAAAGTGAAGAAAACAGTAGCTAGGACAGAATAACAACTAATTTAAGTTAATTGCTTTCTGTCACTTAATTTTTCTATTCACTATTCTCTTTTCTTTTCTTTTCTTTTTGAGATGGAGTCTTGTGTTGCCCAGGCTGGGGTGCAGTAGCGTGATCCTGGGTCATTGCAACCTCTGCCTCCCAGGTTCAAGCGATTTTCCTACCTCAGCCTCTCATGAGTAGCTGGCACTACAGGCATGCACCACCATACATGGCTAATTTTTGTTAGTAGAGACAGGGTTTTGCCATGTTGGCCAGGCTGGTCTCAAACTCCTGACCTCAGGTGATCTGCCCGCCTCGGCCTCCCAAAGTGCTGGGATTACAGGCGTGAGCCACCACTCCCAGCCTCATATTTTATTCTTAATCGTATCTGAATTTTGCAACATTATTTTCTACTAATTTGTTACAAAAGGTATGCCACAGTACAGCACTGTTAAAATACCCCTTGAAGGCCTGGCATGGTGGCTCACACCTGTAATCCTAGCACATTGGGAGGCCGAGGTGGGCGAATCACTTAAGGCCAGGAATTCAAAACCAGCCTGGCCAACATGGTGAAACCCCTCTCTACTAAAAATACAAAAATTAGCCAGGCGTGGTGGTGGGCACCTGTTTACCCAGCTACGTGGGAGGCTGAGACAGGAGAATCTCTTGAACCCGGGAGGTGGAGGTTGCAGTGAGCCAAGATCACACCACTATACTCTAGCCTGGGAAACAGAGTGAGACTTTGTCAATAAATAAATAAATAAATAACCTTGATATTTGTCTCAGAATTAAAGATCATGTGTGAAAACATTGGACCAAAAAGGCAAAGTTTAGAAATAACATCCTGGCTTCAACAAAAATAGGAGAAAGAAGATTGGCTTATTCTCAAAGACCAAATATTTTATTGTTTCCTTTCTAGGAAGGCTTAAAACATCTAAGGAAATTTGATATAAAATTAATAATAGTTGGCTGGGCATGGTGGCTCACGCCTGTAATCCCCGCCAGCACTTCGGGAGGCCAAGGCAGGTGGATTACAAGGTCAGGAGATCAGGACCATCCTGGCTAACACGGTGAAACCCATCTCTACTAAAAATACAAAAAAATTAGCCGGGCGCGGTGGTGGGCACCTGTAGTCCCAGCTACTCAGGAGGCTGAGGCAGGAGAATGGCATGAACCTGGGAGGCAGAGCTTGCAGTGAGCTGAGATTGCGCCAGTGTACTCCAGCCTGGGCGACAGAGCAAGACTCCATCTCAAAAGAAAAAGGAAAGAAAATTAATGATAGTTAAAGCATTTTAGTAACTGATAGTTACTAAATATTGACATTTAATGTTTGGCAGGAGCTTGCACAAACATGAGAAGAAAGATGGTATAATTAATACATAGGATTTGTTTCCTGATGAGCTTCTGCATCAGTTGTGTTGGAAGGGAAAGGAATTTATGTCAGGAAATAGCCTTAAAGGTTTTGCTATCCTGAAAACACTGAGATTTTCTTGTCTTCACTTGTTTCTTTGTTTTTATTGATATGAGACTTCAGGACTTTGAAGTACTTAGCATCAACACTAAGAATCATCATTTCTTAGTGATAAATGCTAATTATTAGAAATTGGCCTTTGATAAATTGCTGAACAAACAACTTTTAAGTATTCTACTTCAAAGGCTATACTAATTGCCTAATTTTGGCCATTCTTAGGCAATCATTACTGTATGTTTGCTCTTTCAAGTTTTCCCCCAGCATATTTTGTATGTTACAGATAGCAATCACTCTTAGAAAACCTTGTTTGAATAAATATAAGGTATGCAAACTTTGTAATACAATCTAATGTCTTAGCTTCTGCCTCTATGATACAGCTAATTAGTCTTCCTGCAATTTTCATTTTTTTGTTTTTTTGTTTTTATTTTGTTTTGTTTTTTTGAGATGAATTCTTGCTCTGTCACCCAGGCTGGAGTACAGTGGCGTGATCTCGGCTCACTGCAACCTCCACCTCCCAGGTTCAGGCAATTCTCCTGCCACAGCCTCCGAAGTAGCTGGGACTACAGGTGCCCACCACCACACCTGGCTAATTTTTGTATTTTTAGTAGAGACGGGGTTTCACCATGTTGGCCAGGCTGGTCTCTAACTCCTGACCTCAAGTGATCCGCCCGCCTCAGCCTCCCAAAGTGTTGGGATTACAGGCATGAGCCACAGTTGTACTTTTTTGTATTTTATGAAATGTAATAATCTTTTCAAGTGTCCATGAGAAGTGTCTTGGAAGCCATGAGAGAGAATATGATTTCAGGAAAACTTGGGCACAGAGAATTTGGCCTATCTCAGTATGACAAACTAATAGCTGTTGTGATTCATTTAGGGACTGTTGTTAAATATTTGATTACTCGATAGTGTATTATTATAGCAGCCAAAACAAGGTCCATCCTAATATTTACGGGTTGGAGTAGAAGTGGTGACTGTTAATACTATTAGTTGAAATACTTAAAAGTTATAAATAAAACTAACAAATCATTAAGTGAAATACCTCCTATCTTACTTTGACCAAAATACCCTCATAACAACCTGAAAGGCTAAATTTGAATTTAGAATTTTCAAACTGCTTTGAGTTCTAAGCTGGGCTATGGTAGCATGAGGAGAGAGCATCCCTGCCTGCCACCCTTCTTTTGCCACTTTTTGGCTCCATCCTATACTTGGAAGCCTTTGATACCTTAATCAGTGTTTCCACCTAATATGCCTAAGAGTGCTCACAAAATCTAGGATAGTTGTACAGAAAATCTAGGGATTGGCCGGGCACGGTGGCTCACGCCTGTAATCCCAGCACTTTGGGAGGCCGAGGTGGGCGGATCATGAGGTCAGGAGATCGAGACCATCCTGGCTAACACAGTGAAACCCCGTCTCTACTAAAAAATACAAAAAATTAGCCAGGTGTGGTGGCAAGTGCCTGTAGTCCCAGCTACCCAGGAGGCTGAGGCAGGAGAATGGCATGAACCCGGGAGGCAGAGCTTGCAGTAAGCTGAGATCGCGCCACTGTACTCCAGCCTGGGCAACAGAGCAAGACTCCATCTGAAAAAAAAAAAAAAAAAGAAAGAAAAGAAAATCTAGGGATCCTGGGTGCCTGTTACATGGTCTAAAGGTAGGGTCAAGGCAAAGGCTCAAGTGAACATGTCCTGGTTCCACACATTCTTCCAGGTACAGACCTTCTAACATCCCATGGGGCCATACTGCCCCAAATCAAAATGTGTATTCTCTCAGGCACTTAGATACTTTTCAGAGTCATAAAACCTTTGTATTATTGATAGTCTCTGAAGCTTTGCTTAGCCATTAAAACATTTTAATTTTTTTTTTTTTTTTACTTCAGCCTATTCAGACACAAAAATCACACATTATTTGCTGTAACTCCACAGTGGTGATTTCTATAAGAAATGGGAATGTAATATTTAACATTTTTTTTTTTTTTCTAAAAAAGAAATTACTGGCTGGGTGAGGTGGCTCACATATGTGGTCCTGACACTTCAGGAGGCCAAGGCAAGAGGATCACTTGAGCCCAGGAGTTTGAGACCAGCCTGGGCGATATAGTGAGACCCCCCCCCCCGCCATCCCTACAAAGAAAAAATAATACTAAGCTGAGCTTGGTGGCATGCACCTGTAGTCCCAGCTACTTGGGAGGCTGAGGTGAGAGATCGCTTGAGCCTGAGAGATTGAGGCTCCAGTAAGCCGTGATCATGCCAATGTACTCCAGCCTGGACAACAGAGCAAGACCCTGTCTCAAAAAAATAATAAGAAGAATTTAAAAATAACTCATAACATGATTTATAAGTAGAAATTTAAATTTTTTTCAAGGATTAGCTTATATTTTTAAATCTTTTATTACTAGAATTAATGTCATGCATAAATATGTGTGTTTTTTTTCCATTCAGTTGCCTATAAATCATTTGTTGGACCTACTGTGAAGCATACTAAGATAAATTATTTAACTTCATTCTCAGGAGATGTGTACAGATTTCCCTCTTTATTTTTGTTATAACTATCATTTGACATGTTAGAAAATATAAAATAAATATATTGAAAAATAGAAATTGGCTGGGCGTGGTGGCTCACGCATAGAATCCCAGCACTTTGGGAGACCGAGGTGGGCAGATCACCTGAGGTCAGAAGTTAGAGACCAGCCTGACCAACATGGAGAAACCCCATCTCTACTAAAAATACAAAATTAACAGGGTGCGGTGGGGCATGCCTGTAATCCCAGCTACTGGGGAGGCTAAGGCAGGAGAATCGCTTGAACCCAGGAGGCGGAGGTTGCAGTGAGCTGAGATCGCGCCACTGCACTCCAGCCTGGGCAACAAGAGCGAAACTCCGTCTCAAAAGAAAAAAAGAAGAAAAAAGAAAAGTAGAAATTAAGGCCAAGCACGGTGGTTCATGCCTGTAATCCCAGCAGTTAGGGTGTCTGAGGTGGGCAGATTGCTTGTGCTCAGCAGTTTGAGACCAACCTGGGCAACATGGCGAAACACCATTTCTACCAAAAATATAAAAATTAGACTGGCGTGGTGGCGTGTGCCTGTAGTTCCAGCTACTCAGGAGGCTGAGGTGGGTGATGGCTTGAGCTTGGGAGGTGGAAGTTGCAGTGAGCCGTTATCACGCCACTGCACTTCAGCCTGGGTGACAGAGCCCCAGACCCTGTCTCAAAGGAAGAAAATATATATGTATATTCAAATAAAATATATAATCATTTGAAGCAAGAACGAATTTATTTGTAATTTATTAAACTTTATTTTTTAGAACTGATTTATATTTAGGCCCATTAAATTTATAGTTTAAATTTGTTACAGTAGGCTGGGCACTCAAGCCTGTAATCCCAGCACTTTGGGAGGCCAAGGCGGGCAGATCACTTAAAGTCAAAAGTTTGAGACCCAGCTTGGCCAGCACGGTGAAACCCCATCTCTACTAAAAATACAAAAATTAGCCTGGCAGCCAGTGCGGTGGCTCACGCCTATAATCCCAGCACTTTGGGAAGCCAAGGTGGGCAGATTACCTGAGGTCAGGAGTTTGAGACCAGCCTGGCCAACATGGTGAAACCCCATCTGTACTGAAAATACAAAAATTACCCAGGTATGATGGTGTGCGCCTGTAGTCCCAGCTACTTGGGAGGCTGAGGCACGAGAATCCCTTAAACCCGGGAGGTGGAGGTTGCAGTGAGTCAAGACTGCGCCATTGCACTCCAGCCTGGGTAACAAGAGCGAAACTCCGTCTCAAATAAATAAATAGCCTGGCATGGTGGCGTGCACCTGAAATCCCAGCTACTCAAGAGGCTGAGGCAGGAGAATCACTTGAACCTGGGAGGTGGAGGTTGCAGTGAGCCAGGATCATACCACTGCACTCCTCCTGGGCGACCTAGCGAGACTGCCTCAAAAAAAAAAAAAAAAAAAAATTGGCTGGGCACGGTGGCTCACACCTGTAATCCCAGCAATTTGGGAGGCCGAGGCGGGTGAATCACGAGGTCAGGAGTTCAAGACCAGCCTGGCCAAGATGGTGAAACCTTGTCTCTACTAAAAATACAAAAAAATTAGCTGGGAGTGGTGGCAGGCGCCTGTAATCCCAGCTACTCGGGAGGCTGAGGCAGAGAATTGCTTGAACCCAGGAGGTGGAGGTTGCAGTGAGCCGAGATCACGCCACTGCACTCCAGCCTGGGCAACAGAGCGAGACTCTGTCGCAAAAAAAAAGATGGGGTTTCACCATGTTGGTCAGGGTGGTCTTGAACTCCTGACCTCAAGTGATCACCCGCCTTGGCTTCCCAAAGTGCTGGGATTACAGACGTGAGCCACTACACATGGCCTGGTATTGTTTTGCTAAGTGATCACATGCTCCGCCCACTTGGAGATTGGAGAATTTAGAGGATAGAAATTTACCTCAACTAGAATTTCTGCTAAATAAATAATTAAATGATACTTTGTGACAAGATATTCTAATTAAAGAATTTAAGATACGAGGTTTTTAGGATGAGTAAATGTAGATAAATACATTAATCTTTTTTTTAATAGCAGCAGCTGGTGCTTTGAATGTAAATGTGAAGAAGGAAATATCTAGTCCAGCAAGACCTTGCTCTTTTGAAGAGGCCATGAAAGGTACCAAGTAAATTCTTCTCAAAAATCGTAATTGGGTGCTCCTGTATGTTTTCTCTAGCACACCTTACTATTTTGTTTTCTCTTAGGTACTTATAATACTTTGCAGGGTATCTTCATATTGTAAAATAAATATGTGTTTAACTTTACTAAATGTAGAGACTTGTTTTCCAATTTGATATTTTTCTTGCTGAATATGTTTTTATATATATATATATATATATTTTTTTTTTTAAGTATATTGGAGTGGAGGAGTTTTGTTTTTTTTTTTAATTACCCAATATTAAAAGTATATGAGGCTGGGCACAGTGGTTCATGCCTGTAATGCCAGCACTTTGGGAGGCCGAGTCAGGTAGATCATTTGAGGTCAGGACTTCAAGACCTGCCTGGCCAACATGGTGAAACCCTGTCTCTACTGAAAATACAAAAATTAGCCAGGGGTGGTGGCAGGTGCCCGTAGTCCCAGCTGCTCGGGAGGCTGAGTCAGGAGAATCTCTTTAATCTGGGAGGCAGGGGTTGCAGTGAGCCAAGGTCATGCCACTGTACTCCAGCCTGGGCGACAGAGCGAGACCCTGTCTTAAAAAAAAAAAAAAAGTGAAATAAGGCCAGGCACGGTGGGTCACACCTATAGTCCCAGCACTTTCAGAGGCCAAGGTAGGAAGATTACTTGAGTCCAGAAATTTGAGATGATAAATATCCATTGGCTAATAATTAAATGCATCATCTATAGTTATTGCTGAACAGATATGGGCAGCACAGTGAGAAGATTTCTTGTCTCTACAAAAAAATTAAAACAGGCCAGGCGCAGTGGCTCACGCCTGTAATCCCAGCACTTTAGGAGGCCAAGGTGGGCAGATAACCTGAGGTCAGGCATTTAAGACCAGAGTGACCAACATGGAGAAACCCATTCTCTACTAAAAATACAAAATTAGCCAGGCATGGTGGTGCATGCCTGTAATCCCAGCTACTTGGGAAGCTGAGGCAGAAGAATCGCTTGAACTCAGGAAGCAGAGGTTGCGGTGAGCCGAGATCGTGCCACCGCACTCCAGTCTGGGCAACAAGAGCAAAACTATCTCCAAAAAAGAAAGAAAGAAAAATAGGCCAGGCGCGGTGGCTCATGCCTTTAATATCAACACTTTGGGAGGCTGAGCTTGGCAGATCATCGGAGGTCAGGAGTTGGAGACCAGCCTGGTCAACATAGCGAAACCCCATCTCTACTAAAAATACAAAAAAAAATTAGCCTGGCATGGTGATGTGTGCCTGTAATCCCAGCTACTCTGGAGGCTGAGGCAAGAGAATCACTTGAACCTGGGAGGTGGAGGCTACAGTGAGCCAAGATTGTGCCACTGCTCTCCAGCCTGGGCAACAGAGCGGGACTCGGTCTCAAAAAAAAAAAATTAAAAACATTAACCGGGCATGGTGGCATGCACTTATCATCCTAGCTATTCATGAGACTGAGGTAGGAGGATTGCTTGATCTGAAGAGGTCGAAGGTGCATTGAGCTGTGATCGTACCACTGCACTCCAGCATGGGCAAAGGAACAAGGTTCTCAAAAACAAAACAAAGCAGAAATTTGGTTGGTTTATATACTTTTTTGATAAAAAATTTAAATCAGGCTGGGCACGGTGGCTCACACCTATAATTCCAGCACTTTGTGGGGCTGAGGTGATTGGATCACCTGAGGTCAGGAGTTTGAGACCAGCCTGGCCAACATGGTGAAACCTCATCTCTACTAAAAATACAAAATTTAGCTGGGCATGGTGGTGCGTGCCTGTAATCCCAGCTGCTTGGGAGATTGGGCAGAAGAATTGCTTGAACCCGGGAGGCGGGGATTGCAGTGAGCCGAGATCATGCCACTGCACTTCAGCCTGGGCGACACAGTAAAACTCCACCTCAAAAAATATATATAAATCACATATGAGAAATTGTTTGGTAGAGATTACTTGAGAAAAAATGCAAGTGTTGGATTGTAATGCATTGACACCAGCTTGATGTTCTTAGAGCAAATTAATTCTTAGGAGGAGAAAAAGATTAATCTGATATTTTCATTTATAATGTACTACTAAATTGAAGTTGACTAGAAGATTATTATTGAATTAACAAGATGGAACATATCTGACAAACTTAATGTCTGGCCTGGAGACATTTTGGACTGTTTTTGGTGGGACTAGACTTAAATAAAATTGGAACAAGGCCAGATGTGGTGACTCACACCTGTAATCCCAGCACTTTGGGAGGCCAAGCCAGTGGATCACCTGAGGTCAGGAGTTTGAGACCTACCTGGCCAACATGGCAAAACCCTGTCTCTACTAAAAATAAAAAAATTAGCTGGGCGTGGTGGTGTGTGCTTGTAATCCTAGCTAGTTGGGAGGCTGAGACAGGAGAATCGCTTGAATCCAGGAGGCGAAGGTTGTAGTGAGCCCAGATTGAGCCACTGCACTCCAGCTTGGGCAATAGAGCAAGACTCTGAAAAAAAAAAAAAAAAAAAGGATTGGAACATAAATAAAATTAACCTTTGTGACCTTTGTGCATATGGCCGTAGAAGGACTTGTGTCTTTGCATGAGCATTAGACTAAATGTCCTTTTACTGTTTGTCTTTACCAGTAGACATACTTGTCAGTGGTCAACTGAGGATAGGTAAAAGACTCTTGCTCAACTTTCTCTACCTAGTCTCACTTTCCAGAAAGGGGGAGAAGATAATAAGCATTACTATCTAAATACATTTTAAGAAAAATTGTAGATCTGTTAAGCAGTAAGTGTATAGGTGATATATTTATTTATATGTAATTTCTAATTGAATTATAATATAATCTTATCTGTAAACATGGACATTTTTAGATCAAAAATACTATTAATAAAAATATAAGCCAGGTACAGTGGCTAGTGCCTATAATCCCAACTACTCAGGAGACTGAGGTGGGAGGATCACTTAAACCCAGGAGTTTGGCCGGGCGCGGTGGCTCACGCCTGTAATCCCAGCACTTTGGGAGGCCGAGGCGGGTGGATCATGAGGTCAGGAGATCGAGACCATCCTGGCTAACAAGGTGAAACCCCGTCTCTACTAAAAATACAAAAAAAATTAGCCGGGCGCGGTGGCGGGCGCCTGTAGTCCCAGCTACTCGGGAGGCTGAGGCAGGAGAATGGCGTGAACCCGGGAAGCGGAGCTTGCAGTGAGCCGAGATTGCGCCACTGCAGTCCGCAGTCCCGCCTGGGCGACAGAGCGAGACTCCGTCTCAAAAAAAAAAAAAAAAAAAAAAAACCAGGAGTTTGAGGCTGCAGGTACTCACTCCAGCCTGGGTAACAGAGTGAGACCCTGTCTCTAATTGAATGAATGAGTGAGTAAATGAATGAATGAATGAATGAATATTTTTAAAAAGAAAAATACAGACTGTATATTTTTATTTTTATTTATTATTATTATTATTTGAGATGGAGTCTTGCTTTGTTGCCCAGGCTGGAATGCAGTGGCGTGGTCTCGGCTTACTGCAACCTCTGACCTCTGCCTCCTGGGTTCCAGAGGCTGAGGTAACAGGTGCCCTCTACCACACCTGGCTTTTTTTTATTTTTACTTTTTTTGTATTTTTAGTAGAGACGGGGTTTCACCATGTTGGTCAGGCTGGCGAACTCCTGACCTCGTGGTCCACCCACCTCTGCCTCCCAAATTGCTGGGATTACAGGCATGAGCCAATGCGCCTGGCCCATATTTTTATTTTTATAGGATTAACCAAACAATCCACAACAAACTAAATTGACAGTGATAAAGCTAAAGTAAGATTATTTTCTTCATTCATTCAGCAAACATTTGTTGATTACCTACTGTGCAACAGGTGATAACAACATCTGCCTTCACAGAGCTCATGATCTAATGGAATTCAAAAGCAAGAATAGTAGTTGACTATTACAGGATCAACTTAAGATAACACTAATGGTTTTTCAAAATGTTCTATGGGATATTCTTAGATTACTTTTAAATGCCTGCCCTGTGCATGATCTGAAGTTTTGTCTCAGTCAAAATTAGGTTGTAGGCCGAGTGTGGTGGCTCACGCCTATAATCCCAGCACTTTGGGCAGCCTAGTAGGGAGGATCACTTGAGCTCAGGAGTTCAAGACCAGCCTAGGCAAAGTAACGAGACTCTTGTCTCTACAAAAAAATTTTAAAAATTAGTCAGGCATGGTGGTGTGTGCCTGTAGTCCCAGCTACTTATGGGGCTGAGGTGGGAGGATTGCCTGAGCCCAGGAGGTGGAGGTTGCAGTGAGGCCTGATTGTACCACTGCACTCCCACCAACAGAGAGAGACCCTGTCTCAAATAAGATAAAATAAAATAAAAATCTGGTTGTTAGGGGAATTGTATTGGTATTAGAATTTAGGTGAAAATAGGTCCAAAGAACTCATGAATAAATGATTCATTTCTCAAACTACTTAGGTAGAATAATAAAACATGGAATGTCAAAAGTTAAATGAGCACTTTCCCCTCTGTCAAAATAATCAGTTTTCATAGGAATTAGGTTTTTAGCCAAATGGCTGTGAGGCAAGTTGAAGTAAGACAAGAAAATTGCAAATATTTTTAGATGAAAATATTTACTTTCAGCAGATTTTGAGACAGTCTTGCTCCGTTGCCCAGCCTGCAGTACAGTAGAGCGATCTCAGCTCATTGCAACCACCTCCTCCTGGATTCAAGCAATTCTTGTGCCTCAGCCTCCCAAGTAGCTGGGATTTACAGGCATGTGCCACCATGCCCTGCTAATTTTTGTATTTTTAGTAGAGACAGAGTTTCACCATGTTGGCCAGGCTGGTCTCGAACTGCTGGCCTCAAGTGAGCCACCTGCCTCGGCCTCCCAAAGTGCTGGGATTGCAGGCATGAGCCACCACACTTGGCCTTTCAGCAGCATATTGACTGACAACAACAACAAAAATTTATGAAGGGAGCGATCCAACTTATAGACCATGTGCCATTTTAAAAGCTTCTTTATAGCCAAGATTTCTTCTCGATATCAAATTAAGAAATTTAACAGCTATGCTTTCTGAAGACTGTTTCCATAGAGCTTCCAAGTGGTAGTAAACTTTTAAATCAGGATTTGGCTATGTGCTCAACTCAGAAGACTGTCATTAGCAATAGCAGTAGGTACCACTGAGTGCCACTGCGGACTCAAGTAGACAAAAAAGAAGAAAGAAAAGCAATCAAGGGGGAAAGGTAGATATAGTGAAGTGGTAGAATCTTGCTATATGTTGCCTCTAGGTATAAATCTAGAACTAACTACTCCTGAAAATGGAGGTAGTAGGAGGTGGGAAATAATTTTTCATTTTGCTTGGGAAATTTGGTTTGTAAACCTAAAATAGCCCTTATTTCTGGGGAAAAAAAAAAAGATGTTTAAAGTCCAGTCTAAAAGAGAATTGTGTCCATGTGTCAACTTGTCATATTCAAGTTTTCTAATTAATTTAGTTTTCTTTTAATTTAGAAAAGCAAAATTTATTAATCACTGGGTGGTATTTTCTAATGAGAAGCTTGAACTTAGTTTAAGAAAGAAGTGCTCTGACAATCTCATAGTCCTTAAGAAGTTCTGAGACTATATTGTCAGATAGCTAAATGCTAAGAGGAGAGTGTAGTTTGTAATTGAGTAGCTTTATCCTCCTGGAGATTTTTAAGCTGTATCCTATAATATACTCTTGGTCAGGTTGGGTAGTATGATTCAAGGCACTTGGAACCGTCTTGGGGAATATAGCTTGGTAATTGAACTGCTTAAGCTTATTATTAATATTTAAGCTATAGTTCCAGGCCCATTCCAGAGGTCCCCCAGCCAATGCACTTCATAAAAGGGAAGATATATCTTAATATACCAGGTTTGTATCTCATGCTACCATTGTAGCATCAAAAAAATAGACATTTAAATCATGGCTAATAACAAATTTTAGAATGAAATAGTTGGTAAATTTTGTGATTTTAAACTTTTCTTTTTGTGTGTGTGTATATGCAGCAATGAAAACTACTGGATGTAATTTAGATAAGGTAAATATTATCCCTAATGCCCTGATGACTCCACTCATACCAAGCAGTATGATTAAGAGTGAAGATGTTACTCCAATGGAAGTAACAGCAGAAAAAAGATCTTCCACTATTTTTAAGGTAAGCTGTATTGACTAGTGCACAAACCTCCTATATAAAAATTGCTGTCTTTTACTTTTCCTATTTTTTTAACATTATTTTTACTTTGGATGCACTTAATGAATTTTGCTGTAAAGAGGGAATGCTTTATACTTCAGCAAAATTGCCCACATAGTGACTTCCAATATACAAGGGAGGAATTAATATGTTGTATGAGATATTGATGAAAGTACTAATTTTAGCATTTTCAGAATTAGAGATGTTTTTATTTTTTTCCCAGTCTTTTCCCATAACTTTCTGTTTCTTTTTTTTACTTGTCTTATCCCCTGTAATGTTACTGAGGAGCCACAAAATTGAGATATTTTGATACCTGCTCTTCATGAACCATAAAATTACTGTGTTCTGATTACCCTTAATTCACCTAAGCATATCAATAGCCGATTATTCTACTTCCTTGTTTGACTATCTTTGCTTGTCGTACTTTTAAAAAATATATCTCAAGGAAAATGAGACATCATGTTATGGAGAATTGTAGTCCTGTACCTGTTTTCTAAATGATAATAATATAGAGTGGAAAGCTGGTCCTGCATATATTTTTAGAGCAATAGTGATTTTTGATGTATGTTACAAACTTGTTTAATGTTTATATATTCATAATATTTGGGGATTTTTATTTTTTAGACTACAAAGTCTGTTGGATCAACTCAGCAAACATTAGAAAACATCTCAAACATAGCAGGAAATGGCTCTTTTTCATCACCATCATCTTCCCACCTACCTTCTGAAAATGAAAAACAGCAGCAGATTCAGCCCAAGGCATACAACCCAGAGACCCTGACAACTATTCAAACCCAGGACATCTCACAGCCTGGTACTTTTCCAGCAGTTTCTGCTTCTAGTCAGCTGCCCAACAGCGATGCACTATTGCAGCAGGCTACACAGTTTCAGACAAGAGAAACTCAGTCTAGAGAGATATTACAGTCAGATGGTACAGTGGTTAATTTGTCACAACTGACTGAGGCATCACAACAACAGCAGCAGTCACCACTACAAGAACAAGCACAGACTTTACAGCAGCAGATTTCATCAAATATTTTTCCATCACCAAATAGTGTGAGTCAGCTTCAGAATACTATTCAGCAGCTGCAAGCAGGGAGTTTCACAGGCAGTACTGCTAGTGGCAGCAGTGGAAGTGTTGACTTGGTCCAACAAGTTTTAGAGGCACAGCAGCAGTTATCTTCAGTTTTATTTTCTGCTCCAGATGGTAATGAGAATGTTCAAGAGCAGCTTAGTGCAGATATTTTTCAACAAGTCAGTCAAATTCAGAGTGGTGTAAGCCCTGGAATGTTTTCCTCAACAGAGCCAACAGTCCATACCAGACCAGATAATTTATTACCTGGAAGAGCTGAAAGTGTTCATCCACAGTCTGAAAACACGTTATCTAATCAACAGCAGCAGCAGCAGCAGCAACAGCAAGTGATGGAATCTTCAGCCGCAATGGTGATGGAGATGCAACAGAGTATCTGCCAGGCAGCTGCCCAGATTCAGTCAGAGTTATTCCCTTCAACTGCTTCAGCAAATGGAAACCTTCAGCAATCGCCAGTTTACCAGCAGACTTCTCACATGATGAGTGCATTGTCTACCAATGAGGATATGCAAATGCAGTGTGAATTGTTTTCTTCTCCTCCTGCAGTTTCTGGAAATGAAACTTCTACAACTACCACACAGCAGGTTGCAACCCCTGGCACTACCATGTTTCAGACATCAAGTTCAGGAGATGGAGAAGAAACTGGAACACAAGCAAAACAGATTCAGAACAGTGTCTTTCAGACCATGGTCCAAATGCAACATAGTGGGGACAATCAACCTCAAGTTAACCTTTTTTCATCCACAAAAAGTATGATGAGTGTTCAGAATAGTGGTACCCAACAACAAGGTAATGGTTTATTCCAGCAAGGGAATGAGATGATGTCACTTCAATCTGGAAATTTTTTGCAGCAGTCTTCTCATTCACAGGCCCAACTTTTTCATCCTCAAAATCCTATTGCCGATGCTCAGAACCTTTCCCAGGAAACTCAAGGTTCTCTCTTTCATAGTCCAAATCCTATTGTCCACAGTCAGACTTCTACAACCTCCTCTGAACAAATGCAGCCTCCAATGTTTCACTCTCAAAGTACCATTGCTGTGTTACAGGGCTCTTCAGTTCCTCAAGACCAGCAGTCAACCAACATATTTCTTTCCCAGAGTCCCATGAATAATCTTCAGACTAACACAGTAGCCCAAGAAGCATTTTTTGCAGCACCGAACTCAATTTCTCCACTTCAGTCAACATCAAACAGTGAACAACAAGCTGCTTTCCAACAGCAAGCTCCAATATCACACATCCAGACTCCTATGCTTTCCCAAGAACAGGCACAACCCCCGCAGCAGGGTTTATTTCAGCCTCAGGTGGCCCTGGGCTCCCTTCCACCTAATCCAATGCCTCAAAGCCAACAAGGAACCATGTTCCAGTCACAGCACTCAATAGTTGCCATGCAGAGTAACTCTCCATCCCAGGAACAGCAGCAGCAGCAGCAACAGCAGCAGCAACAGCAGCAGCAACAACAACAGAGCATTTTATTCAGTAATCAGAATACCATGGCTACAATGGCGTCTCCAAAGCAACCACCACCAAACATGATATTCAACCCAAATCAAAATCCAATGGCTAATCAGGAGCAACAGAACCAGTCAATTTTTCACCAACAAAGTAACATGGCCCCAATGAATCAAGAGCAACAGCCCATGCAATTTCAGAGTCAGTCCACAGTTTCCTCACTTCAGAACCCAGGTCCTACCCAGTCGGAATCATCACAGACCCCCTTGTTCCATAGCTCTCCTCAGATTCAGTTGGTACAAGGGTCACCTAGTTCTCAAGAGCAGCAAGTAACTCTCTTCTTATCTCCAGCATCCATGTCTGCCTTGCAGACCAGTATAAATCAACAAGATATGCAACAGTCTCCTCTTTATTCCCCTCAGAACAACATGCCTGGAATTCAAGGAGCCACATCTTCGCCTCAACCACAGGCTACTTTATTTCACAACACAGCAGGAGGCACAATGAACCAACTGCAGAATTCTCCTGGCTCATCTCAGCAGACATCAGGAATGTTCTTATTTGGCATTCAAAATAGTAAGAAACTCTAATTTTTCATTACTTAATTGGTCATTATTATTATTAGAAGGAAGCAGAGTGCAGTGGTGCGATCTCAGCTCACTGCACCTGCACCCTCTGCCTCCCAGGTTCAGGTGATTCTCCTGCCTCAGCCTCCCAAGCAGCTGGGATTACAGGTGTGCACAACCACGCCCAGCTAATTTTTGTATTTTTGTTAGAGGCGGGGTTTCACCATGTTGGCCAGGCTGGTGTTGAATTTTTGACCTCAAGTGATCCGCTGGCCTCGGCCTCCCAAAGTGCTGGGATTACAGGCGTGAGCCACCACACCTGTCCTGTATAGTTGTTTTAAGAGTACAGATTGTAGTTAGAACTCTATCACCTATAGACTATAAGATCTTGTACAAGTTATTTGGCTTTTATGGGTCTCAATTCTCTCATTTAAAATGGTGATAATATTACATACTTTACATGGATTTGGGGAGGATTAAATATGGCAATGTATAAAAATGTGTGTTTGCCATTTTAAGCTATAAACTTAAAAGGAAAATGAAGTCAGAATGACAGATAATACCTTACCCAGTTGAAGTAAGTAGTTTCTAAGGAGGTAGAAACTCATCTTTAATGTTTATATACCAAGGAATTTATATAGGACTTTTGATATTTAAGCAAAGTTGTATTTTTAGACTGCTTAAAGGAAACCTAAGATGAATTCCAGTGCCAGTCTGTGAAAACCTTTTTCTTGGACTATCAGGTGCCTAACTTTTAGTAATATACAAGGAGAATGCAGTAATGAATTTTCCCCAACAACTAATAAATATCTTTTCATGAATCTTTACTAATCAGATAGCTTCTATTTTTAATGTTTCTGCAGACTGTAGTCAGCTTTTAAGCTTCTGTTTTCAATGTCTCTGCAGACTGTAGTCAGCTTTTAACCTCTGGACCAGCTACATTGCCTGATCAGTTGATGGCCATAAGTCAGCCAGGCCAACCACAAAACGAGGGCCAGCCACCTGTGACAACACTTCTTTCTCAGCAAATGCCAGAGAATTCTCCACTGGCATCCTCTATAAACACCAACCAGAACATCGAAAAGATTGATTTGCTTGTTTCATTGCAAAACCAAGGGAACAACTTGACTGGCTCCTTTTAACTGGATATGTAAGTATTGCATTTTGGCTTCTTATTGAAAAGCATCAGATTTTATTCTTCTTAACAGATTTAGGTTAAGTAATAGTAGTTCTAATCTTTTAAAATGTGGCTTTCTCACAAGATGATACTTTTTTACTCTGAATAAAATTATTCTGAATGATAGCTTATGGTCATATAGTTAATACAGACCAGGCCGGGCGTGGTGGCTCATGCCTGTAATCCCAGCACTTTGAGAGACCAAGGTGGGCGGATCACGAGGTCAGGCGATCGAGACCATCCTGGCTAACATGGTGAAACCCCGTCTCTACTAAAAAATACAAAAAAAAAAAAAAATACAGACCAAACATCCCTAGTCCAAAAATCCAAAATCCAAAATGCTCTGAAATCCGAATCTTTTTGAGTGCTGACATGACATCTCAAGTGGAAAATTCCACACCTAACCTCATATGATAGGGTCATAGTCAAAAGTCAGGCTCACAACATGCAGTTTATTTGGTGTCCCCAAGGGTAAAAAAGATCCTTCCAGCTCCCTTCAGCTGTGATAGATTTTTTTAGGTGTATGTGAAACAGAAGTGAATTTCATGTTTGGACTTGTGTCTTATCCCCAAGATATCTCATTGTGTATATGTGCATATTCCAAAATCCAAAAAAGAAATCAGAAACACTTCTGATCCCAAACATTTTAGATAAGGGATACTCAACCTATATTGGACATTCCTTCTGCCTCTGAGCTTCTTTGCCTTGGAATAACAAAACATCTGATGAGTATGCAAAATGTGTTTCCTTTGTACTATATATTGGATATAACCATGCCTCACTTATCCCTTCCTCCAGAAATAAATATTGAGTCAGAAAAGTCTGTGGAAGATCAAATATGATAAAGTTTTACTTACAGTACCATAATATACTTTAGGATCATTCAGGGTGTCAGAAACTTTATAAATGCTTCCCTCCCTAGTAAGTTAAATTAAACTTTTTCTCTTTTTTAGAAATTCCACGAAGAAAATCCTGATTCCAAGATGTCCTGAGATCTTGTGGTTCCATGAGAATTATTACTTTAAAAACAAAACAAAATATAAAAAACTGTGTTTGAGTAAACTGATAGATTTTACTCTGACTGCAAAAGAGCACACCTATGCTGCTTGTTGCAGTAACTAACCACCAATGTTAACATCTTCATATTTTATATTCCTAATAACAGTGATGACTGAGAATCTATTTGAGTTTCCAGCTGGCAGAATTAATTGTTATTATTTTCCTAGGCGCAATTTCCTTAAACGTACAGTTTAAATTCAAGGCTGGACCACTCAGTTATTATTGCTATTAGAAAATAATATATCATGTTTACTTTTGTTCTTCATTATTTTCTTTCCTGCATTGTTTTAGTCAAGTAATGGCTTTTGAAAAAGTAAAGTTCAATAATAACTAAGGCTGTGATTTTTTTCAATATAAAAGGCACAGCTGTTGGCCAAAGTGAAGGAATCTTTTTTCAGTTTTATTGGAGAAACTGAAGGGTAACATTCTAACAAGTAAACTGTATGTGCAGATAAAAGTACTCTTGATTTAACACAAAGGCAGATGATACACTTATAAAACTGGGAACAGCTGGAATGCTTCTTGATTTTATTTTTTCAGAGAGTTGTTAGTTCTCTGGGTTTCTACTAAGGGGTTTAGCCATAACTGTGCATAGAAAAATAATTATCTGTAAAAAATGAAGGGGATAATATATGATAAATTATGTTCTGATATCCTCCTACAGTAGTTTAAATTGACAGAAAAATTTGAATGTTTTCTTCTTAACCCAGTCTTAGGCTGGTATTCCCTTTTTATATATATCTATATTACTTTTCACCTCTTTTTCACTTTACTTTAGAGAACTATTAATATACTACTGGCTTCATGACCCTGTAGCATCTTTGGCCACTTTAATCTAGGGTGACCTAGCAATCCTGCAGCACAGGGCAGAGAGTACTGTCTTAGGAATTATTAGGAGTTGATTCCTGAGAAACAACACATTTTTCCCCATGAACGGTGCTGTTCTGAAGTCTTCAAATTTTTCCCTCTAATAGGAAACAGTATAAATTTTAATTAAAAAAAAAAGGCAAACTAAAATTTCTTGAAATATCACTTCTCCCTGATCTGCAGTGAGTATAAATTCACTTGTCACCTCAGTGCTTTACAGTTTGAAGTGGTCACTTACCTGATGGTTCCCACAAGCCTTAGGCTTTACAGGGTTGTATCATTGACTTAAAATGAAGAATTAACTTGTGTTACATCTATAAAGAGCAAAATAACACACTCCAGAACTTGGCAGTTGTAGCATTAGTTATACAGTTTTGGGTGTTCTTGCCACCCGTGGGATGCCTGCTTCTCACTACCACCTGTGTCTGGACACATGCTTATGTCTCATTTTCCTTTTGGCATGTGGAAAGCTGTCAATGCAGTGTAAGGCCAACGTGTGTGTGGCTTCTATGTGTTGAGATAATGTTTTGGTATCCTTGTCCGTTTCATTTATTTTTTAAGTGTACAAAAAATAACCTGTTAATTGTTGAAGGCTACTTTTCTGTTCTTTTTTTTTTTTTTTTTCTATCCTGTACATTTAGTTGAACTGTGCGGAATTGTGGTGTTGGTTTTGTTTACACAGCCAGATTTTTCCTTCTTTTTGTTTTGTGATGATCTTCCTTTGTTCTTTGAATGTGCTCTTTTGTCTTTTTCTCTTTTTTCTCATGTTTTCTTCCCTCCACCTCCACCCCTTTCTTTCTTTCTCTCTCTGATTGAGAGGCATTGAATTACGTTTTCAGTAGTACAGGCTTCTTGCCGATATGAAGGGAACTTTTCAGAAAGAGACCTACTCTGGGTCATTTAATTTTGAATACAGTTTTCAATCGTTCAAGTTTTGGATGGTTTATATCTAATGTGTGTTTCATTTTTTTGGAAAGCTATATTTTGTATTTAGGAAATGGTATACTATTTTGCTATTTGTACTGAGTGAGTACATTGGCATAAATATAGAAATTTATATATATACATATATATAAACTATTCTTTTTTGCCACACATTTTTGTGGTAAATTTGTGAGTTTGTCTGATGTTCTACCACAACGTGGCGTCTGATAACAGTGAGGGGGGGTGGGGTTTGTTATGTCTTTATTGAGTATTTAAGTATCTTTTGAAACAAATGACCTGTTCATCTGTGGCCATTCCATCAGGCAGTTAGTTCCTTGATGTCAGTAGTGGGCTAAAGGCAGCTTACTGTGTGTTTGCTGGAGCTTTCACTCAGCCAAGTGTTAGAGTCAGGAAACCCATTGAGGCAATGGCGTCAAATGGTGTTTCACAAGAATGAGCCATTCAGTCTTTGCTCACTATATATTTAATATTTTATTATTGTTGTTATTGTTATTATTAATTGGCTTTCTGTATTCTATGCCTTTTATTTATAAAGACACTAAGAAAACCCATGTTTGTAATTTTAATAACATTTTTCCCATCTTGTAATATCCAGAGCTACTTTATAAATTCTCTGAACCAAAAGTATTTTCCTCAGTGTATCTCTTCTCCCCCAGCCCCTATTGGGAAAAATTACCCAGTATAGTTCAGGTTATGAGGAGGATCAGCCACACAATCCAGTGCTTCAGTTTGAAAATGTAAAATTCTAACCCTAAAGTAGGGTTGGTTGAAATTTCAGACAAAGCAAACCCAGCAGGTATAAAAAGTAGTATAAATACAAATCTGTAAGTTATTTTTGAATTTTCTGAACTTTTTTCTAAGAGATTACATAGGAGACTAAAGAAATCTATCTGTTCAAGTTCTAATTAGGATGATTGTTAATACTGCACTGTGGATGAAGTGGCGACTGGCTTGTGTGCTGACTTCTGTGGTTTAGCAAGAGGTTTATTGTTATCAAATGCTAATTGGCAATGCCAAGTCACTGGGACCAATTTTCTGTTTTATAATATCTAAGTTTAGAACAGAATATATACCTGAACTGTAGTGGTTTGATCGGATGGAGACAGAAAACCCGATTTTTATTCTCATAAATTTTGTGGTTATTTATACAAGGGCTGTGCTATGCTACCATATTCTTGTTCAATAATAATAGGTTTGTTGTTTTTTTTACATTGTTAAATGTTCCTTACCCCTAAAGGTCAATGTTAAGTACAACATTCTGAAAATACAATTTGGCTACGAAGAGTATTCATCTTCTTTGAAGCTCAGTGGTTGATATTTGTGCTAATAATGCAATTTCCTGATTACTGTTACAAGTTATAGCTACATATGGGAGAGACTCAGTGAGCCAGCAAAGGCCATAGAAACAACAATTTATTAAATGTATTTATGGCAGAAGGACCTAAATAAACTGTGAGCCACCTTTTCTTCTTTATATTGTTACATTTAAGTGTTCTTGCTTTCAGCAACTCACATTAATGCTTGGAGCTTATCTCTTTCTCTCTCTCTCTCTCTCTCTCTGTGTGTGTGTGTGTATGTGTGTGTGTGTGTGTGTGTGTTTCCTTATTGTCATTCCATTATATATCCACACCAACATGGGTGACGATAATTCAAAGTCATATTTTGCCTCTAAGCTTGATCATGTTACCTTTATGATTAAAGTATCATGTTATTTAGCCAATGCAAATCTGTTTTAAAACAAATAGTTTAAAAAAAGAACAAGTTTTTAAGGGCTTTATTATAGAAGAAGTATTAATGAAGGACTTTCCTTCCTCCCTCCCTTTCCTCCCCTCCCTGCCTCCCTTCTTCCCTTCCATCTCCCCCTCCTCCCTGCCTTCTTTGTTTCTCCTTCCCTTATTCCTCCCTCCCTCCTTTCTCCCTTCCTTCCTTTCTTCCATTCATCCTTCCTTGCCTTTTATTTTTATTTTTTGTAATATCACATGTGCTGTAGTTTGGAATTTTATTCTAGTGCATTTCTTGCTCATCAGAACCTCAGCTAATCTACCTAGGAAAAATAGTATCAAAGGAAATGAGAAAGTTGTATCTGAGTCCCTCCAGAACTAAGATAATTCTTTTTGACCATTTAAGCCTTTATAAATGCGTTTTGACCATTTAAGCCTTTATAAATGCTTGTTTTAGGAAAGTGAATCTGTTAGATGCATCAACAAATAATGACCAGGACAAAACGATTTAATAATTAAAGTCTCAAATCACCATGGTTATACATTTTCACCAGAAATAGTAATCTTACAATTTTTCATTTTTCTGATGAAGATTTCTGTTCCAATATCTGTTTCCTAATAGATTTTTTAAATTAATTAGCTTTCCTCTGCTTTATGACCACAGGTTTTATCCCTAACCGAGACAGCTGTCTTATATCTGCATGCCTTAGACTGTGTGGAGGGACTCCATGAAGAAAGACCATAGGTTAGAAAAATAACTCATAGTATATACCCTAGTAAGTGGGTTAGTAGAATCTCATAACATGTATTAAAAAGAGGTTTTCTTCTCTGCTTGTTTGTGTCACTAGAGCAAAATTGTAGAGATAATGCTCATAATGCAGTAAATATCAGAATAATATCTACAATATCATTTGTGGATGGTCCCAGGTCCCAGTGCTCTAGTTACTTTACTTCTTTTTTTTTTTTTGAGATGGAGTCTTGCTCTGTCTCTCAGGCTAGAGCAGTGTGCGATCTCAGCTCACTGCAGCCTCCACCTCCCAGGTTCAAGCGATTCTCCTGCCTCAGCCTCCCAAGTAGCCAGGATTACAGGCACCCTCCACTAGGCCCGGCTAATTTTTTTTGTATTTTTTTAGTAGAGATGGGGTTTTGCCATGTTGGCCAGGCTGGTTTCGAACTCCTAACCTCCAGTGATCCACCTGCCTCGGCGTCCCAAAGTGCTAGGATTACAGGCATGAGCCACCACATCCGGCCTAATTACTTCTTTAATCCCCATTTATTTTTATGCCATTCTAGCCTCATTTATTAATAAAATTATGTTTTTACTTTCTCTTTCAGGAAATTTTTTAAATTAATATTTTATATCTAGATCTAATGCTATGGAAAAGTGCCTTTTTATCATTTATAATTTCATTTTTCACTATTTCCAAAAACACATAAACAAATAGTTTCAGTAGGTCCCAGCTTTTACTTTTTCCATTTAAACCTTCTTTTCTCCATTTCTTCCCTTTGGCTTAAGAATAAAAGAAAAGGTACATTGCTAGAATTGTTTCTTTGGGAGAGGGTAAAAGATTACAGAATTAGACTGTTCAGCCTTTATATAAACTAAATTTGTCTTCATCTCAACCAGCTAATGGTAGGTCTTATCTGAATACTCATGAGAATTTTAGCATCTGTGAAACTCCATGCACCAGATGTGTGTAAATTTCAGGAAGAAAGTGTTGAAAGCATTTTCTCTGATGTTAATTAGATGGAAATAAATCACTAAAACATAGTTTAGGTAAAGCCTGATTATGCCACTTTTTTTTAACTAGACAGGGCAAAGTTGTTTATGTTAGTGTACTTCTTGTCTATCCTCAGTTAATTTACCTAGACAAAAAGTGTCAAAGGAAATGAGAAAAAGGTTATATCTGACTCCCTCCAGACCTAAGATAATTCCTTTTGATCAGATACAGTCAGATGGAGTGCCTTGGTTTTTGTTAATTTTGCCTCTATTCCAGCTCCTTACCACAGCGGTGGTGCTTAAAGAAAGGATCATCAGCAACAGGTCAGGATAGTTCTACCTTTGGGATAGGGCTGCTTTCCCCGTGCTAGTATTTCTGTGACTGTTAGTGGCACTGAGGACTGCAAACTTTTATGCAATATTCTTAATACCCTATTGATATTATGCACTTTAATCATTCCAAAGAAGCCAAGAATGCTGTATAGTGATGATTCCTTCCTAATGAATTCATCTTAACTATTTAGAATGTTATGTCCCTTTTCTTTTGGATAGCCAACTTGGTATAAATGTTATATGGATTTTTCTAAAATGACTATATAGGACTTAAGACTTTGAAATGTAATTTACTTATAAGGGGAAATAATTATGCTTTAGCACATCATTTTAGAAACGTCACATTTTAGAAACATTCAGCTTGCTAACCTACATGTTTGGGAATTCATTAAAACCAGTTGTCTATATATTTTGTGCCATGTATATAAGAACATTACAATATATCTTTTTCTACATATGTAGTATGTGCAACCAGTGGTTCTCAGAGTATGGTTCTCAGCCCACCAGCTAGTATCAGTATCACCTGGGAACTAGTTAGAAATGTAAATTCTTTGGCCCCATCCCAGACATACTGAGTCAGAAACTCTGGAATAGGGCCCCCGCAATCTGTTTTCACAAGCCCTCCAGGTGATTCTGATGCACACTTTAAAGTTTAGGAACCACTGGGCTAAGACTCTGTTGAGATATAGAGTTTTTCTTCCACTCAGACTGATATAGTTATACATTGTTCTTCATGTAAATTCAGCTTAACCTGGTTATCTATAATCTTTTATTGGCAAAAGTTAATTCTCAGTACTGCCTATAGAGATACAGTGTATTTTATGTACATACACAATTAGTCTAATTCTTGATAATTCAGTTAATTTAGTTTGGCATTTTCCTACCACTTACTAAAAGGTTTACATTAAATGACTGATTTAAATATATAGGTGCAATGTTCTATGTTTATTTTAATTGTTATGACATTTAAGTAGCTAATATAATTGACCGGTGCTAAAGTCTCCTGTTTATCCATAAAATGGGTACATTATGGGCAGTGTAATACAAGCTTTCTTTTCATTGCCTAGTACTTTACCAGCAGACCACAGTTTTGCCCTGGCTAGACCAACCCTCAGAACAAAATCATCATTCCTTGTATTTATATTTGTATCTGAGATAGTAAACAAGATGGCTGGCCAGGTCAACATGGCACCTTAACTTATTTTTTTAATAGGTAAAACTTCTTCAAAAGTAGCTTGCTTTGTATAAGAACTAAGCTATCAGTATAGATATAGCTATCCTTGGAGCTTATGTTTCAGACAAGAATTATTTACTAAAATAAATAATAAACAAGATAATGCATTATACAATTTGGGCATTTCTCGTTTCTCAAGTGTATGCATCATGGTAAATATAAACTAACCACAAGATAGGTAGATTGATTCATTTCATTTTAATCTCCTTGTGTAATTCAGTACCTCCATAATTGTTCTAATCTTCTTCCCACTGTTTACAAATTACCAGTTAATTAACTCGTGAAAGAAAAATTCACATATCAGAATAAAAATAAATGTATACTCACTTTATAAAAATCACCACTGCTGTCTTTCCTTAATACTAGCAGTGGAAATGTAAGTGGCTTACTCTACAAATTTTGGTGCTGGCAAATACATAGGCAAACTGTTGGGAGCTGCTCTAGTTACATTCCTCCCTTCTTATTCCCTTTTTCTCTTCCTCACTTTATTGCATAACATATTCCTGTACCCAAAGCATTCTACCACAGTTCTATTTGACTCCCACTTGTAATAACTCCTTTAAAAAATTCCATGTTTAACCATATGACCCTGCTTGCTTACTCATATTCTCCCTCCCTCTCCCCTTCCTTTCTCTCTCTTCCAGAAGTCATTTGCCTGGTTTGAAATATTTTGTAGGGATTGCTTATTATATTATTTTAGCTGATGAACCTCAGGACAACGTCTACACACACACACATACATACACGCACACAAAATCTCAGCTGTTGAAGAGTGGGCTTGGAATCAGACTTCTGTGTCCAGTAAAAAACTCCTGCACTGAAGTCATTGTGACTTGAGTAGTTACAGACTGATTCCAGTGAACTTGATCTAATTTCTTTTGATCTAATGAATGTGTCTGCTTACCTTGTTTCCTTTTAATTGATAAGCTCCAAGTAGTTGCTAATTTTTTGACAACTTTAAATGAGTTTCATTCACTTCTTTTACTTAATGTTTTAAGTATAGTACCAATAATTTCATTAACCTGTTCTCAAGTGGTTTAGCTACCATTCTGCCATTTTTAATTTTTATTTAATTTTATTTGCTTGAGCACACTGATCAACCACTGAACTGCCTTCTTCCATTGTCCTGCAATGATATAAGGGTTACATTTTTGTGTATATGGCTTTCATAGTTGGGATTTCAGAGCACTGATACCAGATATTTTCAGTTTGTTCTCTGGGGGAATTTCATTTGCATCTATGTTTTTAGCTATCTGTGATAACTTGTTAAATATTAAAAAGATATTTTGCTTCTATTGGAACATTTGTATACTCGCAACTATATTTCTGTAAACAGCTGCAGTCAAAAATAAAACACTGAAAGTTTTCATTTTGCAGTGGATAGCTGTCTTTTTTTTCCTCAAACTTTGTGAATGGAATTGTGTGCATGAACGACAGTTTTGAGCAGCATGAGTATATGGCTGAAATTATAAAATCATTAGGGAGGAGGTGTGAAATATAGACATATTTCTGAGTAGTTATTTTGTGCCTACCATTTTGCCAGGTAGAGTATAAGTGACTCAGTGTGACAGAATTTTTGTTTTACGTATAATTTAAATGTTTCATGTTTAGTAAAGCAATACATATACACGGAGGTGCTTTTGATGAAAACCAAGTCTCCCCATCCCTTAGTCCCATGCCCAGAGACAATCTCTGTTTATTCTTTTGGTGTTATTTCTACATCTCTAAATTAGCGCATATCAGAGTGTGGTACACAACTACCCGTGGTACGTGGATAAACACTATTTTTAAACTTACATGTATAAGTGTTTTGATGCGTAATAGAAAAAAATATAGGCTGGGCTCAGCGGCTCACGCCTGTAATCCCAGCACTTTGGGAGGCTGAGGCAGGCAGATCACCTGAGGTCAGGAGTTCGAGACCAGCCTGGCCAACATAGTGAAACCCCATCTCTACTAAAAATACAAAAAATAGCTGGGCATAGTGGCGGGCACCTGTAATCCCAGCTACTTGGCAGACAGAGGCAGGAGAATCGTTTGAACCCGGGAGACGGAGGTTGCAGTGAGCAGAGATCGCACCATTGCACTCCAGCCTGGGCAACGGGGCGAGACTCTGTCTAAAAAATAAAAAAATAATAATGTGTCTACCTACCAGAGTGAGGGAAAAAGTGAGTCAAATTAAAGAAAAATATTAAATCACTGGGCTCAGTGGCTCATGCCTCTGTAATCCCAGCTACTCGGGAGGCTAAGACAGGAGGATCACTTGAGGCCAGGAGTTGGAGACCAGCCTGAGCAACATAGCAAGACCCTGTCTCTATTTTTTTTTTTTTGATGTTTAAATGAAAGGAAAAAGGAAGAAAAATATTTTTTAAAAAAATGCTAATACAGATACATGGGTGTCATGAATATGGTATCTAATTGAATCGTAAAAGACATTGCTTTAGACAGCATACTTATACCTTCCTATCAAATATAGACAGTATCTGTTGATTCTGTAAAGGAGTAACAATTCTTAATACATCCAAATCTATATATATATATCTAAATGAGTTGTTAGGAGATTTTATATATATATATACATATATATAAAATTTATTATTATTTTTTAAACAATCCTTCTGTTCTAAATACAGTATGCCTTGCCAAGCATGGTGGCTCATGCCTGTAATCCCAACACTTTGGGAGGTCGAGGCAGGAGGACCACTTGAGCCAGCCCGGGAGTTCAAGACCAGCCTGGGCAACAAAGTGAGACTTCGTATCTACAAAACATAAAATAATTAGCCAGGCATGTTGGCATGCGCCCATAGTCCCAGCTATTCAGGCGGCTAAGGTGAGAGGATCACTTAAGTCCAGGAGTTTGAGGCTGCAGTGAGCTATCATCATGCCACTGCACTCCAGCCTGGATAACAGATACTGACACTGTCTAAAAAAAAAAAAAAAGGAAAAAAAGAATAAAAGTTGTCTTTTGGTGTTTATTGACTTCAATGGCACTGAAAATGAGCAATAACCAAATGAAATGTAATAAGTATATCAAATTATATATTTTGGTTCAAAAAAAGCTTATGTGGGCAAAATACTGATCTGAAGATGGGACTACAATAGGATGGGGCTGCCAGAAAATATGATGCAATCTCAGTTACATAATTTAAGTACAGTGTCCAGAATAAGGGAGGTAATTGTCCTGCTCTACTCTAAGCTGGTAAGAGCCTTACTCTATTAACTTACAAGAAACAAATTCTCTGCAGCCATCTAAGCCTAGAAGAGAACCAAAATATCATTTATCCCTGCTGAGAACACAGTAGGGACTCTAGAAATCAAAAAATAGCTATACCTTCTCAACAGCAACACTAATGGTCTTATTCTCAGAAAAAGAGATATTGGTTGCTACTCTCATGCTCTATTTCATGGTGCCATCTCTGCTTCTATTCTACTGAGGCAATATAACATAGTGTTTAAAAGCATAGGCTCTTGAGTTTGCCTATAATATAACCTCCATTCCTCAATTTCCTTTGCTATAAAGTGAAAACAATAACAGAACCTTCCTTGCAGAGTTGTTGAACGAGTTAAGCAAGTTAGTCCATGTAAAATTACCTAGTTCCTGGCACAGTAAGTGCCTCCTAAGTGTTACCTTGTATTAGTATTACTAGTCCTGATACTACTCTGCTCTTCTAGCTCTTGTGCACTACTTCTCACATCCTTCTATGTATTAGTCTGTTTTCTCTTGATTTTAACAGAATACCTGAAGCTGGGCAATGTATAAAGAAAAAGAATTTCTTACAGCCATGGAGGCTGAGAAGTCCAGGTGGAGGGGCTGTGTCTGGTGAGAGCCTTCTTGCTGGTGAGGACTCCCAAGAATCCCAAGGTGTTGCAAGCTATCACGGCAAGGGGGCTGAGCATGCACTCCAACCTGGGTGACGGAGTGAAACTGTCTCAAAAAAAAAAAAAAAAAAAAAAAAAATCATGAGGGAGGGCTCTGTCCTCATGAATAGATTAACCCACTACTCATGGATTAATGAGTTATCATAATTAGGCAACTGGCTGAGCATGCAAAGGACTCAGGTCTCCCTATTTTAAAGCCACCAGTTGCCCGCTTATGATAACTCATTAATTCATGAGTAGTGGGTTAATCTATTCATGAGGACAGAGCCCTCCCTCATGATTTTTTTTTTTTTTTTTTTGAGATGGTTTCACTCCGTCACCCAGGTTGGAGTGCAGTGGCACAATCACAGCTCACTGCAGCCTCTTCTGGGCTTAAGCAATCCTCCCATCTCAGTCCCTACCCCGAGTAGCTGGGACTACAGGTATACCCCCCACTACACCTGGCTAAGTTTTGCATTTTTTGTAGAGATAGAGTTTCACCATGTTGCCCAGGCTGGGTCTTGAAGTCCAGGGCTCCAGTGATCTGTCTGCCTTACCTCCCAAAGTGCTAGGTAGGATTACAGGTGTGAGCCACCATGCTGGCCCTCAGTCACCTCTTAAAAGTCCCCACCTCTCAATTCTGCCACAGTGGGGATGAAATTTCAACTTGAGTTTTGGAGGGGATAAATATACAAATATAGCATTTTGGCTTTTTCAAAGATGTCCCTTTGTCATCAGCATCAAAACTTTTCCTTTCTCTGAGTCATTTCCATTGACATAGAAATTTGTTGTAATGTCCCTGATCTCTTAAAAAAAATTGTTCTTTGATCACACAGCCTCCTCCACACTATTTCTATTCCTCTCCTTCCATTCTCAAACCCATTCAAATCAGGCTTTCATCACGCCACTCTACTGAAATGGTGCTTGTCAATGTCACCAACAAATGGGTTCCACATGACCAAGTCCAGTGGTCACTTCCCAGGCCTCGTCTTGCTTGGCTTGTCAGCAGTATTTGACACACCTGATCATTCCCTCCTTCAAACACTTTTTTTTTCCTTCAAGACAGAGTTTCACTCTTGTTGCCCAAGCTGTAGTGCAATGGTGTGATCTCAGCTCACTGCAACCTCCACCTCTTGGGTTCAAGCAATTCTCCTGCTTCAACCTCTCTAGTAGCTGGGATTACAAGCACGCACCACCATGCCCAGCTAATTTTTTGTATTTTTAGTAGAAACAGGGTTTCACCATGTTAGCCAGGCTGATCTCGAGCTCCTGACCTCAGGTGATCCACCCTCTTCAGCCTCCCAAAATGCTGGGATTACAGGTGTTAGCCACTGCGCCCGGCCATCTTCAAACACTTTCTTCGCTTGGCTTTCGGGACACCACACTCAGCTCTCCTGCATCTCTGAACACCAGTTTTGTTTTTTTTTTTCATGTCAGACGGGAAATGTACTGATGTCATAACAAGATTCAAGGGTGCCACATCTCACACATGCACGTGAACACCCAATCAACACACTTAGGAACTACAAAAGGATCTGACCACTGCTTTTCACTCTCATCTTCATCTCCTAACATTGTCGAGCCCCAGAGGTAAATCATCAAATCTCTTCTCTCAAAACTCAAAGAGATTGATCCCAGCCAATCTCATTGCTTTAAACACCATCTATATGTTGAAGATTCCCAAATGTGCATCTCCAGCCATAACTTCTGCCTTAACTCCAGGTTTCTCCTATCCAACTGCCTACTTGTCAGCCTCACCTGGCAGTCTTAATAGATGTCTCTTATTTTTTTGGAGACAGAGTCTCGCTCTTATCACCCAGGCTGGAGTGCAGTGGCACGATCTTGGCTCACTGAAACCTCCGCCTCCCGGGTTCAAGCAATTCTCCTGCCTCAGCCTCCTGAGTAGCTGGGATTACAGGCCCGCACCACCACGCCCAGCTAATTTTTTAAGTTTTTAGTAGAGACTGGGTTTCCTGACCTCAGGTGATCCACCCGCCTTTGCCTCCCAAAATGCTGGGATTACTACAGGCGTGAGCCATTGCACGCAGCCTGTTTTTCTTGATTTCTATACCACTCTCTTTCCTTTGAATTCCCTGAGAGGACTGAATAGGTTGTTCTATTACCATTTAGTAGGAAGCAGCCCTGCTGGGTGAGTTGTCAAGCCAGTCACCAAGGGGCTTCCAGCTGCAGTTTGTGATTGAATCCTCTGATCTGCCTCCCACTAGATTCCACTATCATTAGCTTCACTGATACCAATGAGTGTGGGTCTGTAGAAATGAATTTTATTTATTTAATTCAGATCTTTGAGAAATTTACACAAAATTGCAGTGAAGATGAAGGCAACAAAATATTTTCAAACTGAAACACCCAGCCGTCAGCTATTGTGGATACTGTCGAGAGCAAAAACCACCAGTGCCAGTCAGCATCTGGTAAAGGAGGTTTTCCAGCTCGGTCCAATCCCTTCATTTTCTTGGCAAGTAAGAGGCTGTCTCCCATTTTTCAGGCAACCTTTTCATCATTTCTCATCTCTTCTTTCAATGCACCACAAGAGGGCAGTGTTTTATCATATTCTCCTTGAATTATATAATACCAACAGTGGAATGAGATGACTTCCAGAAGTAGAAATTGACTATTATGCCAAAACTGTTCACCAAAGTTGATAAAACTCTAGGTTTACAATTGTACCCCAAGGTCATGGGACTGGACCCCATCCCATAGTAAGTCATCAGTTTAGCAATGATAAAGAAAATAACCTTCTGAAAATTTGTATAGATCAGAAATAAAGTATTTTTTGTGGAAGACTATTTTTAAGTATTGAAGGTACTATTTCCTTTCTTGAATTCATATTGCAGATGTACGGTGTGGATTTATTGGTTTATCTCTGCAAACCTTAAAGTAGAAGATTGCAAGGGCCAGGTGTGGTGGATCACGCCTGTAATCCCAGCACTTTGGGAGGCTGAGGTAGGCGGATCACCTGAGGTCAGGAGTTTGAGACCAGCCTGGCCAACATGGTGAAACGCCGTCTCTACTAAAAATACAAAAATTAGTCAGGCATGATGGCAGGCGCCTGTCATCCCAGCTACTAGGGAGGCTGAGGCAGGAGAATTGCTGGAACCTGGGAGGCAGAGGTTGCAGTGAGCCGAGATCACACCACTGCACTCCAGCCTGGGTAACAGAGCAAGACTGCTTCAAAAAAAAATTTTTTTTAATTAAAAAAAAAGTAGATGACTGCAGCAAAGAAGAGATTTATTAGCTCTTCCTTTCAAGGTATCTGTGTACTGTATATAAACAACAAAAGCTGACCAAGAGTGGTACTTGTGCTAGGCATATTAGTAACTGCTTTGTAATTGAAAGCAAGAAATATCATAAACAAGCATTAGATGGCTAACTACCAAACAAGTTAAGTCCCTTAGGGCAGGTAGATTCAGTCTTTTCCTTCTCTGAGCAATTCCCTTCTGCCATAAACTACAGAGAGGTGATTAATAGAACATTGGAGAGTTGAATGATACCTAGCCAAACTGTACCCTAAAACTTTAGCCCTAAAAAGAGGAATTAAATTGTGTAGATGCCTTTAAAGAACATTTTTCTAGCATCTTTCTACATCTTTCCCTAAGTGGCCTCTTGAGCCCAGTCGGATTTTGGTTATATGCCATGATAGTAATCATAAGAATCAGTTAAAAATGATCCAAAAATGCACGAATACAGTCGATTCCCTCTCATTTATTCCTTGTGGAAAAAGAAAAACACAAATCTTAAAAACTAAAGCAAGTCAGGGAAGCCTGGAAAGATACCCAGATTTGATAACATGTTAGAAGGAAATCCAGGCTAAGGAATCTCATTTTCTAGCTTTGATCTGGTTGTCAGTTGGGATGGACTTGCCCAAGTGATGGCCCACAGAAAGGCCAAATTTCTTGTTTTTCTCCTCATCCTGTACCTCTTTTTTCATTAAGAATCCTGCCTGGAAGTTTAGGTCAAAGAGGCTGCTTGGAGCAAAATACAGTGGTGTCTCATCCCAAATATTCTCCAGGCGTTTCTTCCATCCTTCCAGGATTTGAATTCGGGCGTCTGCTGGAGTGTGCCCAATGCTATATGTCAGTTGAGGTTCTAAGACTTGGAAGCCACAGAAATGCAGAATGCCACTCTGAGGATACAGAAAGCACAGAGAGGTAAGTCAACCAATTCCATGCAGTTGTACTATAAACAACAGAAGTTGGTCTGGGCTTCTCAGTAAGACACTCTGATAAGGAGGCCTCAGGCACACTAGAGAATCAGTTCAGAGCTAGCGTCTCTCTCTTACCCTCTACCTAGCCGTTACCAATTTTAGCCTTCTCAGGTGTGTTCTTCTTTAAATGCATAAACCTTGAAACTGTGCCAACCTGGATCCTTTGCCAAGAAGGCTGGAAGTTCTGTTACTTTAGGGAGTCTCAGTTTCTTGGCAGGTGACTCACCAAGACCTGCGTGGGTGCATTTCTCTGCCTCTCCATATAACTAGATGAGTCCTTTTTTTCTTTTTCTTTTTTTTTTTTTTTTTGAGGCAGAGTCTCGCTCGGTCGTCCAGGCTGGAGTGCCATGGCACGATCTCGGCTCATTGCGGCTTCCACTTCCTGGGTTCAAGCGGTTCTCCTGCCTCAGCCTCCCGAGTAGCTGGGATTACAGGCATGCGCCACCATGCCCAGATAATTTTTGTATCTTTAGTAGAGACAGGGTTTCACTGTGTTGACCAGGCTGGTCTCGAACTCCTGACCTCAAGTGATCCGCCTGCCTCAGTCTCCCAAAGTGCTGGGATTACAGGCCCAGATGAGTCTTGATAAATGATTTTCATAAGTGGCCACTCACTGGCTCTTCTCTCCAACCTCCCTCTTTATAGAAATTATCTTGAGGGTTTGGTAACACCAATAAGCCCACCCCAGGCTTCAGTTTTATCCATGTATAAACTGGCTGGACTAAATTATTTCCTTTTTCTTCGAAACAGGGTCTCGCCCTGTATCCCAGGCTGGCATGCAGTGGTGTGATCATAGCTCATTGCAGCCTCGAACTCCTGGGTCTCTCACTTTAGACTCCCAAGTAGCTGGGACCACAGGTGTATGACTACACCCAGCTAATTTTGTTTTTTTTTTTTGTAGAGATGAGGTCTTATATGTTGCCCAGGCTGGTCTCAAAGTCCTGGGCTCAAGCGATCCTTCTGCCTCAGCCTCCCAGTAAATCATTTCTTAAATTGTCTTGGGCTCTAATAGTCTATGGGACTGTATCAGCAACCTGGAGAAGGACAGGAAGGCTGGAGAGAGATGTCAGTCATCTGGTGAGACCAGGGCCCACGGCTATACAAATCAAGAGTAGTGATTCACACTAGTCCTTGGCTGGGACAGAATGCTGTTTGAACACATGCACACGCAGGTGTGTTCACACACAGGCACCTGGGAAGGCAGGCAGGTTCTTAAAGGAGGCTCCCATCATTCTGAATTATGACCATGCTTTCATCTTCACAACTCAAGATCTATTTTCAGATGCTATCTTGAGGTTTTGAACCCCACGAAGGCTCAATGAATGAATTCCCCTGAAGGTTCGTTGAAAATGAGGTACCTGGCCAGGTGCAGTGGCTCACGCCTGTAATCACAGCACTTTGGGAGGCTGAGGCAGGAGAATCATTTGAGGTCAAGTGTTTGAAACCAGCCTGGCTAACATGGCAAGACCCCGTCTCTACTAAAAAATACAAAAATTAGCCGAGTGTGGTGGCGGGTGCCTGTCAGTAGGCTGAGGCAGGAGAATTGCTCGAACCCAGCGGGCGGAGCTTGTAGTGAACTAAGATGGTGTCACTGCACTCCAGCCTAGATGACAGAGTGAGACTCCGTCTCAAAGAAAAAAAAGAAAAGAAAAGAAAATGAGGTACCTGAATTGGCCAGAGAATGACATTCATGTCCCCGTGGATCCCTTGCAGAGAGTACATGGAGCCACTGCCACCAGTGGTGATGGAAAGCACTGCCTTCTTACTCTGCAAAAGAAAAAGCAATAACAAACTTCACTTCCCTCCACATCCCCTTGGTGACAAGAAGTTAATGAAACAGCTCCAGGGAAAAGAACACACAAGTCTGTCCTATTTGCTGTTTATATTACTTCATACTTTGGCTCCCCTGAGCTACATAATATGACTCTGCAGGAGTGCCAGCCTAGATGGTCTACAGACCGGTGGCCTGGGGCAAATGAAGGATTCCAAACCCCCACATGTGGCTTAGGACGAGGCTGTCACCATATCCAAAATCAGTGCTGGCTGCTGGCTGCCTAGGTGGAGTTATTGGTTGTTCTTATCCATCCTCCCACGGGCTAGGCATGGCGTAGGACAAGCTCTTTCATCTGGAAGGTCTCGAAGGGTTCCCTGTGCAGGATTTGGGCCTCCAAAAAATGAAGACAGGCCTTCTTTTGTTTTTATTATGGAAATTTTTAACACATGTAAATGAGAAAATAGTGCTGCATCTATCACTCACCTTCACCTCTCAGTATTCTGCTATTCTAGTTTTAGCTCGACCCATGACCCCCTTTTTCTCTGGAGCGTTTTATTTTATTTTATTATTTCATTTTTTTTTTCCTGTGAGACAGAGTCTGGCTCTGTTGCCCAGGCTGGGGTGCAGTAGCACCATCTCAACCAACTGCAAACTGTCTCCCGGGTTCAAGTGATTCTCCTGCCTCAGCCTCCCAAATAGTTGGGATTACAGGTGCCCACCACCACATCCGGCTAATTTTTTTTTTGTTTTTGTTTTTGATATGGAGGCTCGCTCTGTCACCCAGCCTGGAGTGCAGTGGTGCGATCTCGGCTCACTGCAACCTCTGCCTCCCGGGTTCAAGCAACTATCTTGCCTCAGCCTCCCGAGTACCTGGGACTA